>NC_000011.10:62403861-62706892 GCF_000001405.40 Homo sapiens
CTTTAGGAGGCCGAGACAGGTGGATCATTTGAGCTCAAATGTTCAAGACCAACCTGATCAATATGGTAAAACCCCGTCTCTACCAAAAAAATTACGAAAAGTAGCTGGGCGTGGTGATGCATGTCTGTAGTCCCAGCTACTCAGGAGGCTGAGGCAGGAGGATTGCTTGAGCCCAGGAGGCAGAGGCTGCAGTGAGCTGAGATTGCGCCACTGCACTCCAGCCTGGGCAACATAGGGAGATCCTGTCTCAAGAAAAAAAAAAGAAAGAAAGAAAAGAAGGGAACCAAAACGGAAGGGGCTTCAGGTGGGGGGAAGAAGGGCCAGAATTAAATTCCATTTCACCCAGCAACAGTTTTTGAGACTCAGGGTGTACAGAGGTTCTATGAACAGCAAGAAGGACTCAGCCTCAAGATGAGGATGCTTAACGGAAGGCAACCAGCAGGGACCGGTGCTGCAAGCGAGGGGAGAGGTGAGGTAGGGCTGGAGGATGGTGGATTCAGCAGGGCGGGTGTAGACAGTGGGTTTGGACAACGGACTCAGCAGGGCGGGTGTAGACAGTGGGTTTGGACAATGGACTCAGCAGGGCAGGTGTAGACAGTGGGTTTGGACAGTGAACTCAGCAGGCAGGTATGGACAGTGGGTTTGGGCAGCCTCCTGGTGTTTAAATCCTAGCTCCTCTCCTTGCTGACTATAGGGCCTTGGGCAGCTTCCTAAGCCTCAGTTTCTCCATCTTTAAAATGGGGACAGGAGCAGTGCCTACCTCAGAGGATCACTGCGAAGGTTAAATGAGATACTGCATTTAGCACAGGGCCTGGCAGAATGGAGGTGTTGGTTATCGCTGCTGTTGTCACGGTGGGACGCTGAGTATTTAGTATGTACCACACACTGCTCTGAGCACTGGACACGTCCTTCCCACTGATGCTCCCAGAACACCTGGAAATGCGGCTGTAGGGTGAAAGGCTCAGAGCCCATCATCCATTCAATAAATATTTAATAAGCACCTACCAGGTAGCTGGGCCCTGGAGAATCGAAGGTGAGCATGCAGCTTACATTCTAGAGGGAGAGGTAGATAATTACACAAGGAAACACAGAAGCAAAATCATTTCAGACGGTGACAAAGGTGATGAAGGGAAGAAAGCCAGACCCTGGGATCCCAGGGGGTGGGGGAGGGTGCCCCACGGTAATCAGAGAAGACTTACCTATGATGAGAACAAGGTGCAATCAGGAAATAAACTGGAGGAGGCAGGGCAGGCAGAGGGGAAACGAGTGAAGGCCGGAGGTGCTCTGAGGGTGTCCCTTACCCTGGAGGTAAGGAGGCCAGTGTGGCCACAGGGTGCTAGAGGGATATGGCGGTAGTGACACAAAATGAGGCTGGAGAGACAGGTGGGAACAGGTCACATGAGGTCTGGAGTTTTATTCTAAGTGTTATGGGGAGCCAGGAAGAGTTTACACAGAGAAGGGACATGACCTGATTTACATTTTTAAAAGATCACTGGCTGGGCACGGTGGCTCACGCCTATAATCCCAGCACTTTGGGAGGCCAAGGCGGGCGGATCATGAGGTCAGGAGATCGAGACCATCCTGGCTAACAAGGTGAAACCCCGTCTCTGCTAAAAATACAAAAAATTAGCCGAGTGTGGTGGCGGGCGCCTGTAGTCCCAGCTACTCAGGAGGCTGAGGCAGGAGAATGGCATGAACCTGGGAGGCGGAGCTTGCAGTGAGCCGAGATGGTGTCACTGCACTCCAGCCTGGGTGACAGAGCGAGACTCCGTCTCAAAAAAAAAAAAAAACAAACAAACAAACAAAAAAAGATCACCGTGGTTGCTACGGGAGAACGGACTTCATGGGGCCACTGTGGATGGCAACCTTGACCTTGGACATGAATCCCCTGCTGAGCCAGAGGTAGCCCCCTCACCCAGGCCCGGGCCCCTCCCAGTACCCTGGGGAACAGGTTGCTTACACTTGCCCCTTGCCTGACCAGGGCATCTCCATTTCCAGCCCTTGGGGCTGGGGGATGCATGTTTTCCAGTTATCATATTTTCTGGCATTATGAATCCACCCAGGAAAGACCCACAAGTGATTTTAGAGGAAAGCAAATAGCAGCCAGTAGTGCTTGTTTTTCAGCTTTTATAAGCCCCACAGCTGCATCAAGTTCAGAGCATAAATGCATTGAACTGTGTTTGCTGGTAAGATGTTGCGTGCATTTACAGCTGAGCAATAAACGGCAGGGACAGAGCTATGCTCTGCAGCTCAGAACAGCAGGAAGACTCCTAGAGTGAGGACCCTAGGACCTGATACCATTTCTGGCTCTGCCCCTAACTCTCTATGCGACTTCCCATCAATTACAGCTCCTCTCTAGGCCTGAGATCTCTTCTCCAGAGCAGAGGGTGGAGTAGCTCTTCCCTACTTTCTCCCAGGCCAGTGACTAGAGGATAGAATTCCCAGGAGTTCAGATTTGGGGCAAGCCAGAGGCAGCTGCCGAGACCATCCAAGCTGTTCCTCTTGCACTGGCAAATTTTGGAAACATTAACCCATAGTATCTTTCCTCTTATTTTCCTTTCTTTTTCTTTTTTTTTTTTTTCTTTCTTCTGAGATGGAGTCGACTCGCTCTTGTTGCCCAGGTTGGAGTGCAGTGACACAGTCTCAGCTCACTGCAACCTCCACCTCCCGGGTTCAGGTGATTCTCCTGCCTCAGCCTCCCAAGTAGCTAGGATTACAGGCGCCCGCCACCATGCCCGGCTAATTTTTTGTGTATTTTTGGTAGAGATGGGATTTCATTATGTTGGTCAGGCTGGTCTTGAACTCCTGACCTCAGGTGATCCTCCCGCCTAGCCCTCCCAATGTGCTGTGGTTACAGGCATGAGCCACCAGGCCTGGCCTTATTTTCCTTTCTTCTCTTAGAACTTCCCCTGATTCTGGAAGCCAAGGCAGCCCCAGGGAAAGGCTGCTTTCCCCAGGGAAAGGATAGAGGAAGAGGGAGTCTTTTCCTGGCTGTACAGTTCAAAAGCCCAGTCCTTTGGAGGAATGGAAAGACCTGCAGGTGCTGGTTTTGTGTAAGAGTCAGGCTTCCAGAACCCCCACCCCACCCCCAGACAAGAAAAGGATTCCCAGGGTGGCCAGGAGGTAAAGAGCAAGAGTTACTAAGTGTTGGTCCCTGCTGAGACCAGTGACCTTCTGTAAAAGGCTTTAAAAACAATGATAAGGCTGGGAGCAGTGGCTCACACCTGTAATCCCAGCACTTTGGGAGGCTGAAGCGGGAGGATTGCTTGACCCCAGGAGTTTGAGACCAGCCTGGGCAACATGGTAAAACGCTGTCTCTACCAAAAAAAAAAAAAAAAAGCCAGGCATGGTGGCACATGCCCGTAGTCCCGGCAACTAGGGAGGCTGAGGTGGGAGGATTGCTTGAGCCCTGGAGGTTGAGGCTGCAGTGAACCATGATCACGCCACTGCACTCCAGCCTAGGCGACGAGCAAGACCCTGTCTCAAAATAATAATAATAATATATGCAAGCTAGAAATTAACATGTTTATTACTTATTTTTAAGTAGACATTATATTTGACATGGAAATTATTTCTCAGAACTCCCAGTTATACGGGTGATCCCCAACAGGTTCATTTGTCTTTTAAAAATACAGATTTATTTGTTTATATTGACAAGTAATAATTCTATATATTTATAGGGTACAATGCCATCATTTTGCCTACTCATTTTTTTGCCCAGCTAACTCAATTCATGAGTAAATTCATGAAGGTCTAAAATCCTTGGAGGCGGCTTCAGAGTTGGTTCTCATCTCAACTCCTCCTGGGTGCTACCCATGCCTGTGTGTAAACAGATTCAACATAAGCAGCAAAAGCACAGTGACTGCAAAGACCAAGAAGTAGAACTTGAGTTGCTTCAATTGTGTCCCTTTTTATTTTTTTTTCTTTTTTGAGACGGAGTCTCCCTCTGTCACCCAGGCTGGAGTTTAGTGGCATGATCTCAGCTCACTGCAACATTTGCCTCCCAGGTTCAAGCAATTCTCCTGCCTCAGCCTCCCAAAAAGCTGGGACTACAGGTGTGCACCACCACACCCAGCTAATTTTTGTAATTTTAGTAGAGACGGGATTTCGCTATGTTGGTCAGGCTGGTCTCGAACTCCTGACCTCAAGTGACCCACCCGCCTTAGCCTCCCAGAGTGCTGGGATTACAGGCGTGCGCCACCGCACCTGGACTCCAATTCTGTTCTTCTATGAGACCACTTAGAGTTTCTATGTGGGCTTAACATTCAAAATAATGGGCCGGGCGTGGTGGCTCATGCCTATAATCCCAGCACTTTGGGAGGCCAAGACGGGCGGATGACGAGGTCAGGAGATCGAGACCATCCTGGCTAACACGGTGAAACCCCGTCTCTACTAAAAATACAAAAAAATTAGCCAGGCGTGGTGGTGGGCACCCGGGAGGCAGAGCCTGCAGTGAGCTGAGATCGCGCCGCTGCACTCCAGCCTGCGGGACAGAGCGAGACTCCGTCTCAAAAAAAAAAAAAAAACACATTCAAAATAATGATAGAGTGTATGATATAATATTTGTTAAGAGAACATTTTAGTTCATACAGGAAATATTTTACTGTATTTTAATATCTTTACAGTTGAAATATTCCTTCCCAATGGTATTTGTTTTAGAACTAAAGAACAACTCAAAAAAGTAAAACATCACATCAATGGTACCATTTAGTAGTTGCCTAAATTTTACCTTTTATAGATTTTATAGACATTTTGGTTTCAAAAAAATTTACTTATTGGGTACTCGAGAATTTTTGTTTGTTTGTTTTTGTTTTTGTGTTTGAGACAGAGTCTCCCTGTTGTTGCCCAGGCTGGAGTGCAATGGCATGATCTCAGCTCACCACAACCTCCACCTCCTGGGTTCAAGCGATTCTCCTGCCTCAGCCTCCCAAGTAGCTGGGACTACAGACATGCGCCACCATGTCCGGCTAATTTTGTATTTTTAGTAGAGACAGGGTTTCTCCATGTTGGTCAGGCTGGTCTTGAACTCCTGACATCAGGTGATCCACCCGCCTCGGCTTCCCAAATTGCTGGGATTACAGGAGTGAGTCACCACACCTGGCGTTACTCAATAATTTACATAAAATATTACTATATCAGATGATAACCAAAATATCAAAATCTGGTTAGGTAAATATAAAAACTATTGGATAAATCAGCCAGGCACAGTGCTCATGACTGTAATCCCAGCACCTTGGGAGGCCAAAGCAGGAGGATTGCTGGAGTTCAGGAGTTCAAAACCAACCTGGGCAACATAGTGGGACCCCCATCTCCACAAAAAAAAAATTTTTTTTTCGAGACAGAGTCTCGCTCTGTCGCCCAGGCTGGAGTGCAGTGGCGCGATCTCAGCTCACTGCAAGCTCCGCCTCCCGGGTTCACGCCATTCTCCTGCCTCAGCCTCCTGAGTAGCTGGGATCACAGGCACCCGCCACCACACCCGGCTAAGTTTTGTATTTTTAGTAGAGATAGGGTTTCACTATGTTGGTCAGGCTGAAAAATTTTTTTTAAATAGCAGGGCATGGTGGCACTTGCCTGTGGTCCCAGCTACTCAGGAGGATCATTAAAAAATGATCCTCCCCAGGTGTCCAATTCTCCAGGTAAGCTACCAGAGAGACCAAGCCTTAGTGAGGTGGCAGAGCTCCTGAGTGGGTTTGAAGAGTCTGAGAACAGAGAGAAGAGCCCTCCAAGAACAGGCTGGGTATGGCAGCTCACGCCTGTAATCCCAACAATTTGGGAGGCTGAGGCAGGTGGATCACTTGAGGTCAGGAGTTCGAGACCAGCCTGGCCAACATGGTGAAACCCCATCTCTACTAAAAATACAAAAATTAGCCAGGCATGGTGGCGTGTGCCTGTAATCCCAGCTACTCGGGAGACTGAGGCAGGAGAATCGCTTGAACCCGGGAGGCGGAGGTTGCAGTGAGCCAATTTGGCACCACTGCAGTCCAGCCTAGGTGACAGAGTGAGTCTCTGTCTGAAGAAGGAGAAGGAGAAGAAGAAGAAGAAATGGGTGTGTGTGCTACACGGAGGCAGGTAGGCCACAGCAGTCTTCCCAGGCCCCAGCACAGCGTGGGAGCAGTAAGACTCCTGTGCACCCAGGAGTGGCTCCAAGGTGGCAGAGAAAGCCAGCGAGCTGGAGACATGCGAACAGTGCCAAGGACACACAGGAGCAGATGGCACGGCGGATAGCCAATGACAAGAGACAGGCTGACAGGTGACCTCAAGCACCAGAAATCCTGCCAACGCCGAGCCCCCTGGAAGTCAGGCACAGCCCCAGGGAGGGAGACCCCAAGATGACCAAGATTAAGTTTCTGTCCCCTTAACAGAATGAAGGCTTGAGACTGAAATTACATTTTATTTTAGCTATATTAGTTACATTATAAATATTTTTTTCTTTTTTTTTTTCTTTTTTTTTTTTTGAGACGGGGTTTATCCCTTGTTGCCAGGCTGGAGTGCAATGGTGCAATCTCGGCTCACCACAACCTCCGCCTCCCCGGTTCAAGCGATTCTCCTGCCTCAGCTTCCCGAGTAGCTGGGATTACAGGCATGCGCCACCACCCCCAGCTGATTTTGTATTTTTAGTAGAGATGGGGTTTCTCCATGTTGGTCACACTGGTCTCCAACTCTCGACCTCAGGTGATCCGCCTGCCTCAGCCTCCCAAAGTGCTGGCATTACAGGTGTAAGCCACCTTGCCTGGCCATAAATATTTTCTGTCATGTAGTAGATGTCACATATATATAAAATACATAAATATAAAAATAAAATATAACGATGTATATTTGTTATAAAAATAAAAAGAAGCACGGGGATAGAGGGAAGTTCTATTTCATTTTGTGAACACCTGCATTTGAGACCCTGAATCACCCTGTACTCCCTGATGAACGAAAAGTGACAGGGTGCCCAGATGGAACAGCATCAGGCCATTGGCTGGGGGAGCAGACCAGGGCCTCGCCAGACTCTCTGGGCACAGCCTCACTGGGCTGCAGAGCATTAAGGCCTGAAGGAGCCCCTGGTTGCCTTCTCTACCCACTCCCTGTGTGCACAAGGCACCTGCAGCCCTGCAAGGCCCCCTCAGCCTTCAGCAGCCGAGTTGTCCCTGATTCAAGTCTACTGACCACGCCAGCTCCTCCCTGTACAACCCACCCTTAGGGCACTGGCCATGTTGGGGGAATAGGGGCCTTGGCAGTGACCTGCCAAATCTACAAGTGGGAACAAGCTCAGGGCAGGGAAAGTGGGAGAGGGCAGACAGGCACGGAGGGCAGGACCTGGGTGACTCACCCGCAGAACAAAGAACCTGCAGAAGTAAGCGAGAAAGTAAGCTGGCATCCTGGCCAAGGTCAACTGGTGATCATGTCATTCTGCTGTCAACCCCAAATCTGCTGCCCAAATCCCCAGAGCTGGCCTGTACAATGGAGGGGAGCCAGTTTCCATCCCGCAGAACAGGGACTTCGGTCCGCTTTACTGTCCCCACCCCTCAGAGGGAGCTCATCCCAGAGCAAAGGGCCTGCTGGTTCTGCCAGTGGCCTTGGGAAGGTACATTCCCAGCTCCCACCCCACTCCTTCTATGACTTGCAGCTCAAGGAGCATGAGAAAGTGCCCAGATCCCCAACAGGTCCCAGCCTGCCCCCTCCCTCCCTGAAACCCTGGGCTCCATCTGCAGAAACAGGGAAAGCCAGGTCCCTCTGTGCCTGGGCACAGCTCACAGCTGGTTGTTGTGGGGGGAGTTGCCCACAGGATGCCACTTTGCAGCCCAGAAGGACATCCATATGCCGGGCAGACGGGAACATCTCTGCAGATTCTTAATATGCTGCTCACATCCTAGTTTGTGGGCCGAGTGACAACTGGGAAAGTGACCAAGATCCTGGTGGAAAATCAGAACAGTTGACAACCACACTCCCCCACCTCTCACACCTTCCCACTCCTGCTTCCCCAGGCCTGGCGTATTACCACCAACAACCACTCTGGAGTGGGAGCTGAAGGGCTCCCAGGCTAGGGAGAGTACCTACAAATGAAGAGTGGTCGCTCCTCTAAATCCAGGCACCTCTCCCACAGAAAGAGTCCCCAGGGCGGGAGGAGGCACACGCGTTGCTCTGTGGTTTGTAACAGCAGAAAAACTGGAAAAAAAAAAAAGTGCAAACGTCCATCAATAAGGCACTGGAAAATTAAATTACATTATATCCCTGCAAAGATGACATTACATCCATGAAAAGGGATATCCCACAGCATGAAAAAATCAAAGGTGTCCAGGCACGGTGGCTCATGCCTATAATCCCAGCACTTTGGGAGGCTAAGATGGGCTGATCACCTGAGGTCAGGAGTTCAAGACCAGCCTGGCCAACATGGTGAAACCCCGTCTCTACTAAAAATACAAAAAATTAGCCAAGCATGGTGGCGCCTGCCTGTAGTCTCAGCTACTTGGGAGGGTGAGGCAGGAGAATCACTTGAACCTGGGAGGCGGAGGTTACAAGTGAGCCGAGATCATACCACTGCACTCCAACCTGGATGACAAGAGTGAAACTCCATCTCAAAAAAAAAAAAAAAAAAAGAAAAGAAAAAGAAAATTAGCCGGATGTGGTGGCACACAACTGCAGTCCCAGCTACCCAAGAGATTGAGGCAGGAGGTTCCCTTGAGCCCAGAAGTTTGAGGCTACAGTGAGCCGTGATCACACCACTGCACTCCAGCCTAGGTGACAGAACAAGATCCTGTCTCAGAAAATAATAATAGGCCGGGCACGGTGGCTCACACCTGTAATCCCAGCACTTTGGAAGGCCGAGGCGGGCGGGTCACTTGAGGTCAGGAGTTCAAGACCAACCTAGCCAACATGGCGAAACCCCATCTCTACTAAACATACAAAAAATTAGCCAGGTGTGGTGGTGCATGCCTGTAGTCCCAGCTACTCAGGGGGCTGAGGCACGAGAATCGCTTGAACCTGGGAGGCAGAGGTTGCAGTGAGCCGAGATCATGCCATCATGCCACTGCACTCCAGCCTGGGTGACAGAGCGAGACTCTGTCTCAAAAAATAATAATAATAATAATTTTGACCCTAAAAACGGATTATGCATTTGGTACATATAATTTAAACTTTATTACATTTGCATACAACTACATAATAGTTGAACTAAAATGCAGTTTACTCGTTGAAATTGTTATCAATATCCATTAATTACAATTTTGAGATTTTCTTTTTGTGTTTTGCAGCCAGCAGATACATGACCATTTTTGAGGCCATCTAAAGGCTCACAGGCCCTAGGCATTGTGGCTGGTGGACAGAAAGGCTGGAATGTCCAGAGGTTGCCAGGCTCCTCCTAGGAGGTCCCTGGGTCAATCAATGCAGGCGTCAGCCCCAGGAGCTGCCAAGGCAGAAGAGAATGAACCAAACCCCTAAGGAAAAACCTACTCTGCTCAAGAGTTATTTCCTGAGCACTAGAAGAGCTGGATACTCAGGGTGGAGGGAGGAAGCTGACCTCTACGGCTTGCCCCGGGAGCTGACCCAAGCCCATGGCCCGACTAGTCCTCCCCCAGCAGCCCAGCCGGATGGATAGGCTCGGAACAGGCCGCCAACCTGTTGTCTGGGCCACGCTGGGACTTGCAGCCAGCCAGCTGCCAGCACACTGCACCCCAGCTTCCTGCTCATTACAATACACCAAGCACTGAACCTGGGGGCAAGCACCTGGCCTCAGCCAATGCCTTCTGGCAGTATGGGCTGGGGCTGCTGCTGGCCCAACCCCTCCCACCTGCCATTGCCACCAGACCTCTAGCTGGGGACATAGGCAGGGCTCCCCAAGGAGCACTGAACATGGCTCAACAACCTGGCACCCACATGTGCACCCACCATATCCCATACATGGAGGAGGGGCCAGCAGATCCAGGGCCTTGTAGTCCAAATACCCAGGAGAGGCTTCCAGGCCCCTTAGTACCCTCCCGCTTCTGGCTCTGGAGAGGCTCTTTCTCCTGCTCCATTCTCAAAGGCCAGAGCCAGGCCAAAGGTGCTCACGTCATCCCAGCTGGAGCCTGGGCAAGGGGTGAGCTCAGAGCAGGCTCCCCAGCCACTGCCCCAGCTGGAAGGTTCAGCCACCCAAGGACCAGGGCTCCCCCAGATCTAGGCACAGCCAACACAGGGTTTGGGGTGCAGGATTTGGCAGGAGCTGTTCCGATTCACTGCCATCCTCATGGTACTAATAGCCACATGGCTTATCTTCCCTCGGAACAGTTTGTCTTTGCACGGTGACCAGGTAGGTAACTGACCACATGTGGCCAGAAACAGCAGGTCCCAGTCCTCTCCACATGCTAAGTCAGGCTTGAGGGTTCTGGCCTGGAACTCACAGTGTATAGAGTTTAAGGATTTGAGGAGCAGGTGTTAGAGTTTAAGAAGTTCTGAGTTCTGGCCAGGCATGGTGACTCACGCCTATAATCCCAGCACTTGCGGAGGCCAAGGCGGGAGAATCACCTGAGGTCAGAATTTGGAG
Organism: Homo sapiens; assembly: GCF_000001405.40. Classification (NCBI taxonomy): domain Eukaryota; kingdom Metazoa; phylum Chordata; class Mammalia; order Primates; family Hominidae; genus Homo; species Homo sapiens. The sequence goes on from NC_000011.10 coordinate 62,414,366, forward strand.
ACCAGCCTGGCCAACATGGTGAAATCCCATCTTTATTAATAATACGAAAATTAACAGGGCGTGGTGACGCACGCCTATAATACCAGCTATTTGGGAGGCTGAGGCAGGAGAATCGTCTGAACTCGGGAGGTGGAGGTTGCAGTGAGCCGCTGAGATCGTGCCATTGCACTCCAGCCTACGCAACAAAAGCGAAACTCCGTTTCCAGAAAAAAAAAAAAAAAAGCTCTGAGTTCCAAGCCTTGACTAACACACTTTTTGCCTCACTATCTCAAGCAGAGGGTCAGAAGAGCAGGGGCTTTGCAGGGTCCTGAGGCAGGGGAGAGAAACACCCACCGCCACCAAGCAGGATCTCCCAAGGGCCAGATGGCAGAGCCTATCTGGGACACTTGGTGGTGGCAGTCGAGGTACCTTCCAGAATCAGAGCAAACCTCCAACCTCGCACCTGAAAGGCCAGTGCCCCCGGTGCCCCCAGACTCCCACTGTACCTGTGTGCTTATCTGTCCCATGCATGTCGGACCATGGCCAGGTCCCCTCCTGAGCCTGGGCCCCCTTCATGTGGCTTCCTCCTCCTGGCACATCCCCCGCTTCACCCCAACCACCAGCATCACCCATCCACCAGAGGCCAGCTCAAATGCCAGCCCTCCACGTGCCCTCTCCCCTCTGCCCAGCTACCTTTCTTGGGGCAGCCCCCTTTCTTTTTTTTTTTTTTTTTTTCCTTTTTTTTTGAGACGGAGTTTCGCTCTTGTTGCCCAGGCTGGAGTGCAGTGACGCGATCTCGGCTCACCGCAACCTCTGCCTCCCAGGTTCAAGCGATTCTTCTGCCTCAGCCTCCCAAGTAGCTGGGATTACAGGCAAGCACCACCACAAGCCCAGCCAATTTTGTATTTTTAGTACAGACAGGGTTTCTCCATGTTGTTCAGGCTGGTCTCGAACTCCCAACCTCAGGTGATCCGCCTGCCTTGGCCTCCCAAAGTGCTGGGATTACAGGCATGAGCCACCACGCCCAGCCTGGGGGCAGCCCCCTTTCAACTCCCGGAGCACCATTTCCTTCTCTGACTTCCTCCATCTCCCCACAGAGCATTCCCATCAGTTGCACCCATCTCTGTCTCTCCTCCTAGCTGTTAAGTTCCTCAAAGACCCAGGAGCCAGCTATCCTGTCCCCAGGACCTCGCACCATGAAGGTGGAAAGTAGAGAGCAGAGTCTGAGGCTATGGGTGATGTGACTCCTGCCTAAGACCCCTGCAGCCATCACAGCTGCCCCGGCCAGACCAGCCACTGCCCACAGAGGGATCCACTAGTGGCGGCACTGGATGGGCTTTAGGTGCCCCCAGTGGTCCAGCTCATCTTCCTTGCCCATTTCAGCTCCATTGGCCACAGCTTTCTTTTGTTTGTTTGTTTGTTTATTTATTTATTTATTTTTGAGATGGAGTTTCGCTCTTGTTGTCCAGGCTGGAGTGCAATGGTGTGATCTCGGCTCACTGCAACCTCCACCTCCTGGGCTCAAGTGATTCTCCTGCCTCAGCCTCCCAAGTAGCTGGGATTACAAGCACCTGCCACCACGCCCGGCTAATTTTTGTATTTTTAGTAGAGAGGGGGTTTCACCATGTTGGCCAGGCTGGTCTCAAACTCTCGACGACCTCAGTTGATCTGCCCTCCTCAGCCTCCCAAAGTGCTGGGGTTACAGGCAGGCTACACCTTTCAACAGTCCCTAAGAGGGGAGGGATGCAGACACCTGAAATCCTCAAGATGGGCTAACCTCAAGAGCCCAGATGATGGGACACAGAAGGAAACTTAAAAGAAAGAAGGCACTTCTGAGATGCTTTATGCAAATACAAGCAAATGCATATGTGGATTCTTTTTGCTTTTTTTTGAGACGGAGTCATGCTCTGTCACCAGGCTGGAGGTGCAGTGGCATGATCTCGGCTCACTGCAACCTCTGCCTCCTGGGCTCAAGTGATTCTCGTGCCTCAGCCTCCCGAGTAGCTGGGATTACAGGCAAGCGCCACCATACCCAGCTTTTTGTATTTTTTTAGTAGAGACGGGGTTTCACTATGTTGGCCAGGATGGTCTCAATCTGACCTTGTGATCCACCCGCCTCAGCCTCCCAAAGTGCTGGGATTACAGGCGTGAGCCACCGCGCCCAGCCTTCTCTTTGTTCTTTTTTGCTCTATTCATGCCTTGTTTTTCCCCCTTTGCAGTCTGCCTTGGAGATCATTTCACCATCAGCTCAGAAGATCTTCTTTCTCTGTTTTCAGCCACACAGCGTTTCATTGTAAGGACACACCATAACGTACTTGACAAGTCTTTGTTGGTTGCTAGTTTAGAACGTGTGCTCTTACCGGTGTTAAGGCGTCTCGGAGTGGGACGGTTCCGGGGTCACCACAGCCTTCAACTGTCACATGGCACAAAGGCCTCATGCATGGATTCATTCCAGGGATTCCTGTTTAGCAAGCGTTGCGTACCTTGGCTTACAGCGGCCTCAGCCCTAAAGGAGGTCAGTCAAGTAAAGGAGTCATACAAGAAAATAAGAATTGCAAAGTTAAAATATTGTATAATGGGCCCTGTAAGCAGAGGGGGAAGAGAGGCCCATGGGGAGAGTCACCACCCATCAGAACCACCTGTCGGGGAAGGCTTCACTCCCTATTTTCACCCCCAACCCTATTTTTCCCAAGTCTTCTCTGTGTCAGGAAATAACACCCCATTCCCCCAGCTGCCCAAGTCAGGGTCAGTTCATCAGGAAAGGGATATCAGACCATGTCACTCCCTGATTAAAACCTTCAAGAGCTTCCCACTCTGAGTGTAAAGGCCTTAGAACGAGGCCTTGTGTGCTCTGGCCCCTGAATGCCCCCTTTGCAGGCACAGCAACCCTTTCGAAGCCCTCAGGCACAATGGGGTCCTTCTTTTTTTTTTTTTTTTCTGAGACGGAGTTTTGCTCTTGTTGCCCAGGCTGGAGTGCAATGGCGTGATCTCAGCTCACCGCAATCTATGACTCCCAGATTCAAGCAATTCTCCTGCCTCAGCCTCCCAAGTAGCTGGGATTACAGGTGCCCACCACCACATCCAGCTAATTTTTGTATTTTTAGTAGAGACGGGGTTTCATCATGTCAGCCAGGCTGGTCTCAAACTCCTGACCTTAGGTGATCCACCTGCCTCAGCCTCCCAAAGTCCTGGGATTACAGGCATGAGCCACCCTGTCTGGCCTTTTATTTGTTTATTTATTTTTATTTATTTATTTATTTTTGAGGAGTTCTTGAAGTGCCACGCAATGCCTCTCCATGTCTATCTACCCCAGTTCCCGACTCCTAGCACCACATCTGGCACATCATAGGTGGTCAGCATTTATTGGATGAATGAATGGATCAATATTTGATTGAGTCTTGAAGTACGAATAGAATTTGGCGAAGTGGACAAGGCAGGAAATGTGTATTCAGGCATGAGGCTTAGCTTGTGCATAGGTAGAAAGGCATGAAAAAACATGGAACATTCTCGAATCCACAAATAGTAAGAGAGGGCTAAGTCGTTGTGTGGGGGAGAGGAGAAATGAAGTTCAAATGGTAGGCAAAGGTCAGTGGGCAAGGGCCTTGTAAATTGCACTTGAATTTTATTCTTTAGGCAAAAGGAAGAGTTTAAGGGTTTCAAGAAGAAGGACACGACCAGTGGGTTTTAGGAAGATCATTCTGATGGCCTTTCAGAGGATGGCTGAGGAGAGCTAGCAGGGAGGCAGGGAGGTCGAGTCAGGGGATTTTGACCAGGCCAGGTTAGGTGCTATGAGGCCCGGGCTTTGGAGAAGAACCAGGAAATGGCAACTGGAGGCAAGAAAGGGGAGAAGGCCAAAGCCTGGGAACCATCAACACTTAAGAACAGTAAAGAATAAACATCTAAAGAGAACAAGAAGGAATGGCCAGAAGAAGGAAAACAGGAAAGAACTGAGGCGTGGGAGCGCAAGAGAGAGAATGGTTCGAGAAGGAAGCAGTCACAGGTGTCAAGGCCATTGGGAGGTCAAGTGAGATAAGGACTGAAGGTCCCACCAATTGGGCCATCAGGAGCACAGGACTTGAGAGCACTTCTGGGTGGGAACAGACCCAGCCTGGGGCAGGGCTCAGGTTTCTGATGGGAATTCTGGAAGGGTCCCTTTTATTCAACATGCTTCAATCCAGGGGCCCCCGAAGTCTGACCACAGCAATGCTCCAAACCATGTGTCTTTCCTGGCTTAAGGTTCAGTCGCCCTCCTCAGAGGGGAGCCTATGAAAGAGCCCAGTGGAGTGTCAGGGTCCTGAGTCCTAGTCCTAGTCCTGTCCCTGCCACTTGTGAGGGAACTTGGGCCTCAGTTTCTCCAGGTGGGCTCCACAATTGCTTCTCTTGATCTGGACTGCCCCAGTGCCCAGGTTCAGTGAGTGACACAGGCAGCTGGGTTTCCACATCCTCTGACTTGGGTTCCCTTCACTGCCTCCAGGCAGGGCTCGGCCCTCCACCCCCAAGTGGCCCATTGTGTGAGCTCAGTTTCAGTGGGGACAGAAACTGGGTTGAGAAAAGGGAATATTTACCTATCCCACCAAGCCAATGCCAAGTAAATAGTGCAGTATCTTATGTAGAGCCCTTGCCCTGCCCTTCCCCATCTGGGTGCTGCTGCCTAGAGCATATAAAAGGCACCTTGCTGGGCATGTCTCATACTAGCCCACCAGACTCAGAGACGGAACCAGAGACGGGCCAGAGCATCCCCCTCCTCCACCATGAAACTCGCTGTCACCCTCACCCTGGTCACACTGGCTCTCTGCTGCAGCTCCGGTGAGTGCTCAGAGACCCTTCCCTCCCTCCTGGACTTAGGAACTCTCAGGACCCCCCAGTTCTGCTCAGAAGAAGGAGTGAGCTGCCCATTCCTGCTCTGGAGCTGCTGGGAGGACCTGGGCATGCTGAGTCTCAGAAAACTGGGTCTGGTGAGCAAGCTCATCTTGGAAACTTGGAGAGAGCCCCAGGCTGTAAGGAAGCCTAAAAAGGGTCCCATCTTCTATATCCAACAACCCTCAGAATCCCAGGGAATGGAATAGCCTGGAGGGAGGAGTGGAGAATACCCCATAAAGATGAGTACATCCAGCATAGGAATAATGAGGCCCTCATCCCAGATCTGGACAGACTCCAAGATGCTGAGACCTTGGTGCAGCCTCCAAGTCTGGGGTCTCCACTCCATGCTGGCAGCTGAAGTCACTGGAAGGGGAGCTGCAGGGACTCGTGACCCCAAAAGAAACCCAACCCAAGACAAGGTCTCTCATTCTGGGCACAGAGGAATATTCCAGAAAGAGAGCTTCCCTTTGGGGAACTGCCAACCCAGAGTGAAGTTTTCTAAACATTTCCGTCCTCTGCAAAAGGGATTAGGAGTCTCTGAGTAGTTGCTGCTGTCACTAAAAGGAAAAGAACTGTGGGGGGAAGAGGGGCAGAAAGAGAGACGGAGAGAGGGGGAGAAAGGAAGGAAAGAAGGATCACAGCTCTCTCCAAGATCCCCCGTCTTTGGGGAACTGGGTTATCTAACTCTGTTTTTCACTCTGCGTCAGCCTCTTCCATTCTCATCTGAAAATGCTGTTGTTATTTTTTAATAAACAAACTCCAATTAATTCACTTGGAAAGCTTCACAACACCCATGGAGATAAGTTTTATGACCCTGGGGAGTTAGAAAACCCAAACCAAGAAGCAGTAGGAACAACTATTTTGCAGAGAGGTTTATTTGTTTTTCAGAGAAAATGACATCATTTTGGACTGAAATGTGTATTAATTAGAAGATCTCAGTGCTGTCTGCGTACAGAGGTGGGTGGCTGAGCAAGATAGGACTGCAACATGTTAAGGGGTGGGTCAGAGATGCATTTGTCTATTTGTGTGCACATGCATACAATATTTAACACTTACTTCACACAATGTGCCAATCACTGTCACCCTTTCACATAATATCTCTTTTCATTCTTTTTTTTTTTTTTTTTTGAGACAGAGTCTCGCTCTGTTGCCAGGCTGGAGTGCAGTGGCGCGATCTCAGCTCACTGCAACCTCCGCCTCCCGGGTTCAAGCGATTCTCCTGCCTCAGCCTCCCAAGTAGGTGGGATTACAGGCACGCACCACTGCACCCAGCTAATTTTTGTATTTTTAGTAGAGACAGGGTTTCACCATGTTGGCCAGGATGGTCTCCATCTCTTGACCTCGTGATCCACCCACCTAGGCCTCCCAAAGTGCTGGGATTAGGCGTGAGCCACCATGCCTGGCCTCTCTTTTTATTCTTACAACAACCCTATGAAGTAGGGATATTGGGCCAGGCACGGTGGCTCACGCCTGTAATCCCAGCAATTTGGGAGGCCGAGGTGGGTAGATCACTTGAGGTCAGGAGTTCAGGACCAACCTGGCCAACATGGTGAAACCTTGTCTCTATTAAAAATACAAAAATTAGCCAGGCATGGTGGCGCATGCCTGTAGTCCCAGCTACTTGGGAGGCCGAGGCAGGAGAATCACTTGAACCTGGGAGGCAGAGGTTGCAGTCAGCCGAGATGGCATCACTGCACTCCAGCCTGGGCAATAGAGCGAGACTCCGTCTGAAAACAAATAAATAAATAAAAATAAAATTTAAATTAAATTAAAATTTAAAAAATAAAAAATAAAATGAAGTAGGGATATTGTTCCCATTTTACAGATGAGAAAACTGAGCTACAGAAACACAGAGTGACTTGCCTGGTGACACAGTAAGTTACACATCAAGGACCTAAGTTCTGGAGAGGGTCTGACTTGGAGTGGCAATTTCTAGTGAGGCCCTAGAGTCAGAGGAGGGAAGGCAAATTTGTTCAGAAGGCAGAGAATTCAAGGAAAAGGGATTTGAGACTCACTGGGAAGATGGAGGCAAGCAGTGGGTAGAAAATGGTGACTTTCCCCCATGTTCCTGGTTGTAAGGACCTGAGAAGAAAACAGAGTCTGGAAGCTCTGTGTTGAAGGGAATGAAGTGGTACAAGTGGCTGCTCTGTCCATGAGCTGAGTGTGCCACAGGGCCCGCTGTGCACATGTGCACACCTCTTCCCGGCCAGGTTCGGGGGCCCATGTTTGGCTGGTACAATCTCAATGGCTTCTTTTCTTTTCTTTTCTTTTCTTCTTTTTCTTTTCTCTTGCTTGCTTGCTTGCTTGCTTGCTTGCTTGCTTTTTGAGACAGAATCTCGCTCTGTTGCCCAGGCTGGAGTGCAGTGACGAGATCTCAGCTCACTGCAACTTCTGCTTCCTGGATTCAAGTGATTCTCCTGCCTCAGCCTCCTGAGTAGCTAGGATTACGGGTGCCCAGAACCACGCCCGGCTAATTTTTTGTATTTTTAGTAGAGACGGGGTTTCACCATGTTGGCCAGGCTGGTCTCGAACTCCTGACCTCGTGATCTGCCTGCCTCGGCCTCCCAAAGTGCTGGGATTACAGGTGTGAGCCACCGTGCCTGGCTTACAATCGCTTTTTCCTGCCAGAGCCTGAATTTGTCACATGCCCCCAGTGAAGCATGGCTCAGGGCATCTCTAACCACTGATGAGAGGCAAGTTTCTGGTGGGAAATAAAACCCTCAGTGGCCTCTTCCCAGCCTCCACACTGCATTAAAAAATCAGGCCAGCAGCTTCTATGATCAATACTCTGCCTTGATCTCCAACAGAAAGAAAAACGGCACCTTGCTCACCTCAACCCAAGAAGTCTAAGGAAGACTCGGGCAATCCACAAATCTTACACTCTAGTCCATCGATGAAAAGGCTGCTATCTCTCGCTGATGGGCCTGGCTGTTTGCATCTGGGCAGACCCAGCCAGAGGGCTAGCCAGCTTGGAAAGGGGCCTGGAGACATGTGCCTTCTCTCCTCTGTGTTGCAGCTTCTGCAGAGATCTGCCCGAGCTTTCAGCGTGTCATCGAAACCCTCCTCATGGACACACCCTCCAGTTATGAGGCTGCCATGGAACTTTTCAGCCCTGATCAAGACATGAGGGAGGCAGGGGCTCAGCTGAAGAAGCTGGTGGACACCCTCCCCCAAAAGCCCAGAGAAAGCATCATTAAGCTCATGGTAACCAGCACCTTTCACGTCACACTGGTTAGAAGTGGCTTCCCCAAGTGGGGCTGCAGGATTGCCCCAGTTTTCAGACCTGTTTCTAATCCAGAGAGGAGAGTCACAGTGCCACTGTCCCCAGGCAGGCAGCACAGTGATCTTTCTAGACATCTCCTCTTCCTTTTTTTTTTTTTTTTTTTTTGAGACAGAGTCTCGCTCTGTCGCCCAGACTAGGGTGCAATAGCACGATCTTGGCTTACTGCAACCTCCACCTCCCAGGTTCAAGCGATTCTCCGGCCTCAGCCTCTTGAGTAGCTGGGATTACAGGCACCCACCATCATGCCGAGCTAATTTCTGTATTTTTGTAGAGATGGGGTTTCACCGTGTTTGCCAGGCTGGTCTCGAACTCCTGACCTCAGGTGATCCACCCGCCTCAGCCTCCCAAAGTGCTGGCATTACAGGCGTGAGCCACCACGCCCAGCCTCCCCTTACTATTTTGTAAGAGGCTTTTGAGAAACAATCCAAGCCCTTACTACCTTAGTTCCTCCTAGAGTTGACTGCACCTCTCGGTTAATGTTGAAGTTTCTGTGGCTCGTCATCTCTGCCTAACTATGCAATTCATTCACTGTTGTATTGGGTTTTTCTGTTTCTTTGTCTATTTGTTTTAGGAAAAAATAGCCCAAAGCTCACTGTGTAATTAGCATTTAGAAGCTGAAGATCCCCAACTGCTCCAGCCTCTGCCGCTGCCATGCTTTGAGTCCACGCCCACCAGCCTTGCTCTCTTCAATAAACCACAAGCATCTCACTTTTGTGCCCCCTGCGTGGTTTTGGTCTCCTTGTTATGGTGGGGGGTCTGCCCCTGTCAGGGTAAGGTGAGCCAGGACAAAAGGAAAGCAGCCGAGCTCTGCCCTTGGATCCCAGCAGAAATCTCTGTGCTCTTCCAAAGCTCTTTTCCTCTAGGTTTCTGCCTCCAACAGAGCTCAAGCCCCCTCCCCTTATATCAGACCATCTACTCAACATCACAGACTCTACTCAACATCACAGACTCCACTTGTCCAACAGAACCAGTGATCCTGCCCCAGTCTGTTCCTATCTCAGTGAGTTCTGGCTCCATCCTCCCCGCTGGGCTGCACCAGCCTGAGGAGCATCCGCGATCCTTCCTTCTCTAGCCAACCCAGGCTACCTCTAAAGGGCCTCTGGAATCCTTCACTCCAAGTCCACAGGCAACACCCCCATCCCTGCCTGTACAGCCCCCGGGGCCTCCTCTCTGGCTCCCAGCCAGACTCCAGGGCCCCCACAATCCCTTCTCCAACAACCCAAAGGAATTCTTCTCAAGTGCAAAGTCCCTCCCCATCCTTCAAAGCTTTCTAGGGCTCTTATTGTAAAATCCTAAATCCTGACGATAGATAGTGGCCCCTCACCAGTCTTTCCTGTGCTCCTCCTTCCCACGGCTCCTTCATTCTGCTCAGTCCCCACACACACCCCCACCTTCCCTGCCCTCAGTTTTTAAAAAGAGCCAAGCCCCTTTCAACCTTAAGACCTTTGTACCAGCCACACAGCCCTGGCTGCTCAAAAAGTGTGGCTGATGGCCAGGCACGGTGGCTCACGCCGGTAATCCCAGCACTTTGGGAGGCCAAGGCGGGAGGATCACCTGAGGTCAGGAGTTCGAGACCAGCCTGGCCAACATGGTGAAACCCCATCTCTACTAAATATACAAAAAATTAGCCAGGTATGGTGGTGCGTGCCTGTAATCCCAGCTACTCGGGTGGCTGAGGCAGGAGAATCACTTAACCTGGGAGGCAGAGGTTGCAGTGAGCTGAGATCGTGACACTGCACTCCAGCCTGGACAACAAGAGTGAAACTCCATCTCAAAAAAAAAAAAAATTGTGGCTGATTGGTTTTTAAAATTGCTCTAGAGCAAAATGTGCAAAGAATAGAACTCATCCTAAAGATGCATCCATGTGGATATAAAGACCCCCAAATCCCCGGCCAGTTTCATGGCAGCCAGCCCCCTGCTGGGCCACATTATCCACAGCACCTAAATAGAAGCGGAGGATTGGCTGGGCTTGGTGGCTCATGCCTGTAATTCCAGCACTTCGGGAGGCTGAGGTAGGAAGATGGCTTGGGCCCAGGAGTTCAAGACCAGCCTGGCAACATAGTGAGACTCCATCTCTACAAAAATAAAAATAAATTAGCCGAGTTTGGTAACGCATGCCTGTAGAGCTGGCTACTCTGGAGGCTGAGGCAGGAGGATCTCTTGAGTCCAGGAGTTCCAGGCTGCAGTGAGCTATGATCATGCCACTGCACTCCAGCCTGGGTGACAAAGGTGAGACCCTGTCTCAAAAGGAAAGAAAGAAAAAGGTGGAGGACTGCAGAGGGGCTGCAGGAATCGGAAGGGCGTCGGCAGAGGGCACGGAAGGAGGCGGCGGGTTAGAGACGGAGCTCTCCAGTTCGAGCCCCTCCATGGAGCAACGTGGTCCGGTGGGCCTTGTGCCCCGCGGCCACTAGGGGGCAGCATCGTCCACAGGGTCCTGGAGCGGACGCGCTGTCGGGGCTGAGGCACCCAGAGCTCCGGCTCTGAGGATCTGGTGTCATCCGTATAATTTTTTAAATCTCGGCCGTGCGCGGTGGCTGACTCCTGTAATCCCAGCACTTTGGGAGGCCGAGGCGGGTGGATCACCTGAGGTCGGGAGTTCGAGACCAGCCTGTCCAACATGGTGAAACCCCATCTCTACTAAAAATAAAAAATTAGCTGGGTGTGGTGGCGCGCACCTGTAGTCCCAGCTATTTGGGAAGCTGAGGCAGGAGAATCGCTTGAACCCAGGAGGCGGAGGTTGCAGTGAGCCGAGATCGAGATCGCGCCACTGCACTCCAGCCTGGGAGGTTGCAGTGAGCTGAGATTGTGCCATCGCACTCGAAAAAAAAATAATAATAAAAAATATATATATATAAAATAAAAATCTCATATTTTGAAAGTTTTAAAATCCGAATTCTGAGGGAAAACAGGGGCAGCCACACAAACCATGTTGCCACCCGGTTGAACCCTGCCAGGGAGTGATGTGTCAGCCTTTTTGGGATTAGCAATAATTCCATTCCCAGACGATTTCAAGGGCAAGGTTCATGGAATCTAGAACTTGAGATGGCCCCAAAGGTGGAGAAGACCATGCGGAGCTGGCGGGGCTGGCCTTTGACCTCCACCTGCCCGGTTTCTAAAGTCCCCAGGCAGAAACCACAACCCAATAACCCTTATTGATTGCTTAGGTGCTGGCAGGCGCTTTCGCAATCTTTTTTTTTTTTTTTTTTTTTGAGATGGAGTCTTGCTCTGTCTCCAGGCTGGAGTGCAGTGGCATGATCTCAGCTCACTGCAACCTCCAACTCCCTGATTCGAGCAATTCTCCTGCCTCAGCCTCCCGAGTAGATGGGATTACAGGCTCCTGCCATCATGCCTGGCTAATTTTTGTGTTTTAAGTAGAGACAGGGTTTCTCCATGTTGGCCAGGCTGGTCTCGAACTCCTGACCTCAGGTGATCCACCCGCCTTGGCCCCTCAAGGGCTGGGATTACAGGCGTGAACCACCGCGCCCGCCCTCAGCCAGTAGTGGTTTTTTGTTTGTTTGTTTGTTTGTTTGTTTTTGAGACGGAGTCTTGCTCTCTCGCCCAGGCTGGAGTGCAGTGGTGTGATCTTGGCTCACTGCAAGCTCTGCCTCCCGGGTTTGCACCATCCTCCTGCGTCAGCCTCCCGAGTAGCTGGGACTACAGGCGCCCGCCACCACGCCAGGCTAATTTTTCGTATTTTTAGTAGAGATGGGGTTTCACGGTGTTAGCCAGGATGGTCTTGATTTCCTGACCTCGTGATCCACCAGCCTCGGCCTCCCAAAGTGCTGGGATTACAGGCGTGAACCACCGCGCCGGGCCTTGCAATCTCTCAATTACTCCTCACACAACCCAGATTCCAGAGCCCGTGCCCCAACCCCTGCCCTGCAGGTGGTGGTGGGATCCCTAATTCCAGAATCCCCAGAGCCAAAAATCCAAATGATGGTGATGAGCAAAGTCCACCTACCCCCAAACACACACTCACACACACAAACTAGAAAGCCACCGTGCCCTTCATTTTCAGCCACGAAGGAGGGGATCTGATTGTAAAAATTCCGGAGCAGGTTGGGGGACTGGCAACTCCAAAAGAGATTCCTTGCCTCCGGTGGGGCCTTGATGGGGGCTGCCCAGCTCCCTCTCCTCCCCCACTCCCTCCCTGCTGAGGCATCACATTCTCCTTCACCAGGTCATCCTAAAGCACATACCTTTGCGCTGGTGGGCCATCCGCCTGGATGAGTATTGTTTCATCGGATAAGCTTCCAGAGCCATAAAAGGTTCAGAATTTTAATTGCCTATTCACAGCCAAGGGAAACATTTACCCAGGGCCAATGCAAGGCAGGTATCTGAGGAAAAGAAGCACAATTACGGTGCAGAGAGGCTTGAGGCTGGGGACAACACTGCAGGAATCACTGTGGGTGATTCACAAGAATGTGGGCTATGCCAATCCACAGAAATGGGCGTTAAATTTTAAAACAGCAGAATGCAAAGATAAACTGATTGCAACCACAGGAAGAGCATGTAACTGTGTGATGCATGTTGACAGAAAGCAGGAAATTCGAGAAATGAAGGCACTGTTCACTGGGTGCTTTTCTGTCTGTGTGTAGTTACTCACACCAGTTACTCGTGTATTATAGCATGGGTCTGTAGACTATGGCCAGCAGGCTAAGCTCAGGCTATGGCCTATTTTTTTTTTTTTTTTTTTTTGAGACGGTTTCTCACTCTGTGGCCCAGGATGGAGTACAGTGGCGCAATCTCGGCTCACTGCAACCTCCACCTCCCAGGTTCAAGTGATTCTCCTGCCTCAGCCTCCCAAGTAGCTGGGATTACAGGCGCATGCCACCATGGCTGGCTAATTTTGTATTTTTAGTAGAGACAGGTTTCACCATGTTGGTCAGGCTGGTCTTGAACTCCCGACCTCAGGTGATCCGCCCACCTCAGCCTCCCAAAGTGTTGGGATTACAGGCATGAGCCACCGTGCCTGGTCATTTGTTTGTATTCTTAGTAGAGACGGGGTTTCACCATGTTGGTCAGGCTAGTCTCAAACTCCTGACCTCAGGTGATCCACCCGCTTCGGCTTCCCAAAGTGCTGGGATTACAGGCTTGAGCCACCACGCCCCGCTAAGACCACATTTCTTGATCACATTGTCAAGAAAACTGAATCTGAGTGAAAAACTTTTTGAAAGTATCTGTTAACCCTGAAATCTGCAACCAAAGGAAACTTACTCTGGAGGAAAGCTAAAGCAGAATGGTAGTTGTCAAACACCGCCATCACGTTGCAAAATCCAGGGGCTTGTGTCAATGTGCCTGGACTAATTGATCAGTAGGAAAGCTGCCGTTGTGTATGAGAGACAGTTGAGGTTAGCCTGACAGAAATATCTGTAAATGACTCATGAGGCAGGAAGAAGAAGCAAAACCAGCCTTCATTAGCCTTATCACGATGATATGGATAAAATTATGTCTAGTTTGCAGCTGATGCAAGCCCTGCTGTTTTCGAAAGCCAAGGGATTTGTGGGCAGTAATCACCATAGGGGTGTCTGCCACTCAAAATGGCTTCAGATAGACGATCAAGAGAAGTTTTATTGATGATGATGAGGCCACACAAACAATGCATTCTGAAACATGTAATTAGGGGATGTTCCTCCCAAGCACTTTCAGAATACACCAACAGGCACATGGGGATAATGTGAGGATGAATCATCAGTAGTTAGCCACCCAACATATTTCCATGAGCAAACTAAAATTATAAAACTATAGTACATGCAAAAAAATCTGAAAATAGACTGGGCACGGTGGCTCACGCCTATAATCTCAGCACTTTGGGAGGCCGAAGCAGGCGGATCACCTGAGGTCGGGAGTTCGAGACCAGCCTGACCAACATGGAGAAACCCTGTCTCTACTAAAAATACAAAATTAGCCAGGCATGGCGGTGGGTGCCTGAAATCCCAGCTACTCGGGAGGCTGAGGCAGGAGAATCGCTTGAACCTGGGAGGCAGAAGTTGCAGTGAGCCAAGATCGCACCATTGCACTCCAGCCTGGGCAACAAGAGCAAAACTCTGTCCCCAAAAAAAAAAAAATCTGAAAATACATTTAGCTAAGCTAGCATGGGAATTGATTGCCAGCTTGGGAATTGATAAACCGGGGGTTTGGAACTCAGATTTGTTACCCCATCAAGTGAATGGATTCCCAGCTAATCACAAGAGTCTAGTTAACTCTGAAAATACCTGCAGTTATATGCCCATAGCTGTAACTGCCCGGTGGGTTCACCTTGCTCGCTGCCTGGACGGAGCCAATTTATCAAGACAGGGGAATTGCAGTGGAGAAGGAGTAATTCACACAGAGCTGGTGTGTGGGAGACTGGGTTTTATTATTACTCCAAACAGTCTCCCTGAGCATTCGGGGATCGGGGTTTTTAAAGATAATTTGGCGGGTAAGGGCTTGGGAAGCAGGGAGTGCTGATTGGTCAGGCTGGAGATGGAATCCTAGGGGGTGGAAGTGTGGTTTTCTTGCTGTCTTCTGTTCCTGGGGAGGATGGCAGAAATGGTTGAGCCAGATTACCAGTCTGGGTTGTGTCAGCTGATCCATCGAATGCAGGGTCTGCAAACTATCTCAAGCACTGATCTTAGGTTTTACAATAGTGATGTTATCTGCAGGAGCAATCTGGGGAGGCTCAGACTCTTGGAGCCAGAGGCTGCATGACCGCTAAACTAAATTTCTAATCTTGTAGCTAATTTGTTAGTCTTGCAAAGGCAGACTGGTCCACAGGCAAGAATGGGGTTTTTTTTAGGGAAATGGCTATTATCAATTTTGTTTCAGAGTCAAAACATGAACTGAATTCCTTCCCAAAGTTAGTTCAGGCCTATGCCCAGGAATGAACAAGGACAGCTTAAAGGTTAGAAGGAAGATGGAGTCGGTTAGGTCTGATCTCTTTCACTGTCATAATTTCCTCAGTTGTAATTTTTGCAAAGGCGGTTTCACAGCCACCCTGTGTGTGTAACCACGAGGCAGATACCTACAGAGCTTCCTTTAGAGTTCCCTCTTAGGGCTGGGTGCAGTGGCTCAAGCCACTGTGGGAGGCTGAGGCAGGCGGATCACCTGAGGTCAGGAGTTCGAGACCAGCCTGGCCAACATGGCAAAACCCCATCTCTACTAGTAATACAAAAATTACCCGGGCATGATGGCGCATGCCTGTAGTCCCCGCTACAGCTGAGGCAAGAGAATCACTTGAACCCAGGAGGCAGAAGTTGCAGTGGCAGAGGTTGCAGAGGCGGAAGTTGTAGTGAGCCGAGGTTGCAGTAAGCCGAGATCACACCACTGCACTCCAGCCTGGGTGACAGAATGAGACTCCATCTCAAAAATAAAAATGAAAAAGAATTCCCTGTTAGGCCCCTGTCACAAAAGTAGGTACTAATCAGCCCTGGGACAGGATAGAGACTTGATCAGAGGCTCCCTGGGAGCTGTGGAAGGAGGAGCAGGCCTTGGGGCATCAGGAGAGGAGAAAGGGTTGCTGGGCTGGGGGATCTCCTGACCTCCTGACCTTAGGCGTCCAGTCGGTCTCTGAGTCCATCTCAACTTACATGGAATTGATCCCTTTATTTTTTTTTATTTATTTATTTTTGAGATAGGGTCTCACTCTGTCACCCAGGCTGGAGTGCAAGGTTGCAATCACTGCTCACTGCAACCTCCGCCTCCCAGGCTCAAGCAATCCTCCTCCCTCAGCCTCCTGAGTAGCTGGGATGACAGGCGCACACCACCATGCCCAGCTAATTTTTGTATTTTTTTTCATAGATACGGGTTTTCGCCATGTTGGCCAGGCTGGTCTCAAACTCCTGGACTCAAATGATCTGCCAGCCTCTGCCTCCCAAAGTGTTGGGATTACAGGCGTGAGCCACCGTGCCCAGCCCTTATCCCCTTCTCTTGACCCTATTGCCAATTCCAAGCCTTCACCATCTGTGACCTGGATCATTGCAAACAGCCTCTACATTAGTTTCTATGGCTGCTGTAACAACTTACCACAGACTTAATAACTTAAAAACACACAAATTTATGATCTTCTCGTTCTGGAGGCCAGATGTCTGAAATGCATTTCACTGGGCTAAAAACCAAGGTGTTGGCAGGCTGCATTCTTTCTGGAGTCTCCAGGGGAGAATCTGTCTCCTTGTTTTTTCCATTTTCTAAAGGCCACCCGCATTACTTGGCTCATGGCCCCTTCCCCATCTTCAAAGTCAGCAGGGCAGCCTCTGCAATTCTCTCTCCGACACTGATCTCCTCTTCTGCCTCCCACTTCCATTCATAAGGATCTCTGTGATTACACTGGGCCCATCAGATACTCCAAAACAACCTCCCCTCTCACGGTCAGCTGATGAGAAACCTTCATCCATGTGCAACCCTAATTCTCTCTTGCCAGGTAACCTAACACATGCACAGGGTCTGGGGATTAGGACGTGGAGATCCTTGAGGGGCCGTTAATCTGCCTCCTAAATAGTCTCTAAGATTTTAGTCTTACTTCCTTCCCATGATTGCCAAAAATCAAACAGGAAGTTCATGCTTTTGCTTAAAATCCTTCCCTCTTCCTGGTCCCCTGTTGGATAAAGTCCAAACCCCTCACCCATCATCAAAGGCTCCTGGAGATGGTGGCCCTGCTTCCCACTGTGGCCTCAAATCCTGCTGCTTCCCACCTACCCTTCACTTTGAGGGTGCAGCAGTGGATGATGCTCGGAAATAAAACTGCCCTCTGAGTAAGGCTTGTCGATTCATGTCGAGGCACAGACGTTCACATTTGAAACAGGCAACAAATCCATGCCATTCACACTTCCACACTTTTGCAGAAACAGTTCCCGCTAACTGAAATGCTTTCCCTTCCCAAAGTCCCTGGAAGAACCAAACTCCATCCTTCATGACTCACTTGGGACATGCTTATACTAAAAATTGTTTCATTATTTATCTAAAATGCACACTTAACGGGCATACTGTATTTCATTTGCTAAGTCTGGCCCCCTTCAGATTCTTTCACGACTTAGTCTGTGGGCTCTTTCTCCCTGTTCTCCCTACCCAGCACTTTGTGCCCTGAGGTTCAGGGGCTCTTTCTGCTGCTGAGCTTCCACGCCCCTAATCTGGGGCATGTATTTACAGTGGGATAAATCATGTATTTATCTTACTATAGCATGTTTGCTTCTAACTGTTGCCTTCTCTAGAATGTGAGTCCTATGAAGGCATGATTCACATTTTAGTTATCTTGCCACTCATTGTAGAAAAATTAGAAAACCCAAGAAAGCAAAAGGAAAATAAATCATTCGAATGTACATCTGCGTCAAGTACTTGATCAGAGCAGCAGGATTCTACTTTTGACCCTCTAGTGGAAAAATTGAAACCAAGGTGGAAGCCAAGACAGTAAATTAAGTATATTACAGGACTCGAGACCTTTTTTTTTTTTTTTTTGAGACGGAGTCTCACTTTGTTGCCATGCTGGAGTGCAGAGGTGCCATCCTGGCTCACTGCAATCTCCACCTCCCGGTTCAAGTGATTCTCCTGCCTCAGCCTCCCAAGTAGCAGGGACTACAGGCGCATGCATGCCACCATGCCCAGCTAATTTTTGTATTTTTAGTAGAGACAGGGTTTCACCATATTGGCCAGGATGGTCTCGATCTCTTGACCTCATGATCTGCCCGCCTTGGCCTCCCGACCTTTTTATTCCATCTCTCTGCTTCCAGGAGGACCATATCAATAACCAAGTGGCCCCTGAGACATGACCCTAAACCCCCAAAAAGACCTCCCATTACTCTGTGGCTGACCCATTTGAGGAATTCATATGTTCTGTGGGCAGGAAGTTCTAACCAAAATGCAAAAAAAGTTTGAAGTTCATCGTATTCCGTTGTTCCCTGCTTTTCTGTTTCTAGGTAAAGATGAGATTAGTTGGCCAGGCACGGTGGCTCACCCCTGTAATCCCAGCACTTTGGGAGACTGAGGCAGGTGGATCACCTGAGGTCAGGAGTTTGAGACCCACCTGACCAACATGGAGAAACCCCATCTCCACTAAAAATACAAAAATTAGCTGGGCGTGGTGGCGGGTGTCTGTAATCCCAGCTACTTGGGAGGCTGAGGCAGAAGAATCGCTTGAACCCAGGAGGCAGATGTTGCAGGGAGCCGAGATCACGCCATTGCACTCCAGCCTGGGCAACAAGAGCAAAACTCTGTCTCAAAAAAAAAAGAAAAAAAAAAGATGAGACTCGTTTATGAAACTGGATTCCTCTTAAACCACAAATCCATCTGAATGGTATTCATTTCATGCTTGATAAATTTCAAGACCTGATTATTTTGCAATATCAATGTTGATAAAAGTTAAATATTAACCAGATAATCGAAAGTTATCCTTTAACGTCTGCTACCATAGAATAAGAATTTCAGACTGACCCCCAGTGACAGGAAACTTTGAAAAGGCGTGTGCCTGAAGAAACGTATCGATTGGCATGTTAAAAAATACATGTATTGGCCGGGCATGGTGGCTCATCCCTGTAATCCCTGCACTTTGGGAGGCCGAGGCAGGTGGATCACTTGAGGTCAGGAGTTTGAGACCAGCCTGGCCAATGTGGTGAAATCCCGTCTGTACTAAAAAAAAAAAAAAAAAAAAAAAATACAAAAATTAGCCAGGCGTGGTGGCAGGCCTGTAATCCCAGCTACTGAGGCCGAGGCACGAGAATCACTTGAACTCAGGAGGTGGAGGTTATAGTGAACTGAGATCATACTACTGCACTCTCCAGACTGGGTGACAGAGTGAGACACTGTCTCAAAAAAAAAAAGATTACATTTCTCCTTTTTTAGATAAATAAAGAGGAAAGAGAAAGGGGAGGGGGAGCAAGGGGTGTAAGAGGGAGAAAGAAAAGAGAGAAAGGAGAGAACGCGCGGGGGTTCTCGGTCATGTGGAGGCAGCAGTCATGTGCTGACTCTGAAAACTGAAAAAAAAAAAAAAATAGTGACAGCAAGCTGCTGCCTGTGGCCAACTCTCCCAGGGATTCTCACAACGCCAGGGAAGGGAACAGAGAAAACCACAAAGGTTGACACAAGAACAGATGCTTGATAAATGTTTATTGGATAAACGAGCGAAGGATAATCACCTGAGCACCATAGTTGCCAAAGCCCCCTCTAGTCCCAAACCTAAGCCCACACTCTGTCCCCTTGCAAGTAAAGAAATGCACCAAGCAGGGCTTATGCAGCAGCCCTCGGTCTGGCCTGGCTGGAGCTATAAACATGCATGCTCCGAAAAGCCGCCTCGCGGAAGGTATTCCTTTAACTGCAGGTGTTTGTTGCCCTTGGCACAGCAATATGTAATTTCCCATTTTTAGAACAATGCTCCAAAGAACGGTCACAAAAACAACCTTAAGAGGGGGTGGTTTTCTTCCTGGCCGCTTCTACAGTCCTGTAAAACAACAACAAAGAGATTTATATTCAACACACTATTTGCATCTCTCCATAAAATCAGAAGATGGTTCGTTAACTTTGCACCAACTGAAAGAAGGTCCCCCCACTCCTTGCTAGGGCATCCAAACAAATGCTTGCCTCTGGAAGGGATAGATTTGGAAAGGATCCTGCTGTTGGGTCTCTTTTGGTCTTGCCACGCCTCCCTCTGTGTGGTTTCTGTGCGGCAAGGGTGGAAAGGAAGCTTGCATAAAGCCCGAGTCTGTCCTTTTGGTGCCCCCCATACAAGCCCGAGACCAGAAGAGGACAGTGTGTTCCCAAGAACATTCAAATAACAGAGGAAGGTAGGAACCGTGAAAACAGCTGCCACCTCCAGCCTCAGCCATTAAGAAATCCCTTTCATTATCATCTCCAAACTGACTTTCTCTCTTCCCTTTCCTCTTCATGAACCCTTTCTGCTTCATGAACCCAAGCAACTGGCTTTGAGACTTCATGGCCCTTCACCTTCCCTCCCTGTCGTCTCCCAGAGCCTAACTACTACATCTTCTGTCCCAGCCCAGTGCCTCCTCCCCGAGTCACACCCAACTCATCCCCATCGGACTCCCATGAATGCGCAGGTTGTCCTCTCATGGGCCTCCTGGCCTGGTCTCTCTCACCTCCCACGTGGGCCTGCATGCCCCAGGCTTCATCTTACACCTCCTGCGCTCAAGAAAGTTCAGCAACTCCTTTTCCAACAGAAACAAATCCAGCTTTCGGGCCAGGCGCAGTGGCTCACGCCTGTAATCCCAGCACTTTGGGAGGCCGAGGCAGGCGGACCTCCTAAGGTCAGGAGTTCAAGACCAGGCTGACCAACATGGTGAAACCCTGCCTCTACTAAAAAGAAATACAAAAATTAGCCGGGTGTGGTGGCACACACTGTAATCCCAGCTACTCAGGAAACTAAGGCAGAAGAATCACTTGAATCCGGGAGGCAGAGGTTGCACAGTGATCCAAGATCCTGTCACTGCACTTCAGCCTGGACAACATGGCAAGACCCTGTCTCAAAAAAAAAAAAAAAAAAAAAAGCCAGCTTTCTTAATGGGACCTCATCTGGAACCAGGCCTCCTTTCCTACTTTATCTTCTACTAGTCCCTACACAAGTTTCAAGCACCAACCAAAATCACCTGCTCACCCTTCCCAAACTTTACCTTGGCTCCTAAAAACTACCTCCTGCCCTCCCCCTAATTGAGAATGACCTTCCTGGTCTTCTCTCTGTGACTAAATCCTACCCATTTTTGAAGACTCAGCCAAATAATACCACCATCTGACCACTCTAGTTCAAAATGCCCCCCTTTCCTTGCTGAAGTCCTGCAATTCTGCCCCATTTATTCACTATATGTTACACTTTGTGAAGAAACCATTCACATAACTTCTTTCTTCCAAATGTGTGTTGAATTATTTAGAGGGCAAAGGTGCTAAGCCTCTTTAAGAGGCTTGGAAGGAATTAGGCACCAGGAAAGTGAAAGCTTTATTTATTTATTTATCTTTTTTTTTTCTTTTTGAGACGGAGTCTCGCTGTTGCCCAGGCTGGAATGCAGTGGCGCGATCTTGGCTCACTGCAGGCTCCGCCCCCCGGGGTTCCCGCCATTCTCCTGCCTCAGCCTCCCGAGTAGCTGGGGACTACAGGCGCCCGTCACCTCGCCCGGCTAATTTTTTTGTATTTTTAGTACAGACGGGGTTTCACCGTGTTAGACAGGATGGTCTCGATCTCCTGACCTCGTGATCCGCCCACCTCGGCCTCCCAAAGTGCTGGGATTACAGGCTTGAGCCACCGCACCCGGCCTATTTATTTATCTTTTTAAGAGATGGGGTCTTACTATATTGCTCAGGCTGGCCTTGAACTCCTGGACTCAAGCAATCCTCCTGCCTTGACCTCCCAAAGTGCTGGGATTGCAGGCTGGCCGCACCCAGCCAGTTTTGACATTTCTACACTACCTTTTATTGCACACTTGCTATGAACCTGTCGCTGAGCTGAGCACTTCTTACATATGACCGCATTTAACTCTCACAGTGAGACTAGAAGGGAAGTACCACTGTCACTTTTCACAGACCAGGAAACAAAGGCTTTGAGAAGTTAAATAACTACCCAAGAGCCTCACTGTTTAAAAGGAGCAGAGCTGGAGTTCAAGCCTGGCTCACAGTATTGACAGCTCTAGCCCATCCCCTTTCATTCTCAGCGAATTCACAACACAGAACAGTTAGGATGAACAGGGTGGGGAGGAAGTTGCAGGCTCTTTTCCTGATTGGAACAAATTCATGGAAAGGGTTCATAAAGGGGCTGGGCTTCCCAATTCATGTTTTTGTTTTGAAGAAGGTGGGGGAACTTGGGGTTCACACAATGAAGTTCTCTTTAAAGAATGGTGTCTGCAACATCTGATGCTCCGGGGGAGTAGCAGGCAACACAGAGAGCTTTGATGCTGTACCAAGATTCACTCTCAACATCCCAAGCCAAGTGGCAACAGTGCAGAATATGGCATTCAAGTCTAACTCCCACACTTACCAGCTGTGATACTCAGACAAGCTATTGTCC
This sequence comes from Homo sapiens, assembly GCF_000001405.40. Taxonomy (NCBI): domain Eukaryota; kingdom Metazoa; phylum Chordata; class Mammalia; order Primates; family Hominidae; genus Homo; species Homo sapiens. The sequence continues at coordinate 62,436,460 of NC_000011.10, forward strand.
CTCTCTAAGCTTCAGTTTCCTCCTCTCTAACAAGAAAAGAATATCATTTTGACAGGTGGTTTGGATAGATTAAGGCAAATAATCTCTATAAAGCAACCAGGCACATATTGGGTGCTCCATAAATTATTATTGTTATTACTTCTCTTGGACATGAAAATCTGCATTTCTTTTCATTAAAAAAAAAAAAAAAGTATAGGCCGGGCGCAGTGGCTCACGCCTGTAATCCCAGCACTTTGGGAGGCCAAGGTGGGTGGATCACGAGGTCAGGAGATCGAGACCATCCTGGCTAACACGGTGAAACCCAGTCTCTACCAAAAATACAAAAAAAAATTAGCCGGGCATGGTGGCGGGCGCCTGTAGTCCCAGCTACTCGGGAAACTGAGGCAGGAGAATGGCGTGAACCCAGGAGGCGGAGCTTGCAGTGAGCCAAGATCGCGCCACTGCACTCCAGCCTGGGTGACTGAGCAAGACTCTGTCTCAAAAAAAAAAAAAGAAGTATAACATACATTCATCAGAGTACATAAAGCACACAATGGACAGCTTGATAATCATTTTCATAAATAGGCATTTCTATAACCACCACTCCAGGCCACATAAGGAATATTTCCAGCACCCCAAAACGTTCCCTCATGCACCCTCCCAATCCATATCCCCACCAGACAGAATCATGATTTGACTCATTATAGATCAGCTTTGCCTCTTTCTGAACCATATATTAATGGAATCAGAGCATATAATCTTTTCATCATTGCATAGTACTCTTATATGAATAGATCACCAATTTATTTCTCCAATCTTCTGTTGATGGGAATTTGGGGTGTTTCAGGTTTGGAGAAACTTCTTTGAACATTTTTGTACATACATTATTGTCAGCATAGGCACTCAAACCCCTCAGCTTTGTTTTGTTTTGTTTTGAGACGGAGTCTCACTCTGTCTGCCAGGCTGGAGTGCAATGGTGCAATCTCAGCCACTGCAACATCTGCCTCCTGGGTTCAAGTGATTCTCCTGCCTCAGCCTCCTGAGTACCTAGGATTACAGGCACTCATCTGCCACACTCAGCTAATTTTTTTTGTATTTTTAGTAGAGACGGGGTTTCACCATATTGGCAAGGCTGGTCTCGAACTCCTGACCTCAGGTTATCCACCCACCTTGGCCTCCCAAAGTGCTGGGATTACAGGTGTGAACCACCACGCCCAGCCCAAATCCCTTACCCAAATACTTAGGAGTAGAATTTCTGGGTTGTACAGCAGGCATATCTATAGCTTTAATATAATCTGCCAAACAATGTTCCCAGTGGCTGTACCTCTTCCACACTCCCCACAGCAATATGCAATAGTTCTAGTTGTTCCATATTCTCAGCAACACTTGGTATTGTCAGTCTTTTCATTTTAGCTATTATGGTGGGTGTGTAGTAGTATCTTTTTGTGGGAGTTTTGTGTGTCTATGTTGTTCTTTTTTTTTCTTTTGCATTCTGTCACCAAGGCCAGAGTGCAGTGGCATGATCATAGCTCACTGCAGCCTCAAACTCCTAGGCTCAAATGATCCTCCCACCTCAGTCTCCCAAATAACTGGGACTACAGGCTTGTGCCACCAGGCTCAGCTAATTTCCCAGCGCATTTGCATTTTCTGATGAATAATGATGTTGAGCACCTTTTCACAGTGTATTTGGCCATCTGGGTATCCTCTTTTGTTAGTGCCTGGTCAAGTCTTTTTCTTTCTCTCTTTTTTTTTTTTTTTTTCCTGAGACTGAGTTTTGTTCTGTCTCCCAGGCTGGAGTGCAGTGGTGTGATCTCGGCTCACTGCAACTCTGCCTCCCGGGTTCAAGCAATTCTCCTGCCTCGGACTCCCGAGTAGCTGGGATTACAGGTGCCTGCCACCACGTCCAGCTAATTTTTGTATTTTTAGTAGAGACAGGGTTTCACCGTGTTTATCAGGCTGGTCTCGAACTCCTGACAGGTGATCCACCTGCCTCGGCCTCCCACAGTGCTGAGATTACAGGCATGAGCCATCGCACCTGGCCTCTTTTTCTCATTTTTTTAATTGGGTCATTTTTAGTTTTCTTATTGATCTGCAGTACTTCAAATATTTTAGAAACGAATACTTTATCAGACATATGTATTGCAGATATATATCTTCTCCAGGTCTGAGGCTTGCCTTTTCATTTTTTTAATGGTGCCCTTGGATGAAGAGAGGATTTAATTTTGATAAAGTCCAATTCATCGATTTTTCTTCTGTGGTTAGTGCTGTTTGCATTCTGTTTTAGAAATGTTTGCCCATCCCTAAGGCCAGGAAGACCTTCTCTGTTCTCTGCTCCTTTTAGTCTTGCTTTATGTGGTATCTTCCTCTGGCGTGGAGACAACTGATTTGTTGTTATTTCAATGAGGAGCAAAGGTCTCATAGAAAAACTAATCATGACCGGCTCACATGAGAATGCTCATATGATAATGACTTCCTGGGCCTTTGGACTATGCAGCCTGCCATCCTAAGGTTGCTGTGTAGCATCAACAGGTACCACTGCTGACCTGGCTGCATTGCTGAAATCCCACAGGAGCGGCCCTTAACAGAGGTGGCATCTTCCAAAGTGAACCAGGAAGGAGAGGGATGGACACCCATCCCTCTCAGTTTCCCTATTTTTTTTTTTTTTTTTTTTTTGAGATGGAGTCTCGCTCTGTCACCCAGGCTGGAGTGCAATGGCGTGATCTCCGCTCACTGCAAGCTCTGACCACCCGGGTTCATGCCATTCTCCTGCCTCAGCCTCCCGAGTAGCTGGGATTACAAGCGCCCGCCACCACGCCTAGCTAATTTTTTTTGTATTTTTAGTAGACACGGGGTTTCGCTGTTTTAGTCAGGATGGTCTCGAACTCCTGACCTTGTGATCCGCCCACCTCGGCCTCCCAAAGTGCTGGGATTACAGGCGTGAGCCACCGCGCCTGGGCAGTTTCCCTATTTTTCTCATCTGTAAAGTGAATGCTGGTTAGTACTCTAGGGCTAGCACCTTAAACTCGACCCAGCCCAGCTATGGCCACTTTGCAAACACATCCTTCCTATCCTGGCAACTTTGTCCAATCTCCTTCATAAACCCTTTTCCTATGCATTTTGTTTATCCCTAAATGTTCCTTTTCATTATCATTTGTCTAACCATTTATTATTTGTAGTGCATGTGTGCATCTGTCTTTCTTTTTGGTTTGTTTTGGATTTTTGTGTGATTTTTTTTTTTTTTTTTTTTGAGATGGAGTCTCACACTAGCATCCAGGCTGGAGTGTAGTGGCGCGATCTCAGCTCACTGCAACCTCCGCCTCCCGGGTTCAAGTGATTTTCCTGCCTCAGCCTCCCGAGTAGGTGGGACTATAGGCACCCACCACCACACCTGACTAATTCTTGTATTTTTAGTGGAGATGAGGTTTTGCCATGTTAGCCAGGCTGGTCTCGATCTCCTGACCTCCAGTGATCCGCCCGCCTCCGCCTCCCACAGTGCTAGGATTGTAGGCGTGAGCCACTGTGCCCGGCCGCATTTGTCTTTTAAGTCTCTCCTCTCTTCTGTCTTTCCTTCCCTAAAACAGGGTTTCTCCACCTTGGCACTATTCACATTTTGGACTGGACAGTTCCTTGCCACGGGGCCATCCTGCGTGTGGCCTGATGCACAGCTATTGCGATTTCTCTCCTTCTTCCCACCTCTCCACTCACTGCCAATCAAGGGCCCTGAGGGAAAAGTGAGGGGGTGGCCGGGAGGTAGAATCGTGGCTTTCTCAAGCTCACAGGGGCCTTAGATATGATCTAGTGCAACCCCCTCATTTTACGATGAGGAAACGACACTGAGAGGGGGAGGGAGAGGATGTGTCAGAGCCGAAAATGTTAGGGAACAAGTGCCAGGCCAAACAGGAAGTCAAAATTCCAGGGCTTGAGGCAGAGTTTCCAATCCCACCAAGGAACCTGGGATTGCTTCCCACAGCTCCTTCCTCCCTCCCAGCCACGAGCCCCATTCCAGAAACAACCCGTGGCTGGCCAGAGGGAACGGCAGACACAGATCCCACAAGCCCCCAGGAGTGCACGCCAGTGTCCATCCCTGGGAGCCCGTTTCTGAGCCTCTAGTGGACAGAGATGGCCACCGATTGCAGTGGGGATATTTCATGATGACGCCTGTCATGATCACTTCTTAGTTTAACCCTATAATCAGGGGGGAAATGATGCTTATGCTGCCTGGCCACACCTGACCAAATGGAGAAGTCAGGGAACAACAGAGATCTGCAGAGAGCCAGAGGGAGCCTGGCAGCGTCCATCCCAGCCCCGTCTCCACAAAGGCAGATCCCCAGGACAGTTGAGGGCCCTCAGCCAAAATCTCCCAAGTTATAGTGGGGGTTCACATCTGCTAAGTGCTTACTATGTGCCAGACACTATTTCTAAACACTTTATAAATACTATAGGGTGGCTGGGCACAGTGGCTCATGCCTGTAATCCCAGCACTTTGTGAGGCGAAGACAGGTGGATCTCTTGAGCTCAGGAGTTCAAGACTAGCCTGGACAACATAGAGATACCCGTCTGTATAATTTTTTTTTTTTTTGAGACAAGAGTTTCACTCTGTTGCCCAGGCTGGAGTGCAGTGGCATCATCTCAGCTCACTGCAACCTCCGCCTCCTGAGTTCAAGCAATTCTCCTGCCTCAGTCTCCTGAGTAGCTGGGATTACAAGTGTGTGCCACCACGCCCGGCTAAATTTTTGTATTTTTAGTAGAGATGAGGGTTCATCATGTTGGCCAGGCTAGTCTCGAACTCCTGACCTCAAGTGATCTGCCCACCTTGGCCTCCCAAAGTGCTGGGATTACAGGTGTGAGCCACCACGTCCGGCCTCTACAGAAAATTTTTAAAATTAGCCTGGCATGGTACCGTGTACACCTGTGATCCCAGCTACTCAGGAGGCTGAGGCAGGAGGATCACTTGAGCCCAGGAAGTAGAGGCTGCAGTGACCTGTGATGGAGCCACTGCCCTCCAACCTACGTGACAGAGTCAGAACCTGTCTCAAAAATAAATATTTTATTTTATATTTTATATTATTTTATTTTTGTTTGAGATGGTGTCTCACTCTGCCACCCAGGCTGGAGTGCAGTGGCACGATCTTGGCTCACTGCAACCTAAACCTCCTGGGTTCAAGCAATTCTCCTGCCTTAGCCTCCCGAGTAGCTGGGATTACAAGAGCATGCCATCACGCCCAGCTAACTTTTGTATTTTCAGTAGAGATGGGGTTTCACCATGTTGGCCAGGCTGGTTTCAAATTCCCGACCTCAAGTAATCCACCCACCTCGGCCTCCCAAAATGCTGGGATTACAGGCATGTGCCACCGAGCCTAGCCTCAAAAATAAATAAATACATAAATAAATAAATCCTCCAGGAGCTCAGTTCACCCTCACCGAGCCCTCTGAAGCAGCCACTGTCGTCCTCCCCTGTTAGAGATGCTAATATGGGGCCAGCAAGCCCTTGGTCAGGCAGCAGGGCTGTCACCCCCAGCATCTTTGGTGGGGTCACAAGTCGGCGCAAATCACCCTACTCCTTGACAACATCAAGCTCCCCTGCAACATCTCCATCAGACACACATGGAGCTGCCATCATACAGAAAGATTTATACACTGAGACCTTATACAAAGCAATGGGTGGTGTTCAAGATTATATCAAAGGGACAGAATGAGTAGTTTTAACAGTTCCGTCTGTACTTATTTCAATGTCTGTCAGCAAAATGCTGGGTTTCATTTACAGTAGTGACATAAATGTTTCTTTTTAATTAAATGATTAAGGTTTTCAAAATAAATCTCTTTAGGGCCGGGCACAGCAGCTCACACCTGTAATCCCAGCGCTTTGTGGGAGGCTGAAGCGGGCAGATTGCTTGAGCCCAGGAGTTCAAGACCATCTTGGGCAGCATGGCAAAATCCTATCTCTATGAAAAATACAAAAATTAGCCAGGCATGGTGGTATGTGCCTGTAGTCCCAGCTACTTAGGAGACTGAGACAGGAGGATCACCTGAGGCCGGGAAGTCAAGGCTGTGGTGAGCCGTGATTGTGCCACTGCACTCCAGCCTGGGTGACAGAGTGAGATCCTATCTCAAAAATAAATAATCAATAAATCTATTTAGAGAAAAATATTTGCCCAGGTGCAGTGGCTCACGCGTGTAATCCCAGCACTTTGAGAGGCCAAGGCAGGCGGATCACCTGAGGTCAGGAGTTCCAGACCAGCCTGGCCAACATGGCGAAACCCATCTGTACTAAGAATACAAAATTAACCGGGTGTGGTGGCGCACACCTGTAGTCCCAGCTACTTGGGAGGCTGAGACAGGAGAATTGCTTGACCCAGGAGGCAGAGGTTGCAGTAAGCCGAGATTGTGCCACTGCACTCCAGCCTGGGCAAGACAGAGCAAGACTCCATCTCAAAAAAAAAAGGAAAATATTAAACAAATTGTAGTGAGAATGGCATGTGGATGAGGATGCACCTGGGTGACCTAAGCCTGGGAGACCTGGCTCGAGTCTTGCACATCTTTCTTTTTTTTTTGAGACAGAGTCTCGCTCTGTCACCCAGGCTGGAGTGCGGTGGCGTGATCTTGGCTCACTGCAACCTCCGCCTCCCAGATTGCAGCGATTCTCCTGCCTCAGCCTCCCAAGTAGCTGGGACTACAGGCACATGCCACCACTTCACTCCCGGCTAATTTTTGTATTTTTTAGTAGTGATGGGGTTTCACCATATTGGCCAGGCTTGTCTCGAACTCCTGGCTTCATGATCCACCTGCCTCGGCCTCCCAAAGTGCTGGGATTACAGGTGTGAGCCACTGCACCCGGCCTTTTTTTTTTTTTTGAGACAGAGTTTCGCTGTTATTGCCCAGGCTGGAGTGCAATGGTGCGATCTCAGCTCACCGCAACCTCCGCCTCCAGGGTTCAAGCGATTCTCCTGCCTCAGCCTCCTGAGTAGCTAGGATTACAGGCATGCACCACCACGCCTGGCTTATTTTGTATTTTTAGTAGAGATGGGGTTTCTCCATGTTGGTCAGGCTGGTCTCGAACTCCCAACCTCAGGTGATCTGCCTGCCTCGGCCTCCCCAAGTTCTAGGATTACAGGCTTGAGCCACCGCGCCCGGCTGGGTCTTGCTCATCTTGAAGACAGCTAACCCTGCCAGGGCCTCTTGGGGCTGTGCAGCCCCTCACTCACCCTCTCACCTGCCACTGCCATAGCATCTTCCTCGATACAGCCCCATAGACTTGAAAGTCATCATCAAATGCCCCTCAGCCTCTCTCAGCCCTTTATGCATGTGGGTTTCTCATGTTAGGTTCATTCTGCTTCTGGTGATGAAAGAGGAACCTAGAAAGGCTGATAAATTACTGAAATCTACAAATAGAAGGCCAAGTATGAAGACAGCAAGGAATGAGGAAACCCCACCCCATTCCTTGGACTCAGCCCTGGGCCTCCTGCCCCTGGCCAGCCTTATGAGGCACCAGCAGTAGAAATGTCACCCCAGGGTCCTCTGCTGAGAGTCCTCTCAGTCATGGTCTGTGAACGGGAGCTGCGAGGGCAGCACTTGAGGCCAACACCGTCCCCCTCCAATGCACGATGGACACTCCGGGGAGTGTGGTGGCACAGAGCGGCCTCTTGGCTCCAGATGTGGATCCTACAGAGAGTTCTGAGGTTCAGTGCCCCCTCCACCCACCCGGCCTCGTAACAACCCTGGCGATAACACAAAAGGCGTTCTTCTTTGGCAGATAGGGAAATTTTAAAGATAATACTCATAAGTGAGCCTGGGGGGACTTGTTCTATGGGCTGGGACTCAAACCAGCCACCAAAACCCACTGTCGGAGGAGCTTCTCAGAGGCCAGAATCAAACACCACCGGCCCTGTGAGTGCCCGGCCTCTGCCACAGCTGGGTGGGTGCCCAGCCAAGGAAGCTTGTGCCCCATCATTCAGGGCATTGTTCTCCCTTAGAAGAGGATCTCGAAAGCAGAAGGAAATTAGAAACAACCGCACAATGAATACCAGATTCTGCTTTCTCTCAGCTCTGTCTGCCAGGAGATTAGGCAGGGTTGGCTGACAGCGTGCCCCGCCCGGCAGCTGCTCGCCCTCCAGGATGTCCGCGCCGTGGGGAAGCGGGGGTCCCGCTGGCCTTCTAGCTCTCTATTTATCTCCAAAGTGTCCGGTTTTCTTTCTCCTGCTAGATGCGGATTCCTTGAGGGCAGAGTCACATCTGACGCCCCTTTCCCATGGGGCACAGCACGCATGCGCGATGGGCACTCCGGGTGCGTCAGCTGATTACCTGATTTCATCTGGGCAGATGTGATGGCACAAGGGCAGTGACCCTGTGCCAGACACTTTCCTAAACAGGCATAAGCTCACTGAATCCCGGAGCCTTCCCATGAGGGAGAAACAATCTTTAATCTCATTTTAGAGATGATGAAGTGAAGTCCAGGCAGCCCAGCCAAGGGGCAGGACCGATCTGATGGAAGCAGCTTTGCTGGGACCAAACGACTCTGTTCCTCGCCCATTACCAACACTACCTCCTCCAACAACACAGGAGACGTGCATGGAGCCCTCCTTCGGTCACAGTCCTACCCCACGTGCTGGATAAATAAAGAGGGTGACCTAAAAGCAAATATGACTCCTTCTGAACTCTCACCCTGCCAGACAGCGATGATAGGGATATTATGCTCATGACACCTGGCCACACGTGACCCAGTGGAGAAGTCAGGGAGCAACAGAGATCTGCATTAAGGAGCTACCGAGAAGGAGACATACAGAGCTATTGTCAATCAAACCAACCAAGCTTCTGAACATTCCCGCTAAGAACTTCTTTAGAATGCACTATTTTTTTTTCTGTTGGGGCTATTATTCATTTTAACCTAATGTTATGTTTTAAGCCTCCTACGTAAGTACACACCAGCTTTAAATGTTGTGGAATACTGAGCTCATATATCTAGTCAAACTTCTGTTTGCTTTTTGCTGCATCCATAGCTACGATTTGAATAAATAAAGGAGAAAGGTTTGGCTCCCAATCCTACTCCCTGGGCCCCATGCCATCATTCCCCAAAACAAAGGAGGAAAGATGCCAGAAGTGAGAGAACAGGGGTAATGGTGAAGAAAAACAACATCCTGGCCAGGCACAGTGGCTCAGGCCTGTAATCCCAGCACTTTGGGAGGCTGAATGGGGAGGATCACTTGAGCACGGAAGGTCAAGGCTATAGTGACCCACGATTGTACCTCTGCACTCCAGCCTGGGCAACAGAGCAAGACCCTGTCTCAAAACACCAAAAAACAGTCCGGGCGCAGTGGTTCATGCCTATAATTCCAGCACTTTGGGAGGCTGAGGCAGCCAAATCACCTGAGGTTAGGAGTTCCCGACCAACCTGGCCAACATAGTGAAATCCTGTCTCTACTAAAAATACAAAGTTAGCTGGGCGTGGTAGCGGGTGCCTGTAGTCCCAACTACTCAGGAGGCTGAGGCAGGAGAATCACTTGAACCCAGGAGGCGGAGGTTGCAAGATCACACCACTGCACTCCAGCCTGGGCAACAGAGCAAGACACTGTCTCAAAACAAACAAACAAGCAAACCAAAACAAAAATATCATCCTATTCTGGGTGGTACAGAGCAGGGGCAGGCTCCCCAGGGAGGGATGCAGGAGGGGCAGGAAGGCATTTCATTAATTTCCTACAAGGAGTCAGCACATTTTATAACTATGGGCAGGGAAGGGAGAAGAAGAGCTGCCAACCCACCCCTCTGCAGATGAGGTCACAGGCTCGGAGGGCGCCAAAGAAGCCTAGCCTGTAAGTGCTTGACCAGGACCTGAACCTGGAACCTGAAACTCAAGTCCTCTCTTCCCAGCTCAGGGCTCTCCCCCTCCACCTGGCTCCCCACCTGACTCTGCAGGATCTGGTGGCTCTGTGCTGTTTGTTAAGTGACCTGCTCCCTCTGGATTGCATCCCATAATAGCCACACCCATGACTATATACTGGGTGGTTCCGTTCGTCCAAACAAGAAAACCCAAGGAGTGAGCTTTGTCCCGGGACTTCCCAGGGCACAACCACGCAGATGTGGACTGGGGTTTTCTAAAGAGTCTATTATATCAGATGATTAAAACAAAGATGCAGGAGAGGTGAAGGTCATGGATTCAATCTCTAAATGAGCCCACTGTCACACAAAGGAAAATGAGGGGGATCTGTCCTGGCCGGGCATCTTCATGTTTTGTCATCCACCTTCCTGCCCTCCTGTCTCAAAAGGCACCAGAATCTTCTCAGAAAAGCCTTCCTGCTTGATCCAGTGACAACCACCACCTCCTGGGCACTCGATGCCACCTCCATGCCTCCTTCAGGACGTGGGGATCCATTATCCCATCTTGCTTCAAAATCTTTACCCTCTCTCTCACCAGCTCCTTTTGCTCAGCCTATAAACATCAAGTCTCCCCCAAACTGAAAAGATCTCCCTATGTCTGCCTCCTGCACCCAGTGATGGTGCCACCTCTCCTCTTACCTTCAACACTAGGCTTCCTGGTAGTCCCCCTTAATCTCCTAAACTTCTCCCAGTAATTCCTAAGCACCCCCTCCCCTGCCAAAATGTGCAATCAAGCCCAGCCGTTCTATGGAAACAGCCCTCTCAAGGGCCACACATAGTCCACTAAGTGTCACATCTAGGGGCTACTTCTCAGCACCCATCCCACTCGACCTCCCTGCATCAATTAACCCAGCAGAAAAACTCTTCCTTATGAAATGTGCTAATGGCAAGCGCTATTCCCTCCTTACTCAAAAGGCATTTCCCTCCCCTTGGCTGGAAGAATCCTGTTTGTTCAAGGACAGGAAAGAGATTTTTTGATTTCACCAAGACAGGCACAGCCCCTGGTCCAAAGCAAGCATGTGTCCTTCTGCCCAGTGGGATCTAGGGGGAGATTAGCAGGAATCTTCTGGGGACGATCCCTCCATCATCACCACCCCACATCCCACCAATAAAAGAGGCATGAGGAGAACGTCTGTTCCACGCTGTTGCTATCTCCTGCCTTTGAACGCATCATGTGAGGATGTAATGCCCAAGGCTAGGAGAAAGGCAAGAGGGCCTCGGTGACACTGACACAGAGCTTTGCTGCTGAACACCCAGACTGTGAGAAAAATCAACCCTTTCATCTAATCACCTGGACAACTTTGCTGTTACCCACAGTGAAAAGCCTCCCAAGCTGACATAGCCCTCCTCCCTCGGTTACTGCCTCCTCCCTCTGTCCCTCCTTATCAAGTCCGCTTGACAGCCCCTCTGCCCACCTCTTGAATCTCAGTGTTCTCCTGGCCCTCTGCCCCCGTGGACCTCTGAAGTTCATGCCCTCATCATCTACCTGTTTGTCAACTCAGTGAATACCTGTCAGCACCTTCTATGTTCCAATAGGTATGGTAGAGTTGACACTCTAGTGGGGGAGAGAAACAATAAATAAGATGAACAACTAAAAAATTCCAAGTTGTGATCAGTGTATGCTCTGAATGAAATGACTGGCTAAAGAGGATGCTGAGAGGGCCTGTGGAGCCCTCTCAGGTCGTGGGCAGTGACCTGAGAGGGGACATTTAGCTTGAAGTTTGAAGAATGGGAAGGAGCCAGCCACGCAAAGGCAAGGACGAGCATTCCCAACAGTGGCGACGATGGTGAACCCTGGATGAAGACCTGAGGAAGGAAAGACATGGCGTGTGGGGACCAAAAGGAAGCCAGTGAGGCTAGAGGGACAAGAGTGATGAGGAGAGGGGACATCAGGTGAAGCTGGGATCTGGCGTAGAACCTTGTAAGCCACAGGAAGATGGTGGTTGTTATGCTGAGTGTGGCTGGAAGTCATCGGATATGAGGATTCACAATCAAATGTGTGTTACTAAAAGATCCCTGTGGCTGAAATGTGGAGCTGGATGGAAGAGGAAAGATCATGGACCATGCGGACTCACAGCCGTCCAGGTGAGATGGTGGTGACTCGCCACACTACCTGCAGTGGTGGCGGTAGAGATGGAGAGAGGTGGCCACCTTTGTGATGTCTTTCCAATGTGGAAATTATAGGACTTGCTGACAAGGGGATGTGAGGGCTGAGGAAGAGGGAGGCATTGAGGATAACACTCAAGTTTTCTAGTTTGAAGGCAGGCGGGCTGATACTATTTGTTGAGATGGAGAAGCAGGTTCAGGGGTGGGGGAGGCAAATCATTTTGGAGCTCCACTTTGAGTTCCATTTGGGAAATGCTGAGCTTGAAATGCTTGAGAGACATCCAAGTGAAGAAGAAAGGGGCAGCTCAGTGTTCAAGGCTGGAGCCCAAGGAGTTGGGAATTGTCAACCTACAGATGGTATTTAAAGTTCTGGGAAGGCCGGGCACAGTGGCTCACGCCTATAATCCCAGCACTTTGGGAGGCCGAGGTGGGCGGATCACAAGGTCAGGAGATAGAGACCATCCTGGCTAACACAGTGAAACCCCATTTCTATTAAAAATACAAAAATTAGCCAGGCGTGGTGGTGGGCACATGTAGTCTCAGCTACTCGGGAGGCTGAGGCAGGAGAATGGTGTGAACCCCGGAGGCAGAGGCTGAAGTGAGCCGAGACTGCGCCACTGCACTCCAGCCTGGGTGACAGAGCGAGACTCTGTCTCAAAGATAATAATAATAATAATAAAGTTCTGGGAATGGGTAAGGCTCACCACGCAGAGCCATCAGGTCATTTGAGCTACAAGTAGCGTTTATTTTTCACTTCTTGCTCTCTCTTCTCATGGTGTGAGTTTGCCACAGGCTATCAAGTCTAAATCCAGTGTATTTCTGACAGCTATGCTCTCTCCTTCCGTTCCCTGGCTGGGGCCCTTCCAGCCTTCACCTTGCCTCCCCTGGAGACTTTTCATAACTACCTGGCCTTGGTCTCTCCAGCTCACCTGCACCCTGCCACCTGTGGGGTCTGCCCCCTGCTCAGCTGTAGAAAAGCTGAAACCAGAGAGGGAGGCAGGAGGCAACCTCAGAGAGCCAGCTGTGGGGCAACACCAGGCGGGATCAGGGTCACCCAGGCCTGAGCTGGAGAGGGGCCAGCGACCAAGAGAGAACCAGGTGCCCAGCTTATAACCACAGCAACCGGGGAGAGCAGGGGCAGAGGCTGGTAGTGCACCCTATTCTTCACCCTAGTCTGATGAAATGGCTTTATTAGTCCAGCTCACTGGCACCAACCCAGGCAGTTTCAAAGCTAAAGCTACCACCCAACACCTGGCATGCCAGGGGACGCTCGTGAAAACAAATACTGGCAAAAATAACAATGACTAACGTTTATTGAACTCTTCCAATGTGGTGGTTCGTCCCGGCTCCACTATGTGACTGGGCTTGGTGAACTCTCCTAGCCTCATCTGTAATGTGGGATTCAATGAGTTGACTCACGATAAAGTATCTTAGCTGATGCCTAGCACAAAGAAAATGCTCAATACTGAAAGGTATAATTGCTGTGAATATGATTATGATTAAAACAAAAGTCAACTCGTGTCTTTTTCCTGCGTGAAAATCTCCAGTGGAGGCAGAGCGCAGTGGTTCACATCTGTAATCCCAGTGCTTTGGGAGGCTGAGGTAGGTGGATCGCTTGGGCCCAGGAGTTCAAGACCAGCCTGGGCAGCATAGCGAGACCCTGTTTTTTATTTTATTTTGTTTTCTTTTGTTTTATTTTATTTTATTTTATTATTTTATTTTATTTTATTTATTTTATTTATTTACTTTATTTATTTTATTGAGACAGAGTTTCACTCTTGTCATCCAGGCTGCAGTGCAATGGTGTGATCTCACGGCACACGGCAACCTCTGCCTCCTGGGTTCAAGCAATTCTCCTGCCTCAGCCTCCCAAGTAGCTGAGATTACAGGCACCCACCACCACGCCCGGCTATTTTTTTTGTATTTGTTGTTGTTGTTGTTGTTTATTTATTTGTATTTTTAGTAGAGATAGGGTTTCACCATGTTGGCCAGGCTGGTCTCAAGCTCCTGACCTCAGATGATCCAACTGCCTTGGCCCCCCAAAGTACTGGGATTAAAGGTGTGAGCCACCACCCTTGGCCTCTATTTTAAAATAAATAATAGAGAATTTAAAATTTAAAAATCTCCAGCAGCTCCCTGCCCCCAGACATAAGACTTCACCATCAGCCAGCCCATGCAAACTACAGCTCCAGCTGTGCCGTGTCCCTCACCATTTCCTGCAAGTGCCATGCACCGTCAGACCTCCAAGCCTCTGCTCCCACCGTCTCCCTTGCCTGCAATACCCTCCTTGAGCTTCTCCACCAGAGAGAGGAAGTCATCAGCAGAGCAGTCAACAGCCAATAGCCCTAGGCCCATTGGACTTTCAGACTGGGACGCCTCTCTCGCCTTTGCGTTCTGGGCATCTAGCACAGCACCAGACAATAGGTGCTGATGGCAGAAATATTAAAAGGTTGTTACATTTTTAACGAGCAGAGAAGGTGGGTGGCAAGCTCAGTTCAAGATTCCAGGAAGAGGCTGGACGTGGTGGCTCACGCCTGTAATCGCGGCACTTTGGGAGGCCAAGGCGGGAGGAGAAGAGATGAGACGGAGACCCATCTTTGGTACATGGAGATGATGTCACTGACCCAAAGCTAGGCAGGGGGCAGGCTCAGATGTTGGTTCTTCCTGGAATCTTTTTTTTTTTTTTTGATACCGAGTCTCAGTCTGTCACTCAGGCTAGAGTGCAGTGGTACAATCTCAGCTCACTGCAACTTCCGCCTCCTGGCTTCAAAGCAATCCTTGTAACAAGACTTCAGTTTAAAGAAAACCAACAACATAATGTGTTTAGGAACCCAAGACCAGAGCAAAATGTCGGGTCAGAGAAAGGCCCTCCTCCAGCCCCGCTTCCCATCCAGGACCCTCCTCATTCTCAGACACTCGCCCTATGTCCACTCTAGGCCCTTCCCAGCTGACAGCCTGGCAGGATGGCTGCCAGTAATTGTTTGAAATGGTTGCTTAATAGGATTATCTCAAAGATAAAAAATCTTCCATCTAAAAAAAAAATTGGCCAGGCGCGATGGCTCATGTCTGTAATCCCAGCATTTTGGGAGGCCAAGGCGGGCAGATAACTTGAGGTCAGGAGTTCAAGACCAGCCTGGACAACATGATAAAACCCCGTCTCTACTAGAAATACAAAAATCATCCAGGCATAGTGGCGTGAGCCTGTAATCCCAGCTACTCAGGAGGCTGAGGCAGGAGAATTGCTTGAACCAGAAGGTGGAGGTTGCACTTAGCTGAGATTGCACCATTGCACTCCAGCCTGGGTGACAGAGCGAGACTCCGTCTCAAAAAAAAAAAAAAAAAAATTAATCTCATAGGATAGATGGCACTTCAGAGCTCGTAACAACTAGCAAACTAATTTTTTTTTTTTTTTTTTGGACAGAGTCTTGCTCTGTCACCCAAGCTGGAGTTCAGTGGCAGGATCTCGCCTCACTGCAAGCTCCGCCTCCCAGGTTCACGCCATTCTCCTGCCTCAGCCTCCCGAGTATCTGGGATTACAGGCACCCGCCACCAAGCCTGGCTAATTTTTGTATTTTTTTTTTTAGTAGAAACTGGGTTTCACCGTGTTAGCCAGGATGGTCTCGATCTCCTGACCTCGTGATCCACCTGCCTCGGCCTCCCAAAGTGCTGGGATTACAGGCGTGAGCCACCGCACCCAGCCTGCAAACTAATCTTAAGAAGCCTGCCTGGCAGGGCACAAATCCCACCCCAAAGAGAGTAATGACAATAACAGATACATTTGTTAAGTACTTCCTTTATGTCAGGCAGTTTACATTTGTAATCTCATGTTATCCTTATAGAAATACTGTGATGTACATGGCTTACTATCTCCATTTGCAGCAAGAGGGAAACTGAGGCTAAGGAAGTGCACCCAGTCAGTGAGAAAGCCAGAACTGGATGCAGGCCGTCCCGCTCTGGAACTCGTGCTACTCAGCCTATTCCATTGCATTGTCTGCAGAGAGGGTCTATGCTGTGATTCCACAGGTCAAGGGCTGAGAGGTCTGTTGGATTCCTGTGGTTTCTTACGAGCTGCTATTATTGGTTGTGTGGACGGATGGGTGATTGGAGGCAGAATAGGAAGGAGTTGTCAGAGCAGTCACCCAGGGACGGCCTCATTCAAGCCTTCATGTTCATGCCATATTTTTATCTTGGCCTTTATCTAAGTCTTCTCATGCTTAGGGATGACCCAGATTGATGACAGCAGGCATCTTCAGCAACCTCTGCACCCTGAGTCTGAGCTCTTCCTGGGCTCACACAATGGGACAGGTGAGATGGTAAAAGGTGTTTCAGGCCGGGCGCGGTGGCTTACCGCACCTGTAATCCCAACACTTTGGGAGGCCAAGGCGGGCAGATCACTTGAGGTCAGGAGTTGGAGACCAGCCTGGCCAACACGGTGAAACCTTCTCTTTACTAAAAATTAAAAAATTAGCCAGTCGTGGTGGCACGCACCTGTAGTCCCAGCCACTTAAGAAGCTAAGGCACAAGAATCGCTTGAACCCAGGAGGTGGAAGTTGCAGTAAACCAAGATCAAGCCACTGCACTCCAGTGGGCAACAGAGCGAGACTCTGTTTCAACAAAAAAGGTGTTTCAGCAAATTTTGCAAGAATAATATGACCACCCTACACCCATCTGCTGCCCAAAACAAAGTCGTATGTCCCAGGAGCATCCCACCTCCAAACCCCACCCCCATCTATATACTTCATTAACGGAGGAATGGACACCATCACCTCCATGGCACGTCGGAAGGAATGTGTCTGCTTTATCCCACAATGCAGACTGATCTTTCATCATCAATGCCTTAAAGCTAATCATTACTGCTCTTGCCTAACTCGTCATCAGCTTCCCTGATGACGACTTCAGCTCAAGGGTAATCTCTTCCACCTCATCCTGGTTCAAGGAGAAACCATGACATTCAGCCCCATTTGGATTGTGGAAGTCAAATGAGTGGTAACAATAATAAGAATAATAATTTAGCTATAATTTATTGGGTACTTACTGTGTGTCAGGAACATGACAACTCAGAGATAAGGAAACTGAGGCTTAGAAACACCCCAGGAGACCCAGCTAGTCAACAGCAGAACCAGGATTCGAACCCAGGACCTGAACTTGGCACTGCACCACTGCCTTGCAAGAAGGCTCCAGTCTGGTGTCTGTAAGAGCTGCAAGAGCATTCAAGGCTGTCTCAGTCCACCAAAAGGGGTGGGTGACTTGAGGAGCCTCTGGAAGTCAAAGGTAGAGTTTGAATTCTAGGTCTGAATTTAGCGGGCTATGTTCTAGGAACACATCTCAACAAGAGGATTGTGTCAACACATGCTGCCGTGTGCACAGTCAGAAATTCTAAATTACTTCCCAAAGCTGCCCAAGAATTTGAAAAGAATCCTTCCCATCTGGCCGGGCGCGGTGGCTCACGCCTGTAATTCCAGCACTTTGGGAGGTCGAGGCAGGCGGATCACAAGGAACAGCCTGACCAACATGGTGAAACCCCGTCTCTACTAAAAATACAAAAATTAGCCAGGCATGGTGGCATGTGCCTGTAATCCCAGCTACTCTGGAGGCTGAGGCAGGAGAATCTGTTGAACCCGGGAGGCGGAGGTTGCAGTGAGCCGAGATGGCGCCACTGCACTGCAGCCTGGGCAACAGAGCGAATCTCTGTCTCAAAAAAAAAAAAAAGAAAGAAAATTGGCTGGGTACGGTGGCTCATGCCTATAATCCCAGCACTTTGGGAGGCGGAGGCGGGCGGATCACGAGGTCAGGAGATCTAGACCATCCTGGCTAACATGGTGAAACCCGGTCTCTACTGAAAATACAAAAAATTAGCCGGGCGTGGTGGCGGGCGCCTGTAGTCCCAGCTACCCGGGAGGCCGAGGCAGGAGAATGGCGTGAACCCGGGAGGCGGAGCTTGCAGTGAGCCGAGATCCTGCCACTGAACTCCAGCTTGGGCGACAGAGCGAGACTCCATCTCAAAAAAAAAAAAAAAAGAAAAGAAAAGAAAAGAACTAAGAATCCCTCCCATCTTCAAGAAGTTATGAAAAACCAATCTAAATAACAACACAAAATGTGAATAAGAAGGTGAAGGAACTGAAATGTTTCATAATGAGAGCTGGAACTTCTGACCCTCATTCCAGCAATATTTTCGCAGGATGCCACCCTGGGGACCCGCTCCTTTAGCCAAAATTATGGGGTAAGGAGATGTCAAGCCCAGAAACCCCCAGCCTTTCAGGGTTCACAGGGATAGATCTGCCAGGGCGATGGGGAGAAGAGTGGGAGGGGGAGGAGAAGAGGAAGAAGAGGGAGAAAGGAGTGAGAGGCATTTAATGAGTGATCTCCCCACACTCGTCATGGGATATGCAGGGAACTGAAATGCCTGCCCCCATGTCTGCTCCAGCCCCTCCTCAAACGGCTCCAAGAAGTTGAGAACCCACACCTTCCTTAAGTGATCTCCACTGAAGGCTCAGATTTGCATTTCTTTTTATTTATTTATTTTTTTTTTTTTTTTGAGATGGAGTTTTGCTCTTTTGCCCAGGCTGGAGTGAAGTGGCATAATCTCAGCTCATTCACTGCAACCTCCGCCCCGTGGGTTCAAGCGATTCTCCTGCCTTAGCCTCCCCAGTAGTTGGGATTACAGACGTACGCCACCATGCTTGACTAATTTTTGTATTTTTAGTAGAGACAGGGTTTTGCCACATTGGTCAGGCTGGTGTCCAACTCCTGACCTCAGGTGATCCACCTGCCTCAGCCTCCCAAAGTGCTGGGATTACAGGCATGAGCCACCGCACCCGGCCACATTTCTTAAGGAAATGCACCAACTAGCTCCGCTAGAAGGCCTGAAATGGCTTCAGGACACTTAAAGGAATTGGCCCCCTTAAGAGAGTCTCCTGATCCCATGAAGGCTGGGCTGACTGGCAGCGCAGTGCTGGCTCCCCCATTTTGCCTTTCATTTTATTCCTCCCAAGCCACATTCCTTAAGAAATGTGGCCGGGCGTGGTGGCTCACGCCTGTAATCCCAGCACATTGGGAGGTCAAGGCGGGCGGATCTCCTGAGGTCGGCAGTTTGAGACCAGCCTGGCCAACATGGAGAAACCCTGTCTCTACTAAAAATACAAAATTAGCCAGGAGTGGTGGCGCATGCCTATAATCCCAGCTACTCAGGAGGCTGAGGCAGGAGAATCACTTGAACCTGGGAGGTGGAAGTTGCGGTGAGCTGAGATGGCGCCATTGCACTCCAACCTGGGCAACAAGAGCGAAACTCCATCTCAAAAGAAAAATTAGCTGGGCATGGTGGCGGGCACTTGTAATCCCAGCTACTAGGGAGGCTGAGGCAGGAGAATCGCTTGAACCTGGGAGGCGGAGGTTGCAGTGAGCCAAGATCGCACCATTGCACTCCAGCCTGGGTAACGAGCAAATCTCCATCCCCCCAAAAAAAAAAAAACTATACAAAATTAACTAGCTGTGGTGGCGGGTGCCTGTAATCCCAGCTACTTGAGAGGCTGAGGCAGGAGAATCACTTGAACCTGGGAGGCGTAAGTTGCAGTGAGCCAAGATCACGCCACTGCACTCCAGGCTGGGCAACAAGAGCGAAACTGTCTCCAAAAAAAACAAAAGAGGAAAGTCAGACACACAAAGAGACACCAGGGGTACACAAGCACAGAGGCAAAAGCATGTGAGGACGCAGGGAAAAGACAGCATCTGCAAGCCGAGAGAGGCCTCTCGGGAAGCTAACCCTGCAGACACCTTGATCTTGGACTTCCAGCCTCCAGAATGGTGACAAAATAAGTATATGTTGTTGAAGCCACTCAGACTGTATTATTTATGTTACAGCAGCCTGAGCAAAAAATACAGCCCTCATCATTGGCCTTTGCCACTTTCTGTGGCTGATAATGATAATAAAGGTTAACCTTAGTACAGGTCAAGCACTGTGCTAGGCGGTCTTTATGCTTTAGGCAGTTTGCACGCTTATTTCATTCAATCTACTGACAACATAGGGAACATTATTACCCCATTTTACAAAGGGGGAAACTGACACTCAGAGAGGTTAATAACTTGCCCAAGAGCACCCAGCAGATACATGACTGAGATTTCAACCCAGTTGGCTGGGTTGGCTCTCAGACCAGTTTGACCCTGGTGGACACTCCCTGGCCAGGTGTGAGGCTTGGCCCCATAGCTCCAGGCTGCCATTCAAGGCTGGTCTCCCTAGAATCTCAGTGGTGGCATGTCACCCCACGAGCCCATCAACTTCATGTCCCACAGCAGAGCCCTGCCTCCTCTGAAGGCCTGTAGATCACTTAGTAGATCTGGATCAGAGACTAGGATTTCACACTTATAAGCCCCACCCCTGCCACCGCCTACGGCTGAGTCTGGAGCAGGTGGTTCAGAGAGTCATCATTCCTTTCCTTTCTTCTCCTAGGGATGCCTCCAGCTCTTTGTCCTTTGTCAGCAGGAATGAGCCCAGGGAACAAACAAGCCCTTTACCTGCAGTCACCTGACCTCAGGAACTCTTCAAATCATCTCAGTAATGAAGTGCCCTAAGGACTCTAGCTCATTGATTCACCTTAGAAAAGTCTTAGTTCAGGATGGGCACGGTGGCTTATGCCTGTAATCCCAGCACTTTGGGAGGCCGAGGCGGGAGGATCACCTGAGGTCAGGAGTTCAAGACTAGCCTAGCCAACATGGCGAAATCTTCTACTAAATATACAAAAGAATACCCTCTACTAAAAATACAAAAAGTATGCCGGGCACGGTGTAATCCCGGCACTTTGGGAGGCTGAGGCAGGTGGATCATGAGGTCAGGAGATCAAGACTATCCTGGCTAACATGGTAAAACCCCATCTCTGCTAAAAGTACAAAAAAATTAGCCAGGCGTGGTGGCACACACCTGTAGTCCCAGCTACTCGGAAGGCTGAGGCAGGAGAATCGCTTGAACCCGGGAGGCAGAGGTTGAAGTGAGTCGAGATGTTGCCACTGCACTCCAGCCTGGGTGACAGACCGAGACTCCTTTTCAAAAAAAAAAAAAGACAAAACAAAATATGAAAATTAGCTGGGCATGGTGCCACAAGCCTGTAATCCCAGCTACTCAGGAGGCTGAGGCAGGGGAATAGCTTGAACCCAGAGGCGGAGGTTGCAGTGAGCCAAGATCAAGCCACCACACTCCAGTCTGGGTGACAGAGCAAGACTCCATCTCAAAAACAAAAAAAAAGGAACGAAAAGGCTTAGTTCAGCAAATTAACATGAAAACAGAAAGCCAAATACCACATTTCTCACTTATAAGTGGGAGCTAAATGCTGAGCACACATAGACATAAACATGGGAACAAGAGATACTGTCACCACCAGAGAGAGGAGGGAGGAATGGGGACATGGGCCGAAAACTACCTACTGGTGGTACTATGCTCACCACTTGGGTCCAATATACCCATGTGACAATCCTACGCATGTACCTCTGTATCTAAAAGAGAAGCTGAATTTTTTTTTTTTTTTTTTTTTTGAGATGGAGTCTTACTCTTGTTGCGCAGGCTGGAGCGCAGTGGCGCGATCTCAGCTCACTGCAACCTCCACCTCCCGGTTTCCAGCGATTCTCCTGCCTCAGCCTCCCGAGTAGCTGGGATTACAGGTGCCCGGCAACATGCCTGTCTAATTTTTTTTTTTGTATTTTTAGTAGAGACAGGGTTTCACCATGTTGACCAGGCTGGTCTCAAACTCCTGACCTCATGATCCACCCGCCTTGGCCTCCCAAAGTGCTGGGATTATAGGCGTGAGCCACTGCACTGGGCCTGAAAAGCTGAAATTTTTTTAAAAAGAGAGAAAGAAAATACTTAGTTCATAAGCAACAGAACTGATAGCTGTCCACCAAGAATAAGAACAGGACCACTTCTTCATCCCCACGTCAGAAGGTCAGAGCTTCAGTGGGCCTTAGGGACGGTCCCACTTGATCCCCTCACCAGAGGGGCCACAGGATACAGTACAGAGTGCACCACGGTTCTGAGACGGGAGAGTCTGGTGTAAGCTGGAGTGGACAGTCACTTTCTGCAACTAACTCACCCTCCCTACAACTCTTCTGCTGGAAAATGCCAAGTCACCCCTTATAATCAACAAAGCCAAGCTTTGTAAGTACTAAATTACTTTGGAGGGTGGGAGGAGGGCAGAAAAATTGGCCAGTACTCATTATAGCTTTCATTTCACTCTGTGTCAGGGTTCATTAGTTCCCTACCTGGCTTCTTCTGCCTGTGTTATAAACCTCTTGTGGACAGGAGCTAGCTCTGTTTCCTCCACTGCTCCCAAGGACAGGAGCTGGTTCTGTTTCCTCAAGGTGTAGATCCTGAACCACCTGCACCAGACTCACCTGGAGGGCTTATTCAATGTGAATTCCTGGTCCCTGCTCCAGATTTACTGAATCAGACACTCTAGGGTGGGACCTAGGAATTTGCCCCAAGTACCCCAGCTGTTTCAAAGTCCACTGCTCTGCTGGATTCTATGTTTAACTGTGGCCTGTCCCACTAAGAAAGCTGGCCAGGCCCTGGTGTGGAACTAGGTAGGATTGCCACCTGTCTTGGTTTGGACTGAGGGATTTCCTGGGATGAGCCTCTTGGGGTGCTAAAAGCAGGACAGTTTACAGGGCAAACTGGGATGGCTGGTCACCCCAGCACCTCTCCAAACTCCCCACACAAGGGCAAGGAGCAGGGGTTCCCAAGCTCACAGGTAAGAGGGTCCCCAAAGCACTCATACTTGGTAGTGGAATGCACCACAAATGTACTCACAGTTGAATGTGGACATGGGTGATATTTTGAGATTTCACAACACTTCACATGAAAAAATCAAATCAGACCACAGGGAACTGACTCAGGGCACTGGAAATGGATCCTGCTTCTCCAGCCTCTCCCCTGCCCAAAACCTTCAGTCTACACTGAAAGCAGCCATCACTTACCCTAAGCTGACTGTTCCTTCAGCATCAGAGGGTCATCCCTGGGGACGAGGAAGTCATGAAAATCATGGGATGTCAGGACCAGACACTCTCCTGGAGCTCACACAGCCCTGGCCCCTCATTTCTCAGAAGAGAAAACTAAAGTCCAGAAGGGCCCAGTGATGGAGAGGCACACAGCCAGCCAGCCCAGAGATGAATGCCCCTCTCCTGACCTCCACACCTCCACACAAGCCCCTCTGCTGGGCAGAAAATGACAGGAGCAGGAAAAAGCCCAGAAATATTCATTGAGAAGGAGGCCAGATGCGTAGAATAGTCAAAACAAAAGAGCCTTAAGGCATCATGGTCCCCTAATCTCCTGCATGTCACAGATGAAGAAACTGAGACACACAGAGGTCAAATATCTTTCCCAAGACGACATATAGGAAATCCCTCTTACAGGTCATTTAGGGTCTGTCCATAGTGGCTTTAGACGTGTGTACCACCAACAACTCTTGGCCAGACATGGTGGCTCACACCTGTAATCCCAGCACTTTGGGAGGCGGAGGCGGGCGGATCACCTGAGGTCAGGAGTTCAAGGCCAGCCTTGTCTACATGGTGAAACCTTATCTCTACTAATAATACAAAAATTAGCTGGGCATAGCTATTCGGGAGGCTGAGGCAGGAGAATCGCTTGAACCCAGGAGGCGGAGGTAGTGGTGAGCTGAGATCGCACCATTGCACTCCAGCCTGGGCAACAAGAGCAAAACTCCGTCTCAAAGAAAAAAAAAAAAAAAAGAGCTGGGCGTGGTGGCACACGCCTGTAATCCCAGCTACTCGGGAGGCTGAGGCACGAGACTCGCTTGAACTGGGGAGGCAGAGGTTGCAGTGAGCCAAGATCACACCACTGCACTCCAGCCTGGGTGACAGAGTGAAACCATGTCTCAAAAATAAACAAACAAACAAAAACCAGATCCGGAGACACGCTGCATCTGAGATGAGAGACTTTCATGACCATGTCCACAGGAAGGGAGGATGAGAGCACCAGGAGATGGACTGGAGACCCTGATCCACAGACAAAATTGGAAGCCTTCAGCCTGGGGGAGCTCCCCAAGAGGCAGTGTGGACATCAGGCCCAGTTGGCGTGACTTGATAGTAGCAGGGGGCGGCTGGGGTGACCTTCACTTTTCACTTTCAAACAGCTTTTGGGTTGTATGAAATAATTGATTAAAATTTTTAATTTTGTGATATCTTTACAAAAATGATTAAAGAGGGAAAAATACCTTTCTTGAGCAGATTGTGACAGAAGAGAAGGAGAGCAAGCCGTGAGTTTTGGAAAGCAGACAGATAAGGATGGTGGAATCAACTGCTGAGATCCAGGAAAAAGAACAAAAGACCCCTAGGACCCAGAGATAAAGTGGTCTCAGGTATCCTGGAGACGAGGTGGCTGTCATGTGGTAGAGTGGGACTTCAAGTAGCCTTTTTATTTTTGAGATGGCGTCTCAGAGTCTCGCTCTGTCACCCAGGCTGGAGTGCAGTGGCCGATCTCGGCTCACTGCAAGCTCCGCCTCCCGGGTTCACGCCATTCTCCTGCCTCAGCCTCCCGAGTAGCTGCGACTACAGGCGCCTGCCACCAGGCCTGGCTAATTTTTTTTTTTTTTTTTTTTTTGTATTTTAGTAGAGACAGGGTTTCACTGTGTTAGCCAGGATGGTCTCAATCTCCTGACCTCGTGATCCGCCCGCCTCGGCCTCCCAAAGTGTTGGGATTACAGGCGTGGGCCACCACGCCCGGCCAAATTCCCCTTTTTTTTTTTTTTTTTTTTTGAGACAGAGTCTCACCCTGTCACCAAGCTGGAATGCAATGGCACCATCTCAGCTCACTGCAACCTCCACCTCCCAGGTTCAAGTGATTCTCCTGCCCCAGCCTCCCAAGTAGCTGGGATGACAGGCATGTGCCACCACACCCAGCTAATTTTTGTATTTTTAGTACAGATGGGGTTTCACCATGTTGCCCAGGATGGTCTCGATCTCTTGACCTTGTGATCTGCCCACCTCGGCCTCCCAAAGTGCTGGGATTACAGGCGTGAGCCACTGCGCCCGGCCCAAGTTGCCTTTTTAAGTAAATTAAGAAGAAATCTAAATTTAATCAATCTAGAGATCATAAAACATTTCCATTTGTCAGAGTCAATAGTTAGAGAAGGGCCAAGCCTAAGGATTTTAGAAGTAATTCCTAAAAAGGATTTTAAATTCTCCATAATTGAGAATTCAAAAATATTACCTCCATAACCAGCCTGGCCAGCATACTGAAACCCCATCTCTACTAAAAATATGAAGAGTAGCTGTGTATGGTGGTGTATGCCTGTAATCCCAGCTACTCGGGAGGCTGAGGCAGGAGAATCACTTGAACCCGGGAGGCGGAGGTTGCGGTGAGCCGAGATGGCGCCATTGCACTCCAGCCTGGGCAACAGAGCGAAACGACATCTCAAAAAAAAAAAAAAAAACAACCTTCCACAGGATAGTTCACGGCAAAATGGGAACAATCTTCCAGGAACTGATGTCTTTGTGGTTGGCCCAGGAAAAAAATACCATGGCCATGTGGAATCCTTGGGGAATAAATGAGTCATTTTATAGGGAAGAATTTCCTGAATAGCTGAAGGTGAAACCTTTATGAGATGGGCATTTAAACTTTTAAATAGAAGTCCTTCTAAAATGGCCTCTTGGCCCCTGCATTTTAAAACACAGCACAAGGCACATTATTTCAGCAATCTCATTTTTAAGGTGGCACCCTAGAGCCTGCTGGCACCTGGAACTCCTCTTGTCAGCGTCTTACCTTCCCAACTTTCCCTCTCTCACCACAGTCCCCCCACCCCAACGCCCACCCTCCACCCGCTGGGCCTCCGCCACCTGACCTCCGCCCTCCCATCTCATCTCAACTCTCTGGTCCTGCCTCAGCCCTCTTTAGCACTGACAGTTATTCAAAGCTCAGCGGCCACACCCAGTGGATCAGCAGTTTTCTGTCTCTATTTGTGAAAGCTACAGAACTGGAAACTACTGAAGACTGTCCCAGAACCAGGCTGTGGATAATTACAGCAACAGGCAACGTTCCTTTGCCACAGGACACTTGATTTACATATTTTATGAAGTCCTTACACCCTCAAAAGCAGCCAAGCACAGGTGGTTTTAGCCACATTTTTATGACGAAACTAAGTTTTACAGGTTAGATGAGCTTTGAAGGGGCACCTGGTTGATAAACGGTAGATAGATAACTTAATCCAGATCTTCTAACGCTAAATCCACACACGTTGCTACTTCTTGAATCACCTAATCTTAAGGATCAGTTATCTAAAATCGCCCAGAAAATGGGCAGAAGGAGTGACAGTTGATTATCTGGTTACAAAGGGTTTCGACAATGTGACTGGTCTGGATGTCATTGTTAATAGCCCTTAGTAGAAGAAATAGATGAGGATGGAGGAGCTTTGTTAATTTAGTTTCAGAAGAGTTGGCTTCAGGCCGGGTGCGGTGGCTCACGCCTATGATCCCAGCACTTTGGGAGGCTGAGGCAGGCCAGTCACCTGAGGTCAGGAGTTTGAGACCAGCCTGGTCAACATGGAGAAACCCCGTCTCTACTAAAAATACAAAAATTAGCCGGGCGTGGTGCCTGTAATCCCAGCTACTCGGGAGGCTGAGGCAGGAGAATCACTTGAACCCAGGAAGCAGAGGTTGCAGTGAGGCGAGATCGTGCCCCTGCACTCCAGCCTGGGCGACAGAGCCAGACTCAGTCTCAAAAAAAAAAAAAAAAAAAAAAGAGTTGGCTTCTGCTATCTCCATCTGCCAGTCCTACAGACCAGGAATGTGTTTCTAACAATGTATCCATTTTAACCATATTCCAGGACAACAAGCAGTGTCTTCTGTTCCAATAAGTTGATTATAACAGGATGCTGGCAGTTTGGCTCTTTGCAGAGAGTACACACCCCACACTCACGCAAACTGGCGTCACTTTAAATTTGTGACCACAGATCTCAAGTTGCCACCCAGCACTGCCCGGAAATGCTGCTGCATTTCTTAGCAAATTCGCCTGTCCCTTTTTCAAGATGACTGCTCCGCTCCTCTCCTCCATCCTCCAGCCTCCAGCCTCCAGCCTCCAGCCTCCCTCCCGTCTTGCTTTCAGTTCATGATTTTGCCTTGTGCACCAAGAAAAATTAAGCCATGATCAAGAGCTAGCTCATCTTCCCTCCATCAACACTTCCATTTCCCTACATCCCACTGTGCGTGCTGTCAGGCCTGTTCTGCTGACAGGGTGACCGACTGTCCTGGTTTGCCTGGAACTGAGGGGGTTCCTGGGGTATGGAACTTGCTGGGTTTTTGGTTTTGGTTGTTTTTTTGTTTGTTTGGTTGGTTGGTTGGTTTGTTTTGGGTTTTGTTTTTGTTTTTGTTTTTTTGGGAGACAGAGTCTTGCTCTATCCCCCAGGCTGGAGTGCAATGGTACGATCTCGGCTCACTGCAACCTCCGCCTCCCAGGTTCAAACAATTCTCCTGCCTCAGTCTCCCAAGTAGCTGGAATTACAGGCGCCCGCCACCACGCCCGGCTAATTTTTTTTTTTGTATTTTTAGTAGAGATGGGGCTTCACCATGTTGGCCAGGATGGTCTCAATCTCCTGATCTCGTGATCCGCCCGCCTCAGCCTCCCAAAGTGCTGGGATTACAGGCTTGAGCTACCGTGCCCGATGAGTTTTTTTTTTAATAGGATCTTCCTGTGTCATCATTGCAGCCTCAACCACCCTGGCCCAAGTGATCCTCTCTCCTCAGCCTCCCAAGTAGCAGAAACCACAGGAACGGGCCACCATACCCTGCTAATCTGCTAATCTGCTAATCTTTTTCTTTTTTGGGGGCGGGGCGGTGTAGAGACAGACTCTTACTATGTTGATCCGGCTGGTCTCAAACTCCTGGGCTAGAGTGAGCCTCCTGCCTCAGCCTCCCAAAGTGCTGGGGTTACAGGCAGGAGCCACCGCACCCAGCCTGAACTTGCTATTTTAAAATTGGATTTTCAGCTGGGCACCTGGCTCACGCCTGTAATCCCAGCACTTTGGGAGGCTGAAGCGGGTGGATCACCTGAGGTCAGGAGTTTGAGACCAGCCTGACCAACATGGCGAAATCCTGTCTCTACTAAAAATACAAAAATTAGCCGGGCGTGGTGCCACGCACCTGTAGTCCCAGCTACTCAGGAGGCTGAGGCAGGAGAATCACTTGAACCCAGGAGGCGGAGGTTGCAGTGAGTTGAGATCGTGCCACTGTACTCCAGTCTGGGCAACAGACCAAGATTCCGTCTCAAAAAAAAAAAAAATTAGCCAAGTATGGTGGCATGTACCTGTAGTCCCAGCTATTTGAGAGGCTGAGGTAGGTGGATCCCTTGAGCCCAGGAGGTCGAGGCTACAGTGAGCTGTGATGGTGCCACTGCACTCCAGCCTGGGCGACAGAGGGAGACCTTGACTCAAAAAAAGAAAAAGAAGTACACGCTTGGGTGATCTGGCAGCGTCAGGTTGCTGTAAAAGTTGCAGAACACCTGGTCTCAGTTTCTATAAGGTGTTTCCTTGTGGAGCAGTAACAAACAGCTCCTGGACAGACACAGTCGGGAACCCCTTTTGAAGAGCTTTCCTCTAGATCCCACATCCTCCTGGCTTTCCTCCTCTCACACTTGCTGTTCCTCCCGTTTCCTTTGCTGCATCCTCTTCCTTTTCCTTTTCCTAGATCCCAGATGTTGGAGAGCCCCAAGTCTCAGCCCTTGGTCCTCTCTGTTCTTACTCCATCCTCTCCCAGTTGGTGCCAAGCAGTCTCTTGGCTGTAAATATCACCTACACACTGATGGCCCTTGCGGTGGATAGAGTTCTGTCCCCCCCTCGAAAGATATGTTGAACTCCTAACCCCCAGTACCTGTGAATGGAATCTTATTTGGAAACACGGTCTTTGCAGATGTGATCAAATTTTACCGTGCGGTCGCTGGGCATGGTGGCTCACGCCTGTAATCCCAGCACTTTGGGAGGCCGAGGTGGGTGGATCATGAGGTCAGGAGTTTGAGACCAGCCTGACCAACATGGTGAAACCCCGTCTCTACTAAAAATACAAAAATTAGCTGGGCGTTGTGGCAGGCGCCTGTAATCCCAGCTACTCAGGAGGTTGAGGCAGGAGAATCACTTGAACCCAGGAGGCGGAGGTTGCAGTGAGCCAAGATCGTGCCATTGCACTCCAGCTTGGGTAACAGAGTGAGACTCCGTCTCAAAATAAATAAATAAATAAATAAAAATTAAAATTAAAATTAAAAAAATTTTACCATGAGGTCATATTGAATTAGAGTCAGCCCTGATCTAATGACTGGTGTCCTTATAAGAGGAAACACAGAGACACAGATAAAGGCAGCCACATGGAGATGGGGGCAGAAATTGGAGTTATGCTGCTCTAAGCCAAGAAACACCAAGGATTCTGAGCACCAGCAGCTAGAAAGAGGCAAAGGAGGATTCTTCCCTAGAACCTTTCAGAGGGAACATGACCCTGCTAGCACTGTAATTTTGGGCTTCTGTCCTCCAGAACTGGAAGACAATAGCCTCCAGAACAATAAGTGGCTGTTGTTCAAAGCCACTCAGTTTGTGATAATTATAGCAACCAAAAGAAACTAATACAACCCTCAATTTATATCTCTAGCCTGGGCCGGGTGTGGTGGCTCATACCTGTAATCCCAGCACTTTGGGAGGCCGAGGCGAGTGGATCACTCAAGGCCAGGAGTTCGAGATCAGCCTGGCCAACATGGCGAAATCCCGTCTCTACTAAAAATACAAAAATTAGCTAAGAATGGTGGCACACACCTGTAGTCCCAGCTAGTCAGGAGGCTGAGGCAGGAGAATCACTTGAACCCGGGAGTTGGAGGTTGCAGTGAGCCGAGATCACGCCACCGCACTCCAGCCTGGGCAACAGAGCAAGACTCTGTCTCAAAAAAAAAATTTTTGTTTTTAATTATATCTCTAGCTTGTACTGCTCCCCTGAACACCAGAGTTGTATATAGCCAGCTACACACCTGGCCTCTCTTCTTGGCTGTCTGTTAAGGATCCCAAACTTAACGTATCCAAAAGTAAAGTTTTGATTTTTTTTTTTTTTTTTTTTTTACCAGACTCTCTTCTCATTTCTCCCAACTCAGTAAATGACAAGGCCATTTAGCCAGCTGTCAAGTCCAAAAACTTAGAAGTCATCCTTGATTTGTCTCTCACCCCTGCCTCCTACATATCTAATTTATCAGCAATTTCCATCAGCTGTGCATTCAAGCTGTTTCTTCTGCCAGCCATCATCGCATCTTGCCTCACTAGTTTATTTCAGGAAGACAAGAACTTACTTAATCACTGCTATCTCCCAGGCCTGGGATATGATAGATATCCAGTAAATATTTGTTAGATCAGTGAAGTAAAACCTTATTAATGCAAACATTCCCCTGATAGAGAATTTGTGATCATTTAAACATAGGCTACAATGCAAATTAACAACATAACTAAGATAAGGAAGCATTTTAACTATGTAGAATAATAAACTGTTTATAAACAACATACCTGTTAATTATTTGTATACTCATTATGATCCCTAAGTATCTCTTTTAAAAGACCTGGTTTACTTGGTTATGCAAAGCCTAGATCATTCCTTGCAGCTTATTTCAATACATTTAAATTATATCCAAAACTTAGCCAGGCCTGGAGGCGCATGCCTGTAGTCCCAGCTACTTGAGGGGCTGAGGTGGGAGGATCACTTGAGCCCAGGAGGCAGAGAGGCAAAGGCTATAGTAAACCATGTTCATGACGCTGCACTCCAGTGTGGGTGACAAAGTGAGATCCTGTCTTAAAAAAAAAAAAAAAAACTTAGAAAAATAGTATATCCTTGAAAGTAATATAATTGTACTTCTTTAAAAGAAAACAAATTCTACAATTCAAACTTTTGCAGTGATCACATTAGAAAGTATACCCTATAAATGCCTTAAATTCTTGGTGTCTGTAGTCTCTACCTCGCCTAGCATTCCAAAAATCCCTCTTGAGGCTTGGCGCAGTGGCTCACGCCTGTAATCCCAGCACTTTGGGAGGCCGAGGCAGACGGATCACCTGAGGTCAGGAGTTTGAGACCAGCCTGGTCAACATGGGGAAATCTCATCTCTACTGAAAATACAAACATTAGCCGGGCATGGTAGCGCGCGCCTGTAATTCCCGCTACTCGGGAGACTGAGGCAGGAGAATTGCTTGAACCCGGGAGGCGGAGGTTGCAGTGAGCCAAGATCACACCACTGCCCTCCAGCCTGGGCAACAGAGTGAGACTCCGTCTCAAACAACAACAACAAAATGCCTCTTGAAACAGTCAAGCCTTTTGACACCAAGGAAATCATCTTAGCTGTGATTGGTTTGGAAAAAAGAGAGGGACACTCTCAGGCAACTCCCAACACCCTACTAAAACTTTCAGCAACACATCTCTTCAGTATATATTCAGTGGCCCAAAATGTCATTTTCTCAGACAAATGGCTGCATATCATTCACTTCTTTGAAGTTCAGTTCAGCTCACAAAGTACTTCCTGAAGCCTTATCTCAGGTCAGACACAGTGCCGGGGTCAAGGGCTCAAAGATGAGTAAACAACACAAGGTCCCTGTCCTCTAGAATCTTCTTCCATTGAGGGATGATGATATTAGTTATATTAATTACATGGTGATTTGGCTGGGCACAGTGGCTCATGCCTGTAATCCTAGCACTTTGGGAGGCCGAAATGGGCGTTATCACTTGAGGTCAGGAGTTTGAGACTGCCTAGGCAACATGGCAAGACTCCGTCTCTACTAAAATACAAAAACTTAGCCAGGTGTGATGGCACGCGCCTGTAGTCCTAGCTACTTGGGAGGTTGAGGCAGGAGAATCGCTTGAACCTGGGAGGTGGAGGTTGCAGTGAGCTGAGATGGCCCCATTGCACTCCAGCCTGGGTGACAAAGCGAGACTCTGTCTCCCAAAAAAAAGAAAAAAAAAAAAAATATATATATATATGGGGATTTTATTCACAGAGACAGACTACAGTAAGAGCTAGGGTTGGGGTGCATAATGTATGGGCATGTGTGTACAGGTTGCTAAATAAAATTATAGGAGGCCATTGGTTTGGACTGAGCTCCTGCCCTAGGCCCAACAGATCAAACCAAAATGGAATTATTCATGCTCAAGTTCCACACCACCAAGCCAAAACTGTTCATCTGACCTTCTGAGAAATCAGGAGAAAGAGGGATAACAGCCGAATCCTCAAAAAGGCCAGTTTCAGCCAGCATGATAAGGAAGTGTCCTCTGCTTTAGCCTTTACAAGGAGGTCAAACTTCCCATGCTGATCAGTAGTGGGACTGTGCCTGTGAAGAGTCACTGCACACCAGCCTGGGCAACATAGTGAGACCCCATCTCTAGCTTAAAACAAACAAAAAAATTAAACCCTTTATAAGGACAGTAACTCTGAGACGACCCATCTGCTTTTTGTTCTCTGTTTCTGCTTTCCTCAGCTCTTTTCTGTCTTTAAAGTTAACCTCCTCTGCTCAGCTTCTTGGAACATTCATTTCATTTTGTAGAATAAGACACTGCATGATTCTAGAACTGCAAATAACAGCCAATTGGTTTGTTCTTTTTTGTGTATATGGAGAACGAGGTCTCACTATTTTGCCCAGGCAGGTCTCAAGCGATCCTCCCACCTCTGCCTCCTAGCTTGGTGTGAGCCACTTAGCCCGGCCCAATTGGGATCTCCTGATTTCCTTTTTCTTTTTTTGAGTCGGAGTCTTGTTCTGTTGCCCAGGCTGGAGTGCAGTGGTGTGGTCTTGGCTTACTGCAAACTCTGCCTCCTGGATTCAAGAGATCCTACTGCCTCAGCCTCCAGAGTACCTAGGACTACAGGTGCATGCCACCACACCCATCTAATTTTTATATTTTTAGTAAAGAGGATGTTTCACCATGTTGGCCAGGCTGGTCTTGAATTCCTGTCCTCAAGTGATCCACCTGCCTCAGCCTCCCAAAGTGCTGGGATTACAGGCGTGAACTACTGCGTCCAGCCCCAATTAGGATCTTTAACTAACTAAACATGTTGTAATTTTTGTTTGTTTGTTTGTTTGTTCGAGACAGAGTCTCACTCCATCACCCAGGCTGGAGTGCAGTTATGCAATGTCAGCTCACTGTAACCTCCGCCTCCCAGGTTCAAGCAATTGTCGTGCCTCAGCCTCCCTAGTAGCTGGAATTACAGGTATTTGCCACTACACCCAGATAAATTTTTTTGTATTTTTAGTAGAGATGGGGTTTCACTGTGTTGGCCAGGCTGGTCTTGAACTCCTGGCCTCACGTGATCTGCCCACCTCAACCTCCCAAAGTGCTGGGATTATAGGTGTGAGCCACTACGTGGGGCCTACGTGTAATTTTTGTCTTTTGACCAGATATAGCAATAGGTAATTCCACCAGGGGGAGAGGTGTCAGAAACAGAGAAAGTAACCTGTGAAACTGATTGAGTTCACAAAGTGGACAAGATAGGAAAAACAAAAAGCACAGTTCATCAATGTGTGTACTCAATCATAAACCAAAAATCACATGAAAAACCTCATAGGGTTTAGAGAATAACTCTCATAACTAGAGCTCTGGCCCCTAGCTATCAAAACCACAAAAGTTGGCCACGTGCAGTGCTCACGCCCGTAATCCCAGCACTTTGGGAGGCCAAGGTGGGCGGATCACAAAGTCAAGAGATCGAGACCATCCTGGCCAACATAGTGAAACCCCATCTCTACTAAAAATACAAAAATTAGCCGTGTGTGGCCAGGTGCAGTGGCTCACGCCTGTAATCCCAGCACTTTGGGAAGCTGAGGTGGGCAGATCACAAGGTCAGGAGTTTGAGACCAGCCTGACCAACATGGTGAAACTCTGTCTCTACTAAAAATACAAAAATTAGCCAGGCATGGTGGCATGCGCCTGTAATCCCAGCTACTCAGGAGGTTGAGGCAAGAGAATCGCTTGAACCCGGGAGGTGGAGGTTGCAGTGAGCTAAGATTGTACCACTGCACTCCAGCCTGGGTGACAGCAAGACTCTGTCTCAAAAAAAAAAAAATTAGCTGGGCGTGGTGACACACGCCTATAGTCCTAGCTACTCGGGAGGCTGAGACAGGAGAATCGCTTGAACCCGGGAGGCGGAGATTGCAGTGAGCCGAGATCGCGCCACTGCACTCCAGCCTGGGCGACAGTGAGAGACTGTCTCAAAAAACAAAAAACAAAAAACAAAAAGCTGAGTTTAAAACCCATCATCCAGATGCTCATTAATGCAGCCACAGAGTGGGGCTTGGGTGCTGATTAAAGAGTCCGACAGTGATCATCCCAGGTGGGCAACATCAATTTCAATGATGACTTCCACCAGATCATCATCTCCCACCAACCTCCATCTGTCACCTCTTTTTTCTTTCAGGGAAAAAAAAAAACCAAAACTTCTAAACAGCCACATTGTTCACAATAATCCAGTGCTTACCCAGCTGCTGAACTTCAATAGAAGAACTAAATAATACAAGATGCTGGGCCTGTTCCAGTCCCCCGAGACCTGACCGTCCCTGCTGGACAACTCAGATGCCTCATCCACCTGGGGTCAACCCCTGCAAGCTGAAAGAACGTCAGATTTTATTTATACCAATACGAAAGAAGGCTTTGGGGAGAAACTTTTGTCAGGCAAGAGCTTCAGCCTCCTGCATCCAGCTGCAGGGATGATGGCCCATGGGGAGGTGGCACACCTCAGAGGAGTCTTTTTCTGACTGCAAACACAGTCCAAGCTACCCTGGAGCAGAGTTTCTTAATAGTGACGCCTTTGACATTTTGGGCCAAAGGATTCTTTGCTGTGGGAGGCCGTCCTGTATGTTGCAGGATGTTGAGGCTACTAGGGGGGCTTTGGTTGTCGCAACTAGGGGGGGCTTCCACTGGCATCCAGTGGGCAGAAGGCACGCCAGGCTAATTTTTGTATTTTTAGTAGAGACGGAGTTTCGCCATGTTGGCCAGGCTGGTCTTGAACTCCTGACCTCAGGTGATCCGCCCACCTCAGCCTCCCAAAGTGCTGGGATTACAGGCATAAGCCACCATGCCTGACCAATTTTATACAATGTTTTAAATAATTTTGTGCATTAAACAGAATTTTGACTGTGACCTGTCACATGAGGTCAGGTGTGGAATTTTCCATTTGTGGCATCATGTCAGCACTCAAAAAAGTTTGGGTTTTGGGACATTTTGGATTTCGGATTTTTGGATTAGGGATGCTCAACCTGCACTATCACTGTACATGTTGCAAATGGGGAAGGTGAGGTTCAGAGCCCAGTAAAGGCCTGCTTGGGGGCCAGGCAGCCCATGGCAGGTGAAGCCGGACATGCCCTGAGGCCTGGGTGTGGGAGACTGGCCGGGATGCGGGTACCCACAGGCACCCCTCAGCCCCGCACACTGGCAGTTAGGAGAAAGAGAATGGCAGAGAGAAAGGGATCTGAGAAAAGCAAGAAGAGCACAAATGAAGAAAGGGAGAGGTGAGATGGACAGGGAGAGGGGTGGAGAGATAGAGGAAGGCCCATCTGCCCAATCCCTGGGTGACTTAAGGGCTGCTACGACCACTCGCCCCAGGGTCTGGGTCATCTCCCCTTGGAGCCAGGAGGCTGCCCATGACCCGGGTCCTCCTCAGGAGGAAGCACGCACAGCCCCCTTGTTGAGGCAGAGGGCTGGCTCCGTATCAGTCCTTCCCTGTGCCCACAGGCCCCCTTTCCCACATCTCTGGCCTCCTTGCCTTCACTGACTTCCCATGCCGTCACACCACCTGCCTCTAGACCTAGAGTGGGCCCAGCCCCGGCCTCCACTTGGATTGACCTCTGTGGCTCTCACCCGACTCCTCTCACCCTCTGTAGACCGCACAGCCAGACACCCACCTGACCCAGACCCTCCCCACTGCTGGCCTTCCTTTATCAGCTCCTTGCCTTCCCCTCTGACCCATGGCTCACTGACCCTCCCTGCATGGGCCAGTCCTCACAACTGTTCTTCTACTGTCCTTCCACTCTGAGTTCTTAGGCTTTTGTCAACACCCCAGCCCTCAGCAATGCCTGCCAGAAACCACCCCAATCCCAAGGCCCCACTGTCACCCTTACCCAAATCTCCTCCTTCCCGCCTCTCAGCCCACACTCACTGATGAGTCATCATCCAGCCCTCACCATCCCTATGAAGTCAACCCTCAAACCCTGTGCCAGGACAGCACAGCCCCCACCCCCTGCCACCATCCTCTCCTATAAATTCTCAAAGAATGGTCCAGACTCCTACATGAGAACTACCAGGGCCCTTTGCTTAAAATACTGTGACAGTGAAATAAGCCAGACACAAAAAGACAAATGCTGTATAACTCCACTTATCTGAGGTACCTGCAGTAGTAAAATTCACGAAACAAAGTAGGGCTAGGTGCAGTGACTCATGCCTGTAATCCCAGCAATTTGAGAGGCCAAGGCGGGTGGATCGCTTGAGGTCAGGAGGTCAAGACCAGCCTGGCCAACATAGTGAAAACTTGTCTCTACTAAAAATACAAAAATTAGCCGAAACAGTGGTGCATGCCTGTAACCCAGCTACTCGGGAGGCTGAGGCACAAGAATCACTTGAACCCAGGAGGCAGAGGTTGCAGTGAGCCAAGTTCACACCACTATACTCCACCCTGGGCAACAGAGCAAGACTCCATCTCAAAAAAAAAAAAAAAAAAAAAAAAAAAAAAGGCCAGGTGCGGTGGCTCATGTCTGTAATCCCAACAGTTTGGGAAGCCAAAGCGGGTGGATCACAAGGTCAGGAGTTCGAGACCAGCCTGGTCAACATGGTGAAACCCTGTCTCTACTAAAGACACAAAAAAATTAGCCGGGCATGGTGGCGGGCACCTGTAATCCCAGCTACTTGAGGGGCTGAGGCAGGAGAATCGCTTGAACTCAGAGGTTGCAGTGAGCCGAGATCATGCCATTGCACTCCAGCTTGGGCAAAAGGTCGAGACTCCATCTAAAAAAAAAAAAAAAAAAAAAAAAAGGCTGGGTGCGGTGGCTCACGCCTGTAATCCCAGCACTTTGGGAGGCCAAGGCGGGTGGACCACAAGGTCAGGAGATCGAGACCAAGGTGAAACCCCGTCTCTCCTAAAAATACAAAAACAATTAGTCGGGCGTGGTGGCAGGCGCCTGTAGTCCCAGTTACTCAGGAGGCTGAGACAGGAGACTGGCGTGAACCTGGGAGGCAGAGCTTGCAGTGAGCCAAGTTTGTGTCACTGCACTCCAGCCTGGGCGACAGAGCAAGACTCCGTCTCAAAAAAAAAAAAGCTGTATAAAACAATGATAGGAACCAGGCTCAGGTCACGCTATAATCCCAGCACTTTAGGAGGCTGAGGCTGGAGGATTGCTTGAGCCCAGGAGTTCCAGACCAGCCTGGACAACATGGTGAGACCCCCACCTCTACAAAAAAAATAAACAAAATTAGCTGGACATGGTGATGTGTGCCTGTAGTCTCAGCTACTCGGGAGGCTAAGGTAGGAGGATCACTGGAGGCTTGGAGGTTGAGGCTGCAGTGAGCCATGATCAAACCACTACACTCCAGCCTGGATGACAGAGTGATACCCTGTCTCAAAAAAAAAAAATAGGTAAGTGAGGTGACAGACATGTTAATGAGCTTGATTTAATCACTGTACATTGTATACATATATCAAATATGTCAATCAAAAATAATAGTAATAATTTATAAATAAAATAATTTAAAAATTAGAAATGCAATGACAAATCAGAAATCTTGGGAGGGGGCCCAGAAACCTACATCTTTTTTTTTTTTTTTGAAACAGAGTCTCGCTCTGTTGCCCAGGCTGGAGTGCAGTGGCACGATCTTGGCTCACTGCAACCTCCACCTCCCAGGTTCAAGTGATTCTCCTGCCTCAGCCTCCTGAGTAGCTGGGATTACAGGTGCATGCCACCACGCCCAGCTAATTTTTATATATTTAGTAGAGACGGGGTTTCAC
Organism: Homo sapiens; assembly: GCF_000001405.40. Taxonomy (NCBI): domain Eukaryota; kingdom Metazoa; phylum Chordata; class Mammalia; order Primates; family Hominidae; genus Homo; species Homo sapiens. Next base: position 62,474,384 of record NC_000011.10, read on the forward strand.
CACGTTAGTCAGGCTGGTCCTCGAACTGCTGACCTCGTGATCTGCCCTCAGCCTCCCAAAGTGCTGGGATTACAGGCATCAGCCACCACACCCGGCCCTCAGAAACCTACATCTTTAACCAGCTCCCCAGTGATTCTTATGCACCTTAAGTGGAAGAACTGAGAATTGCTGCCGCTTCTTAGCTGCGTAAGCTCGGCCAAGTTGCCAAAACTCTGCAGCCTCAATTTCCCCACCTGCGAATGGACACGAGGCCTTCCTCACAAGGATCTTGTGAGAGTCACATGAGATAAGGAATATAAAGAGCCAGGGACTGACAGCTGGTTGACAAAAGTGAGCTGGACATTTAGTCAGTTTGCGGACATACACTGAGCACCCCGTGCTGGGTCCTGGAAATAGGAGAGTGAGCAAACAATGTCCCAACATCCTGGTGCTTGAAGACAGTGGGGTGTCTTCCTTCTCCCACCTTCAGGCCTCTGAAAAGCTACCTGCTGGAAAGGAACATCTGGCAACAGGTAGGGAGGATCCTGACCTCAGAGGCTGGTGAGGAAGAGGGACCCAGGAGAAGCCGCTGCACTGGCAGGGACAGTGACAGAGGCGAGGTGCAGAGGGTCATCAGGGCACTTAAAAGGGGACCCTGGGCCGGGCACGGTGGCTCACGCCCGTAATCCCAACACTTTGGGAGGCAGAGGTGGGCGGATCACCTGAGGTCAGGAGTTCGAGACCAACCTGACCAACAAGGTGAAACCCTGTCTCTACTAAAAATACAAAAATTAGCCAGGCATAGTGGCAGGTGCCTGTAGTCCCAGCTACTCAGGAGGCTGAAACAGGAGAATTGCTCAAACCCAAGAGGCAGAGGTTGCAGTGAGCCGAGATCGCACCATTGCACTCCAACCTGGGGCAATAGAGCGAGACTTTGTCTCAAAAAAAAGGTGGGGGGACCCCTGCAGCCATCAAAATGAACAAGATCCTGTCTTTTGTGGGAACGTGGATGGAGGTGGAGGCCATTATCCTCAGCAAACTAACACAGGAACAGAAAACCAAATATGGCATGTTCTCACTTATAAGTGGGAGCTAAATGATGAGCACTCATAAACACAAAGAAGGGAGCAACTGACACTGAGGTCTATTGGGTTGGTGCAAAAGTAACTGCACTTTTGCATTGTTGAAATTTGCGTTTGATATTGGAATATATTCTTAAATAAATGTGGTTATGTTATACTTTTTTTTTTTTTTTTTTTTTAGACAGAGTCTCACTCTGTCACCCAGGCCAGAGTGCAGTGGCGCGATCTCAGCTCACCGAAACCTCTGCCTTCTGGTCTCAGGTGATTCTCCTGCCCCAGCCTCCCAAGTAGCTGGGATTACAGGCGCCCGCCATCACACCCAGCTAATTTTTGTATTTTTAGTAGAGACGAGGTTTCACCATGTTGGCCAGGCTCGTCTCGAGCTCCTGACCTCAGGTGATCCGCCCGCCTCAGTCTCCCAAAGTGCTGGGATTACAGGTGTGAGCCACCGCCCCCGGCTATATATCACTTGAAGGCGCATTTCTCGCCTTAAGTTTTTTTGCTAATGACTTATTACTTGCTGTTTATTTTATGTTTATTTTAGACTATGGAAATTATGTTAGACCAAAGCAAATTCAAGCTATTTTCTTATTCAAGTTCAAAATGGGTTGTAAAGCAGCAGAGACAACTGGCAACATCAATGCATTCGGCCCAGGAACCGCTAATGAGCATACAGTGCAGTGGTGGTACAAGTTCTGGCCGGACGGCTGAGGCAGCCGGATCACCTGAGGTCAGGAGTTCGAGATCAGCCTGGCCAACATGGCGAAACTCCCATCTCTACTAAAAATACAAAAATTAGCTGGGCATGGTGGCGCATGGCTATAATTCCAGCTACTTGCTAGGCTGAGGCAGGAGAATCACTTGAACCTGGCAGGCAGAGGTTGTAATGAGCCGAGATTGCACCACTGCTCTCCACCCTGCCTGGGCGACAGAGCAAGACTCCGTCTCAAAAAAAAGTTTTGCAAAGGAGACAAGAGCCTTGAAGATGAGGAGCGTCGTGGCGCCAGCCATTAGAAGTTGACAATGACCAATTGAGAGAAATAATCAAAGACCCTCTTAAACCTACACGAGAAGTTCCCGAAGAACTCAACATGGACATTGGACGGTCGTTCAGCATTTGAAGCAAATTGGAAAGGTGAAAAAGCTTTATAAGTGGGTGCCTCATGAGCTGAGCAAAAATTAAAACAAAACAAACAAAAAAAAACATCATTTTGAAATGTCTTCTCTTATTCTACGCAACAACAATGAACCATTTCTCGATCAGATTGTGACGTGAGACAAAAAGTGGATTTTAAACGACAACTGTCGATGACCGGTGGTTGGACCAAGAGAAAGAAGCTCCAAAGCACTTCCCAAAGCCAAGCTTGTACCAAAAGAAGGTCATGGTCACTGGTGGTCTGCTGCCAGTCTGATCCACTACAGCTTTCTGAATCCTGGCAAAACCATTACATTTAAGATATATGCTCAGCAAATTGATGAGATGCACCAAAAACTGCAATGCCTGCAGCCGGCATTGGTTGCAGAAATCACCCAATTCTTCTCCATGACAATGCCCGACCGCATGTCACACAACACTTCAAAAGTTGAACGAATTGTACTACGAAGTTTTGCCTCCTCTGCCATATTCACTTGACCTCTCGCCAACTGACTACCACTTCTTCAGGCATCTCGACAACTTTTTGCAGGGAAAACGCTTCCACAACCAGCAGGATGCAGAAAATGCTTTCTAAGAGTTCGTCGAATCCCGAAGCATGGATTTATATGCTACAGGAATGAAAAAACTTATTTCTCATTAGCAAAAATGTGTTGATTGTAACGCTTCCTATTTTGGTTAATAAAGATGTGTTTGAGCCTAGTTATAATGATTTCAAATACATGGTCTGAAGCCGCAATTATTTTTGCACCAATACTTGAGGGTGGAGGGTGGGAGGAGGAGAGAGAGAAGCAGAAAAGATAACTATTGGGTACTGAACTTAATTCCTGGGTGATGAAATAACCTGTACAACAAGCCCCGTGTCATGAGTGTACCTATGTAGCAAACATTCACATGCACCCCCGAACCTAAAATAAAAGTTATAGGGCAAGTGCCGTGGCTCACGCCTGTAATCCCAGCACTTTGGGAGGCCAAGGCGGGCAGATCACAGGTCAGGAGTTCGAGACCAGCCTGGCCAACATGGTGAAACCCCTCTGTACTAAAAATAACAAAAATTAGCCAGGCATGGTGGCCGGCGCCTGTAGTCCCAGCTACTAGGGAGGCTGAGGCAGGAGAATCACTTGAACCCGGGAGGCGGAGGTTGCAGTGAGCTGAGACCGCGCCACTGCACTCCAGCCTAGGCAAAAGAGTGAAACTCCATCTCAAAAAAAAAAAAAAGTTATAAAAAGCAGGGGGATCCCAGTCAAGCCCTGGGCCAAGGCTTTCCAGAGGTGGTGATGGTTGTGCAGAAACCTGGAAGATAATTGGCTTAGGGGATGGGGGGCCTTCCTGGCCAAGGAGTAACATGTGTATAGGTACAGAGGCCTCTGGAACATTTGAGGAAGCGAAAGAAGGCCAGGGTGGTGAAGCCCGGGACCTGTACACCAAGAGCAAAGGGAAGTCAGGTGGACTCAAAATCCTCCCAGGAATTCCTCTCCGCAGGACTCAGTGCTATCTTAAGAGCAGAGCCCCTGGCCTCCCATCTCCTCCCCCACTATTCCAGGTGGTTTCTTAGAATGGCCTCTCACCACCACCCGCAGCCTCACCCAGCAGATCTGGTCAGGTCTGGTCAGCACACACATTCGCTCTTCTTCTCAGCTAGGGCCCAGGGGCTAAGCAGGAGCTGGGGCTGAGCCCCTGAGGTCTTTTCACACTAAGACTGGACCCTCCAGCCCCTGACAGGGCTCACCCCAGGGCTCCCCAACAAATTCAGGAGAGCAATGATACAAGAATGCCTCTTCTTTGATTTTGTTCTTGTCCTTTACTTCTCCCAAATTATTGCCCCTAGCAATGCCTAGAAAACAGGACAGGGTGCCGGGTGCCGGTGGCTCACTCCTGCAATCCCAGCAGTTTGGGAGGCCAAGGTTGGGGCTTGGAGATGGAGATTGCTTGAGCCCAGGAGTTCCTGACCAACCTAGGCAACACGGCAAGACCTCATCTCTACAACAACAACGACAAAAATTAGCTGGGCATGGTGGCACACGCCTGTGGTCCTAGCTACTCAGGAGACTGAGGTGCGAGGATCGCTTGAACCCAGGAGATCGATCCTCCTGCAGTGAGCCGTGATCATACCACTGCACTCCAGCCTGGGTGACAGAATGAGACCCTGCCTCAAAAAAAAAAAAAAAAAAAAAGAGAGAGAAAAGAAAAGAGCAAAAGAGGAAAATGTACACCATTAATACACCATTAAAAAAATCCCTCCTAGGCCTTTGATGACACTGTTTCACTAATTTTTTTTGTTTGTTTGTTTGTTTCTAAAACAGAGTCTTGCTCTGTCTCCCAGGCTGGAGTACAGTGGCGCAATCTCAGCTCACTACAACCTCCGCCTCCTGGATTCAAGTGATTCTCCTGCCTCAGCCTCCTGAGTAGCTGGAACTACAGACACATGCCACTGCGCTCGGCTAATTTCTTTTCATTAATGTTGACACAGTTAAGATGACAGAGTCTGTCTACTTCAGCACTTATTGTAATAAGATAGTAGGACAACTTTTCTAAGAGCTTTGCTTTCTTTTCTTTTTTTTTCTTTTTTCTTTTTTTTTTTTTTTTTGATACGGAGTTTCCCTCTTGTTACCCAGGTTGGGGTACAATGGCACGATCTCGGCTCACTGCAACCTCTGCCTCCCAGGTTCAAGTGATTTTCCTGCCTCGGCCTCCCGAGTAGCTGGGATTACAGGCATGCACCACCACGTCTGGCTAATTTTGTATTTTTAATGGAGACAGGGTTTCTCCACGTTGGTCAGGCTGATCTCGAACTCCTGACCTCAGGTGATCCGTCTACCTCAGCCTCCCAAAGTACTGGGATTACGGGCGTGAGCTACCCTGCCCAGCCCCTTTTTTTTTTTTAAGAGAGCCATTACTTGGGTAGTTTGGGGTCTGCGAAGTGCTAAAAATACTAGAAAATTACCTGAATATTTTTGTCAGGCCAACATTTTTGTCTTGGGTACAAGGAGGGTGGGAAGTTTGCCAGACTGCTCATAAGCCTTCTATTAAGATGTTTCCCTAAGAACCTGTCACCATGCAGAGGGGAATACCCCATACAAGCAGCAGGTCTCCATCTCCCCAACCAAATGCCTTCCATTCCCTTCTTCCACGACGCACGAAACAGATAAGGCATGAAATCAAAGCTCTCTTTCCAGAACCGGCTCTCCAAGTGGGTGATCCATTCCTGCATGCAATCTTGTCCTTTTGCCTGTTTAACTGTGAAACTATTCTTGAAAGTATTCCAAAGTGGCTTTAGGGAATATTCATATCTTGACTGTTTTTCACTTCAATAAAAAGTTAAGGCAAACTTGGCCCATTCCGGGGAGCTGGAATCCAGAGGGGAGGGAGATGAGGTCCCAGTGCTCCTTCTGGCTGGGTTCTGCCGGATTTATAGGAGGGCCTCACACCCCTCACCCCTGATTTCAAGCAGGAGGGTAGCAGGCAGAGCTTGGGAAGCCTCACCCGGACCCTGCCACCTGCCAGGAAGGTCAGGGCCCTGCTCCCCTGCCTGTGCCCACTGCTGGGAGCAGGCTGGACCCAGTGGCCAGCTGTCCTGGACAGTGACAGCCACAGAACCCTCAGCCCTGCCAATCTTGCCTCGGATCCTTTCTAAATCCCTTTAGCAGTTGATACTTTAGGGGTGGGAGGAAATAAATCTCAAGGGTTAAATTAAATTTCTGCTTGTGACAGAGTTCACTCCAGGTACATCCATTCAGAGGCTAATCAGGCAAACCTGAGATTAACAGAGAAAGGCCTGACTTTGCCAGGCACAGTGACTCACGCCTGTAATCCCAGCACTTTGGGAGGCCGAGGTGGGTGGATCACAAGGTCGGGAGTTCAAGATCCGCCTGGCCAAGATGGTGAAACCCCGTCTCTACTAAAAAATACAAAAATTAGCCGGGCACGGTGGCGGGTGCCTGTAATCCCAGCTACGTGGGAGGTTGAAGCAGGAGAATCGCTTGAACCCGGGAGGTGGAGGTTGCAGTGAGCCGAGATTGCGCCATTGCACTCCAGCCTGGGTGACAGAGCAAGACTCTATCTCAAAAAAAGAAAAGAAAAGAAAAGAAAAAAAAGAAAGGCCTGACTCTTTCTCAGTGGTCCTGGACTCTGAAACCCTGACCTCTGTCCCCAAACAGGGCCTTCCTTCCTGAGCTCTCTGCTATGCAAGGAATTCTGCGTGCAGTTAAAAAAAAAAAAAAAAAAAAAAAACCTGGATTTGCTGCCTTCTGGTCTGACCAAGTTGGAATGCGCAGCGTGAAGAAATGCTCGTTGCCTAGGCAGGAACAGCCATCCACAGGAAAACAGACCTCAGTAAATAATGTCCTCGACCTTCCCCCAAAAGCCCAGAGGCTGCCTCCTGTGAGTAACCGATGAAACCCGAGGCGCTCCTGTAGCTCCTGGGCTGATCCCTCTCCAGGAGATGACTTGGATGAGAAGGAAGGTGCTATGGGCTTCTCTTTTCTTTTTTTGGTTTTTTTTTTTTTGGTTTTTTTTTTGTTTTTTTGAGACAGAGTTTCGCACTTGTTGCCCAGACTGGAGTGCAGTGGCGCAGTCACGGCTCACTGCAACCTCTGCCTCCCGAGTTCAAGCAGTTCTCCTGTCTCAACCTCCCGAGTAGCTGGGATTACAGGTGCCCACCACTGCACCCAGCTAATTTTTGTATTTTTTAGTAGAGACAGAGTTTCACCATTTTGGCCAGGCTGGTCCTGAACTCCTGATCTCAGGTAATCCACCCACCTCGGCCTCCCAGAGTGCTGGGACTACAGGAGTGAGCCACTGTACCTGGCCTTGGGCTTCCCCTTTCTTCCATTTCCCTTGCACCATCTTTGTCTGGACCCTCAGGGTCTCGTCCCTGCCTCCACACCTCCCACCCTCAAACCTACCATTGCTACCCAAAAACCTCCCTAGACCTCAGCTTCTAGCAAGTCACCCTTCAATACTCTTTATTTTTTATTTATTTATTTATTTATTTATTTAGAGACTGAGTCTCGCTCTTTCTCCTAGGCTGGAGTGCAGTGACACGATCTTGGCTCACTGCAAGCTCCGCCTCCCGGGTTTATGCCATTCTCCTGCCTCAGCCTCTTGAGTAGCTGGGACTACAAGTGCCCACCACCATGCCTGGCTAATTTTTTGTATTTTTAGTAGAGACGGGGTTTCACCGTGGTCTCGATCTCCTGACCTCGTGATCGACCCACCTCGGCCTCCCAAAGTGCTGGGATTACAGGCGTGAACCACCGCGCCTGGCCCTTCAATACTCTTTAAAGTCTGAGTTCTTCAACCCTCTGCCTTGATGTTAAGACCTTTTACGATCCATCTCCGCCCTCTTGCCCCATCTCCCCCACCATTCCCCAATGCATGCCCTGTGTCGGGTGAGGTCAGTCTCTCTTCCCTGCTGGGTCAGCCATGCTCACTCCATCCCTGGCCCGTCACTCATGTTGTCTACATGTGGAGCTCTCCTTCAAGGCCCAGCTCATATCTCTCTTCCTCCATGAAACCTTCATCAAGATGTATTTAGGCCGGGTGCAGTGGCTCACATCTGTAATCCCAGCACTTTGGGAGCCCAAGGCGGACTGCTCACTTGAGGCCCGGAGTTCGAGACCATCCTGGCCAACATGGGGAAACCCCATCTCTACTAAAAATACAAAATTTATCCGGGCGTGGTGGTGCGTGCCTGTAGTTCCAGCTACTCAGGAAGCTGAGGCAGGAGAATCATTTGAGCCCAGGAGGCAAAGGTTGCAGTGAGCTGAGATCGCGCCACTGCACTCCAGCCTAAGTGACAGAGCGAGACTGTCTCAAAAAAAAAAATGTAGTATTTAACAGAAAGGACTCTGGAGCCCCCCTGGGTTCAAATACTGGCTTTGCCCTTCCGTTCTCTCAATGACTTTGGGCAAATTACCTAATCCTTCTGTGCCTCAGATTCCTCCACTGCCAAATCGGGATATAATTGCACCTACTCACGAGAGCTACCGTGAGGATGAAATAAATGACATCACATAAAGCATTTACGCCATGCCCGACACATAGAAAGCACCTCAGAGGGTGAGTGCTTACTGTTACCTGAGCATGCCATCCCTCCCTCATACTCTTTTCCCCAGAATGTCTCCATCTAGCATGGTAGAGACCACACCTGTCAAATTCATCTTGTACTGCTCACTGCAATTTCATGTGTAGCAAAGAGGAACAGGAACATTTTATCTGTAATCGTAGCATCGATAAGCAATAGCTTATTCATGAATGTAAAATATTCCTCATTCGTAATGTGCAGAATAAGCAGGAGAACTGGCCCTGCTTCCTCCTGGTATAATTTAACCCTTAAGAGGCCTAGGAGGAAAAAGACAGGGCAAACTATCAGGAACACAAAGACACACAAAAACGTCCACAGGATGGTCATTTGAACACCAAAAGGACAATCATTTGAACGACATGGTTTCACACCAAGAAGCACTGCCTGGAGAGTGACCTGGTCAGAGGTGGGAAACTCCACCAGCATCTGTTCCTCCTGAAAGTGAACAGCAGCCGAGTGACAGAAGACCCCGAAGGCCCAGGGCCCAAGGGACGCTACGTGGCAACAGCATCGGGGTAGGGTGGGCTGCAGGCCTTCTGCTTTACCAGAAGAATGCTGCAGGCTCATGAATCAATCAGTTCAGAGCTCAGGATGATACGGGAGTCGGGGGCCACTCAGCCTTTTCTGGCCTCCATTCCTTCAGCTTTAATTTGAAGAGAACTGGTGGAAACAGAGGATCACTAACAAATCATCCAGTTCTGAAATTCTGTCCTGTGCCAAAATGATCTACACAACACTCTCTACATAGATCAAGAAAGGGCGGGCCGGGCGCGGTGGCTCGCGCCTGTAATCCCAGCACTCTGGGAGGCCGAGGCGGGCGGATCACGAGGTCAGGAGATCGAGACCATCCTGGCTAACACGGTGAAACCCCGTCTCTACTAAAAAAAAAACTACAGCCAGGCGCGGTGGCTCACGCCTGTAATCCCAGCGCTTTGGGAGGCCGAGGCAGGCGGATCATGAGGTCAGGAGATCGAGACCATCCTGGCTAACACGGTGAAACCCTGTCTCTACTAAAAATACAAAAAAAATAGCCAGGCGTGGTGGCTGGCACCTGTAGTCCCAGCTACTCCAGAGGCTGAGGCAGGAGAATGGCGTGAACCTGGGAGGCAGAGCTTGCAGTGAGCCAAGATTGTGCCACTGCACTCCAGCCTGGGCGACAGAGCAAGACTCCATCTCAAAAAAAAAAAAAAACAAACTACAAAAAATTAGCCAGGCGCGGTGGCGGGCGCCTGTAGTCCCAGCTACTCCGGAGGCTGAGGCAGGAGAATGGTGTGAACCCAGGAGGTGGAGCTTGCAGTGAGCCGAGATCGCACCACTGCACTCCAGCCTGGGCAACAGAGCGAGACTCCATCTCAAAAAAAAAAAAAAAAAAAAGAAAGGGCATGCATAGAGCAGTGTTCAAAAGAAGGGATGGCTGGGTGCAATGGCTCACACCCATAATCCCAATGCTTTGGGAGGCTGAGGCAGGAGGATCACTTGAGACCAAGAGCTCAAGACCAGTCTGAAAAACGTAGTGAAACCCCATTTCTACAAAAAAAATTTTTTTTTAATTAGCTGGGCATGGTAGCACACACCGGTAGGTAGTCTTAGCTACTCTGGAGGCTGAGGCAGGAGGATCACTTGAGCCCAAGAGTTGGAGGCTGCAGTGAGCTATGATCATGCCACCACACTACAGCCTGGGTGACAGAGTGAGACCCTGTCTCTGAATAAATAAATAAATAAATAACAAGAGAGACGCCATAGGTCAGGGGAAGGAGGGCTTGCTACTTTATGTAAGGTGTCAGAGAAGATCTCTTGCGAGGTGACATTATAAGGGGAAGACTTTGTCAAGGGGAAGAACATTCCAAGCATAGTTCACAGCAAATACAAAAACCCTGGGATGGAAGCTTGGCTGCCAGATCAAGGAACAGCAAGGAGCCCCTGTGGCCAGAGCTCCATGAGGGAGGAAAAGATGGGGTCTGAAGAGCAGTGAGGGCCAGGTGGTATGGAAGCCTCTACGCTACCACGAGCACTTAAGCATGCTTCCGAGTGAGATGGGGAGCCACGGAAGGTCATGAGTGAGGCATGGCAATACTTGACTTAGGTTTTGTTTTGTTTTGTTCTGTTTTGTTTTGTTTTGTTTTTGAGACAGAGTTTCGCTCTTGTTGCCCAGGCTGGAGTGCAATTGCGTGATCTCAGCTCACCACAACCTCCGCCTCCCGGGTTCAGGCGATTCTCTTGCCTCAGCCTCCAGGGTAGCTGGGATTACAGGCACGCGCCACCACACCCGGCTAATTTTGTATTTTTAGTAGAGACGGGGTTTCTCCATGTTGGCCAGGCTGGTCTCGAACTCCTGACCTCAGGTGATCTGCCTGCCTCGGCCTCCCAAAGTGCTGGGATTACAGGCGTGAGCCACCGTGCCTGGCCTTTGACTTAGGTTTCAAAAAGATTAATTGGCCGGGAGCAGTGGCTCACATCTGTAACCCCAGCACTTTGAGAGGCCAAAGCGGGAGGATCGTTTGAGCCTAGGAATTCAAGACCAGTCTGGGCACCATAGTGAGACCCTGCCTATTTACAAATAATTTTAAAAATTAGTCAGGCATGGTGATGCATGCCTGTACTGGGGCGGCTGAGGTGGGAGGAGTGCTTGAGCCCAGGAGTTTGAGGCTACAGTGAGACGTAATCCCAACAGTATACTCCAGCTTGGGTCACAGAGTGAGACCCTGTCAAAAACAAAACAAAACAAAAAGGATCAATCTTGCTGGGCGCGGTGGCTCACACCTATAATCCCAGCACTTTGGGAGTCCGAGGCGGGCGGATCACAAGGTCAGGAGATCGAGACCATCCTGGCTAACACGGTGAAACCCCGTCTCTACTAAAAATACAAAAAATTAGCTGGGCATGGTGGCAGGAGCCTGTAGTCCCAGCTACTCAGGAGGCTGAGGCAGGAGAATCGCTCAAACCTGGGAGGCAGAGGTTACAGTGAGCCGAGATTGCACCACTGCACTCCAGCCTGGGCAATACAGCAAGACTCCATCTCAAAAAAAAAAAAAAAAAAAAAGAATAACAGAAGGCCGGGAGTGGTGGCTCATGCCTGTAATCTCAGCATTTTGGGAGGCCAAGGCAGGTGGTGACACCTGAGGTCAGGAATTCAAGACCAGCCTGGCCAACATAGTGAAATCCTCATCTCTGCTAAAAAATAACAAAAAATTAGCCAGACATTGTGACATATACCTGTAGTCCCAACTACTCAGGAGGCTGAGGCAGGGGAATCACTTGAACCTGGGAGGCGGAGGTTGCAGTGAGCCGAGATTGCACCACTGCACTCCAGCCTGGGTGACAAAGCAAGACTTTGTCTCAAAAAAAAAAAAAAAAAAAGAGAGAGAGAGAAATGAAATGAAATTCTAACACAAAATATAACATAGATGAACCCTGAAAGTGAAGTAAGCTAGACAGAAGAGGACAAATACTGTGTCATTCCACTTATATGAGGTACCTAGAGTAGTCAAATTCATACAGTCAGAAAGTAGCAGCCAGGCATGGTGGCTCACGCCTGTAATCCCAGCACTTTGGGAGGCCGAGGTGGGTGGATCACCTGCGGTCAGGAGTTCGAGACCAGCCTGACCAACATGGAGAAACCCCATCTCTACTAAAAATACAAAATTAGCAGGCGGGGTAGCACATGCCTGTAATCCCAGCTACTTGGGAGGCTGAGGCAGGAGAATCGCTTGAACCCAGGAGGCGGACGTTGCGGTGAGCCAAGATTGTGCCATTTTACTCCAGCCTGGGCAACAAGAGCTAAACTCCGAAACTCTGTCTCAAAAAAAAGAAAGAAAAGAAGAAAGGAAGGAAGGAAGAAAGGAAAGAAGGAAGGAAGGAAGGGAGGGAGGGAGGGAGGGAGGGAGCATGGTGGTTGCCGGGGGCTGGAGAATTAGTGTTGAATGGCTACAGCGTTTCAATTGGGGAAGATGAGAAAGTTCTGGAGCTGCACAGTGGAGATGGTTCCACCGTAATGTAGATGTACTGTATACCACTGAGCTGTACACCTAAAAATGGTTAAAATGGTCAATTTTATGTTATGTCTATTTTACCACCAGTTTTTTTTTTTCTTTACATAGATGGAGAACTCACAGATTGGCCCACTGGCAAGGGTCCTATGAGGTTTTAGAGGTTTATAAACACAAGCTCAAATGAAAAATTACCCTAGAGTTTTCCCATGGTTAGCTGTGAGTACAGGAATATCTGCCCCCATCCCACCAAGAGGGCTTCAGAATAGAGAGAGAGGGTTCACTGAGTAAGGAGCGGCAGACTCCAAATAGACGCCTATTCCAGACCAGAGAACATCGTGAAAGAGGAGAGGACTGGAATAAGATGGTCAGAGAAGCAAAATGAGCTAAGGGGTTTGAAACAACAGAACAGAAACATTGTGGACCACCAGTGGTGCGGGACGTCTGGTGACAGCTTAGGTGACCAGTCCAGTGTGAAGCTGATAAAGGGGTATAATTACAACAGCTAACGTTTATTAAGCACTTACTGTATGTCAGGCACCACTATAAACGCTGCCCAGGCAATAGTTCGCTTTATCTTCACAACCACCATCTAAGGGATGTTATCATCCTGATCTCACAGATGAAAGAAAAACTGGAACATGCCCCAACGTAGAGTAGCAAAGACAGGATTTGAACCCAGGCAGTCCAGTTTCTGAGCAGAGCTCCTAACCATGAGGGTATGTGGCGTAAGGCAGGACAGTATGACATCCAACACAATGAGTTTATAGGTTTCTGTTTGTAGCTTCAACTCTCCAGCACCTCACCCCTCAAAACCGCCTTCAACATTTAGGACACAGCGTAAGTGTCTTTTTTTTTTGAGACGGAGTCTCGCACTGTCGCCGGTGGCGCAGTCTCGGCTCACTGCAACCTCCCCCTCCCGGGTTCAAGCGATTCACCTGCCTCAACCTCCCATGATGTCTTGATTCAAAAGCTCTGCTGCTCTCAACTGCACAGACTTGTCTTCAAGTCCAGCAATACTTCTCTGATTTTCCACTTATTTACCAAAATGACCCTGTATGCAGCTGACTGAAGTGTTACCGTGAGAAAACCATGTAATGTTCAAACGGGTTTTTTGATATTAAAAGAAACAGCAGTACCCCCTTGAGAAGTCGACTTAGAGAAAGCTGGAGGCTCACGGCGGGGACAGGAAAGGCTTGTTTCTCACATGCCCGTGAAGTGATGTTTACACAAGACTCCAGCTTCAAAGCCCATGAAAGTGGGGGACACGCAAGTTGGTTTCTAAGGAAACATCCATGATCAGGGGAAAGAGGCGTCTCTGGCAAGGAGAACTATAATCTTTCTCCTGTACTTTAAACCAAGGCATGAGAAGATGAAAAGCCACGGAAGTTCCTCTAAGCTCCACAGACTTTCTCTGAATCCCTGTGACTGGCTGCTTTAATTCTGCCACCTTCCGTGCCTGGCTCTGCAAAGGTGCTCAGTAAATAAACGTTCATTGAATGAACAGACATTATGCACCCAGTGTACAAGTCCTTTGAGAAAAGGGGTCAAATCCCAATTCCCTTGAAATCCCGAGACATTTAATTTAATCAATGTTGAAGTAAAGTGTACAACAAAAAGTGCTGCATTTGGCAACACAAACACTAGAACCCAGTCCCCAAAGAGCAATAGAGAAATGGCCACCATGTAAGCACTGGGAAGCCAGCCAGCGGAGCTTGCCATCATCTGTCTAGCTTTTTTTTTTTTTTCCAAGACGGAGTTTCGCTCCTGTTGCCCAGGCTGGAGTGCAATGGCGCGATCCCAGTTCACTGCAGCCTCCGCCCCCTGGGTTCAAGCAATTCTCCTGCCTCAGCCTCCTGATTAGCTGGGATTACAGGCGCCCACCATGCCCAGCTAATTTTTTTTTTTTTTTTTTGTATTTTCAGTAGAGACAGGATTTTGCTGTGTTGGCCAGGCTGCTCTCAACCTCCTGGCCTCAGGTGATCCACCCACCTCGGCCTCCCAAAGTGCTGGGATTACAGGTATGAGCCACAGTGCCCAGCCCATCTGTCTAGTTTATATTCCATGCAGACTGTGCTGTAGATCCTCCTGGGCCCTACTGAGTGTGAAGTCTAGTGGAGGCCCAGCACCAGGGGAGCCAAAACAGGGATGCCTGGGCAGCATGGGAGAGCACAGAGAAGGGGCCCTGAGCCCAGACTTGGAGGCTCAGGTGGGCCTGGAGTGGTGGTTCAAAGGCCCAGGAAGACAGGGGGCAGAGGGGTTTGGAAGAGCACAATAAAGACACAGGAGCGGCCCAGCGCGGTGGCTCACACCTGTAATCCCAGCACTTTGGGAGGCCCAGGCGGGTGGATCACAAGGTCAGGAGTTCAAGACCAGCCTGGCCAATATGGTGAAACCTCATCTCTACTAAAAATACAAAAAAATTAGCTGGACATTGTGGTGCATGCCTGTAATCCCAATTACTCAGGAGGCTGAGGCAGGAGGATTGCTTGAACGCGGGAGGTGGAGGTTGCAGTGAGTTGATATCACGCCACTGCATTCCAGCCTGGGTCACAGAGTGAGACTCCATCTCAAAAAAAAAAAAAAAAGACATAGGAGCATAGACCGGCATCATGGATGTGGGGACCAGCACTAGGGTGTTGCTGGAGTGAAAAGCCCACATGGGAAGTGGTGCGGGCTGAGCCAAGAGCTGAGCCATGGCATCTTTGGGTGCTGAGCCAAGGATGTGAACTTCACCCCGAGAGCCATGAGCAGCCACTGAAGAATTTCAAGGAGGGGAGTAACATGATTTGATTCTTTTATTTTAAACTAACCACTATTTAAGCTCAGTCTATCCATGGAGGAAAAGAGCTAAGACAGGCAGACAGTTAGGAGGCGATTGTAGCAAATAATACAAACCAAAAACATTGGAAATGTTAAGAAGGTGGGTGACTGGTGTGGTAGCCAGATGGTTAGCAGAGCTGACCAGAGACGGTAAGGACGGGGATGGAGAGACAGGGAGAGGGGGAGTGGAGGGGAGCCCAGATGTGCAGCCCTGGAGCTCGGAAGAGAAGCAGGCCTGAGAGCCACAGAGCCCCAAGAGGTTGCCCGGAGAGAGAGTCCCGAGTGAGAAAAACAAAAACCCATGACAGGTCCTTGGGAAATTCTGCCACTTTCGAGGTTGTGGGAAGAGGGGAGCCCATAAAGGGCCTAGGAAGGGAGGGCAAAGTCATCCTAACCAAACAGACGTCAACATGAAGGCGATATCACCAATCAGAGGGGGCAGGGTGTTTCATGGAAGGAGAGGGCACAGCACCAAGTGCCCAGAGATTTCCCTGGGCACTCATATCAATGAAGTGGAATCAGCAAGAGCAGTATTGAGTGGCAGGGTGGAAGCCTGGGAACGGGAAGTGGGGGGACTGGAGTGAAGGGAAGATGAGGAAGAGGCGACAGGAATGGAACAGGCAATGCTTTCCAGTTGGCTCTCAAAGAATAGCACCACAGCAAGAGGGGTTCGGGCTTGAGGGAGGCTTTCTTTCTTTTCTTTTTCTTTTTTTTTTTTTTTTTTTTTTGAGACAGAGTCTTGCTCTGTCACCCAGGCTAGAGTGCAGTGGCCTGATCTCAGCTCACTGCAACCTCCGCCTCCCGGGTTTAAGCGATTCTTCTGCCTCAGCCTCCTGAGTAGCTGGGATTACAGGCGTGCGCCACCACGCCCGGCTAATTTTGTATTTTTGGTAGAGACAGGGTTTCACCGTTTTGGCCAGGCTGGTCTCGAACTCCTGACCTCGTGATCCTCCTGCTCCTCCGCCTTCCAAAATGCTGGGATTACAGGCGTCAGCCACCGCACCAGGCTGGGAGGCTTTCTTTAAAGGAGGTGGAGTATGTCCCTGTTTATATGCTGAACGGACATTCACCCCAGGCTATGGGTGGAGCGCTGGGCAAGGAAGAGGTGAGAGGAGAAAATGGGGCTCAGATGGAGGAAGGAGGGTCCACAGGAGCGGATAGAAGGAAGCGGAGCTCCCTTTGCCCAGTGACACGGCAGTCAGTCCTCTCCAGCTGACATTGCCATGTGGGAATGTGGGCTCAGTGAACATGACAAAATGTTGAGAGGCCATACATTCCATATTTTTGTTTATTGTTTTGTTTTGTTTTTTTGGGACGGAATATCACTCTGTCGTCGCCCAGGCTGGAGTGCAGTGGTGCAATCTCAACTCACGGCAACCTCTGCCTCCTGGGTTCAAGCAATTCTCCTGTCTCAGCCTCCCGAGTAGCTGGGATTACAGGTGCCTGCCACCATACCCGGCTAATTTTTATATTTCTAGTAGAGACAGGGTTTCACTATGTTGGCTAGGCTGGTCTTGAACTCCTGACCTCAAGTGATCCGCCTGCCTCGGCCTCCCAAAGTGTTGGATTACAACCATGAGCCACCATGCCCAGCCAGTCTCCTGATTCTTAAATGTTTGCAATTACCTCCAAAAAACAGTTTCATTTTGGTACAGGCCAGAAACATGGCTACGGCCCACACTGAGCCAATGACCCCTCCACGTAGCTCCCTATGACCCAGGATTTCCATAGCCCACAGTCACTCACTTCTTCCCCTCCAGCTCACCCTCCATGTGGGCATCTCCCTCCTAGGAGGCCTGAAAAAGACTTTCCTTTAGAGGATCAAAAAGACTTTTTCTACACTCTGGTAGATCTTCCACTAGGAGTAGATTCCAACCCTTTAATTCTGAGTCTTTGGTTTCTGCCCCACCCTGGCTTCTGGGTTTAATAGGTACTGTCTTAAAAGAATGTGGATATTCCACGGCAGCCCTCCCTATGAAGAAACGCTTGAGACTCCTTCTGAAGGAGTACGTAATCCTTCTGTAGTAAGTGCATTTCCTATGGGCTTCTCACAAAGCTGAAAGAAGAGTAGGGTTTGAATTTCCAGGCCCAGGAGAAAGAGGGGCTGGGCTCCTGGGGTCCTGAGCCATATCCTTCCACGTGTGGCTTCCACAGCCCAGGCAGGCATGCCCATCTGTGATAAAGGGTATCATTATCATAATCAAGGTCATCCGTCTTTCAGTCCCCATCACTTCTCTCACCTGCATTTGGGGTGGAGACTGAAACTGCCCCGGCTTGGCTGCTGGCTTCCTTCTGTTTGTTCTGGTCTTTGCATTCCAGTGCTGATGGCTGTGGTGTGTTCTAACAAGGATAAAGATTATCACCAGGTCACTCATCAAATCATCCAATCAATGAGCACTTTTCAAATGCCTACTATGGGTGTATAAAATACCAGAGACCCCACGTTTACCACTACCACCCCCCAACACACCCCAACCCAGCCCAAGCTCCACCATTGCCTGGAATCTCTAGCTGTAGAGAAGATAACAGAGAATCTTTAGAAGACAACTGGCCTAAGCTGAAGGACAGCCCTTTGTGAAAGCCCGGGGAATCTCACACAAAGGGGACAATGCTATCTCCGGTTCATCCACCCACCAGACCCAGTCATTCTCCTCAAGGGCTTTGCAAGGACAGAAGGAGAGAGATAAGGTACAACTGAACACTGAGGAACAATGTGTAAGAAAGGAGGGTTTTATTGTGGGACCACAGCACTCATCGGTTACTGCCCTCTGGGTATCTTTTCTCCAACAGCATTAAGCTGGATACTGCGGGGCAGGGGTTCCGATCACTAGATTCAGCTCCACTCAGAGTTCCTGATGCCTTACACAGTAGATCTCCAATCAGAGGTCGCTACCATCTGTGGGGAAGGGGAGTGTTCCCATCAAGAAGGAGAGCCCACCTGGCCATGGGATTCCCTGACCAATAGCAGGATTCCGTCTGGCAGCAACACTGAAACCAGTTCGTGGAGAACTATGGTTGCCATCAGTGTTTTCAACGGGTTACTCTTTTCATGTGTTTGCCCAAGTCTAACACCATCCCAGGAAATTACTCTTCCCAGCAGGATGCAGTGGCTCACACCTGTAATCCTAGCACTTTCAGAGGCTGAGGCAAGAGGATCACCTGAGCCTAGGAGTCCCACACCAGCCTGGGCAATATAGTGAGACCCCCACCTCTACAAAAAATAAAAAATAAACAAAATTAGCCAGGTGTGGTGGCACACAACCGTAGTCCCAGCTACTCAGGAGGCTGAGGCAGGAGGACTGCCTGAGTCCAGGAGGTCAAGGCTACAGTGAGCCATGATCACACCACTGCACTCCAGCCGGGGCGACAGAGTGAGACCCTGTCTCAAAAAAAAAGGGAGATTGCTCTTCCCCAGGGGATAGTAACCCAAAGGTTACATGAAAGGATTGAATCGGGACCTTCAGTTTCAAACAGATTAAATTTCTTTTTTATTTTCTTTCTACTGTTTTCTTTTCTTTTCTTTTTTTTTTTTTTTTTTGAGACAGAGTCTCACTGTGTGTCCCAGGCTGGAGGGCAGTGGCCAGATCTCAGCTCACCACAACCTCCAGCCTCCCAGGTTCAAGGGATTCTCCTGCCTCAGCCTCCCAAGTAGCTGGGATTACAGGCGTGTGTCACCATGCCCAGCTAATTTTTAGTATTTTTAGTAGAGACAGGGTTTCACCATGTTGGCCAGGCTGGTCTCGAACTCCTGACCTCAGATGATCCACCCACCTCAGCCTCACAAAGTGCTGGGATTACAAGTGTAAGACATCATGCTCGGCCTGTTTTCTTTCTTTCTTTCTTTTTTTTTTTTTTTTTTGACAGACTCTCGCTCTGTTGCCCAGGCTGGAGTGCAGTGGCACAATCTCACTGCAACCTCTGCCTCCCGGGTTCAAGCAATTCTCCTGCCTCAGCCTCCCAAGTAGCTGGGATTATAGGCATGTGCCACCACACCAGCTAAGTGTGTGGCTAAGCTTATTTTTAGTAGAGACGGGGTTTCACTATCTTGGCCAAGCTGGTCTCAAACTCCTGACCTCAGGTTATCCACTCACCTCGGCCTCCCAAAGTGCTAGGATTACAGGCGTGAGCCACCGTGCCCAGCCTTTTTTTTATTTTTTAAGAGATGGGGGGGGTCCCACTATGTTGACCAGGCTGGTCTTGAACTCCTGGGCTCAAGTGATCCTCCCATCTCCACCTCCCAAAGTGTTAGGATTACAGGTGTGACCCACCTGGCCGGGCCAAATGGTGAAATTTCTTATTCATCCTTCCTTCTTACAGGTGAACTATCTTCCCTGTTCCGAGCTTTCAGGAGGACTGTTGGGGCCACTTAAATTTTTCCTCCCCATAATGAAGCAAATTCTTCATTAGAGTTTTCTAGATGCTGAGACAATAAATTATTTGTCTTTGTCTCCGAGAGCTTAGCAGTGTCCCAGGCATTCTGGAAATGTTTGTGGCTTGGATAGATGAATGATGAGTGATGAAAGAATGAATGAGTGGTGAATAAATGAATGAATGAGTGGTGAATAAATGAATGAATGGTGTAAGAGTCTTTCAACTGAATGATATTTGCATTTCTCTAACAATCGATGGCATGAAAATTTCCAAGGTTCTTAAAAACTGCACATAGATTAATCCCATCTCACTGATTCTTCTTTCTTCACAAATTTTTAAAATTCTAATAATAATCAGATATAAATTATTTTACAAAAACAATCCTGTCTTTCCCAGAAAAAGTTTGGTTGAGAAATTCAGCATGTGATGACTCTTCTTTTTATTTCAATTGTTCAGTTTCTAGTTATAAAATGAAACTCAGAATAAGTCCAAATAACCACAGAAGGAAGGAATTTTTTTTTAATTTAGAAACAAAGATTGAATAATAATGGCAAACACATTGGCGCTTACCACATGCCAAACGATTTTTACCCTTATGTCAACTCCTTACATCAACTCTGGAGACAAGTACTACTACTACCCCGTTTTACACAAGAAGAAACTGAAGTACAGAGAGCTTAAATAACTTGCCCTAGATGGTACAGCTAGAAAGAGCCAGAGCTGGTCAGGCACAATGGCTCACACCTGTAATCCCAGCACTTCGAGAGGCCAAGGTAGGCAAATGGCTTGAGCCCAGGAGTTCAAAATCAGCCTGGGCAACATGGCGAAACCTTGTCTCCACAAAGAATTCAAAAATTAGCCAGGACCGCCGGGCGCAGTGGCTCACGCCTATAATCCCAGCACTTTAGGAGGCCAAAGCAGGTGGATCACCTGAAGTCAGGAGTTCAAGACCAGCCTGACCAACATGGTCTCTACTAAAATACAAAAATTAGCATGGCGTGATGGCGGGCGCCTGTAATCTCAGCTACTCAGGAGGCTGAGGCACGAGAATCGCTTGAACCCAGAAGGCGGAGGTTGCAGTGAGCCAAGATTGAGCCATTGCACTCCAATCTGGGCAACAAGAATGAAACTCCATCTCAAAAAAAAAAAAAAAAGTAGCCAGGCATGGTGGTACACGCCTGTGGTCCCAGCTACTCAGGAGGCTGAGGTGGGACAATCACCTGATCTCAGGGAAGTCAAGGCTACAGTGAGCTGTGATCACACCACTGCACTCTAGCCTAGGTGACAGAGTGAGACCACCTCCCCCAACCCGGGCAAAAAAAAAGAAAGTGGCAGAGCTGAGATTTGAATCCAAACTACCTGGTTCATAAACCCACACTCTAAACACTAAACCATCCATTCATGTTTCATAGCATATATTAGGAAATATGAAAGAAGGAAAAAAAATCCAAGCCAAAGTTGCCAGTATATTCAAGATAAGAAGTTATCCTATAGAAAGCATGGCTTTCACCTAAACATGTAGATTACCTCACAGTGTCCTGTTGTAATTCATTGCCAAAACTAGAGTGCTTTAGAAATAACAGTAATAGGCCGGGGACAGTGACTCATGCCTATAATCCCAGCACTTTGGGAGGCCGAGGCAGGCAGATTACGAGGTCAGGAGATCGAGACCAGCCTGGCCAACGTGGTGAAACCCAGTCTCTTCTAAAAATACAAAAAAAAAAACATTAGCTGGGCATGAAGGCATGCACCTGTAGTCCCAGCTACTTGGGAAGCTGAGGTAGGAGAATCACTTGAACCTGGGAGGCAGAGGTTGCAGTGAGCCGAGATCACGCCACTGCACTCCAGCATGGGGACAGAGCGAGACTCCGTCTCAAAAAAAAAAAAAAAAAATAGCAGTAATATGCCAGGCGCAGTGGCTCATGCCTGTAATCCCAGAACTTTGGGAAGCCAAGGCGGTTGAATTATTTGAGGCCAGAAGTTCGAGACCAGCCTGGCCAACATGATGAAACCTCGTCTCTACTAAAAATAGAAAAATTAGCCAGGCATGGTGGTATATGCCTGTAATCCCAGCTACTCAGGAGGCTGTAGCAGGAGGATCACTTGATCCCAGGAGGCGGAGGCTGCAGTGAGCCAAGATTGCGCCACTGCACTCCAGCATGGGTGACAGAGCCAGATCCTGTCTCAAAAAAAAAAAAAGAAGAAAGAAAGAAATAACGTTAATATTACTAAAAGCAAGCAAAACAAAGATTCTATAGTAGCTGGACTAAATAAAGGAGTAGGAAACGAGTTCAGTTACTATTCACTTTAGAAAATGAAACAATCAAATCATTAAGTAAATGGTTTTCTGATACAAATACAAAATTAATCTGAAACCATTAAAACAAGTCACACTGCCTTAAAAGTCCTAGGCTCCCTCTGAAAAGTGAACTTCAGGAAAAAGCCATTATGAAATCTAGCCATCCTAGGTGCTGTTGCAATTCAATCACTAGAGATTAATATTAAGATACTCTATGAGTCTAAACTGTACGGAAATCATCAAGCAGGGA
The DNA here is from genome assembly GCF_000001405.40 of Homo sapiens. Lineage (NCBI taxonomy): Eukaryota > Metazoa > Chordata > Mammalia > Primates > Hominidae > Homo > Homo sapiens. The sequence goes on from NC_000011.10 coordinate 62,496,412, forward strand.
GAAGGAAAATCTTGTTAGTAACAAAGAACTATGCCTAGAGAAAATTCTCAGGGAGAAAAATTCTTCCACAGCCACCACTCTGATGTAATCTTGAAAGCAGGTTGGCCGGGAGCGGTGGCTCACACCTGTAATCCCAGCACTTTGGGAGGCCGAGGCGGGCAGATCACAAGGTCAGGAGTTCGAGACCAGCCTGATCAACATAGTGAAACCCTGTCTCTACTAAAAGTACAAAAGTTAGCCGGGCGTGGTGGCGCGTGCCTGTAGTCCCAGCTACTCGGTAGGCTGAGGCAGGAGAATTGCTTGAACCCGGGAGGCGGCAGTTGCAGTGAGCCGAGATCGCATCACTGCACTCCAGCCTGAGCAGCAGAGGGAGGGAGACTCCATCTCAAGAAAGAAAGAAAGAAAGAAAAAGAAGAAAGAAAGGAAGGAAGGAAGAAAGGAAGGAAAAGGAAGGAAGAAGGGAGGGAGGGAAGGAAGGAAGGAAAGAAAGAAAGAAAAGAAAACAGAGGTTGAGAAAAATAGAAGAGCAAATGACATTAAGGTGTGGGTGGGAGAAGAAAATTGCCAAGGAATTAAATGGTATAAAATATAAAGTGTTCTTAAAGCTTTTCCTTTTAAAATGTACTTATCTGTGGAAAATATTATACTGAGTGATGCGTGGGCCTTGAAAAGATTAAGGCTGGATCCAGACTGCGGTATCATTCCTGAGGTACAAGGAAAAGGTTTGAAGATGGGCCTGATATCATCAAAGCCAAGCACAGGTCAAAACCAACAACTGCTAAAGTGTTCTGAGCTGATCAAAGGAGGAATCCAAAGGCCAGTGCACCATGCAGCCTGGGACTGAATGATTGGCATTGTCATCTCGTCATTCCAGGACATGACCACTATGTGGCAGGAAAGGATGTGGCAGAAGGGCAGGCTATGGCACCAAACAACTCCTTGAAGCCACTCAAGAAAACAGAGGATAAGGAAGGGAAGGGGGAGGTCACTCCCCTGAGGCCCTCCAAGGCCCCAGACTCTCCCATTTCATATCTAAAAGTCATGGTGAAATGGGTGGAGAAAAGTGATACACAACCATTCCTATCAAAAAAGGTGGAGACATGATTACGCCCTTTATGTAAAACAGTTACTAAGTAACAGAAGACATAGCATTAAATAGCATCATTACGACATATCTGATTATGTTACTAGTGTGAATCACTCACAATTTCCTGTCCAAGAGAGAGCTGAAATTTTTATTCTAACAAGATCATAGAAACTGGTAATAGGCCAGGCGCGGTGGTTCACACCTGTAATCCCAGCACTTCGGGAGGCTGAGGCAGGCAGATAACCTGAGGTGAGGAGTTCAAGACCAGCTGGGCCAAAATGACGAAACTCCATCTCTAGTAAAAATACAAAACAATTTTGCCAGGCGTGGTGGCACGCCCCTGTAATCCCAGCTACTCAGGAGGCTGAGGCAGGAGAATCGCTTGAACCTGGGAAGCAGAGGTTGCAGTGAGCCGAGACTGAGCCACTGCACTCCAGCCTGGGTGACAGAGGGGAGACTTCATCTCAAAAAAAAAAAAAGTAAACACTGGAAATGACTTAAAAGTCCATCAATAGAGGAATTGTCAAATATGCAATATATCTATGCTGCACAATATTTCACAATGAAAAGAACGAGGTAGGTCTGTTTTCACCTACATGGAACATCTCCAAAACGTTAAGAGGGGAAAAAGGAAACTGCAAAACAGCACAGTCCAATCTTATTTATGGTTTTATGGGTTTTGTTGTTGTGGTTGTTGTGTCGTTGCTAACCCACAAAACTCTAGGCTTCTATGTTAACATACAGACTTGTCCAAATGCATTGAGCAAAGTCTACAGGGCACATGCCAAGATGAAGCTAATGGTTATCACTAAGAAGGAGCACGCAAGTGTGTTTGGAACAAGGGGAATTTCTCTTGTATTGTTTTAATTTTTTACAAAATGAATGGCATACTAAGATTACACTAAATGTAATTATAATTACACTATATAGTGTAATTATAATTACACTATATGGTGTAATTAAAAATTGAATCTTTGGGGCCAGACATAGTGGCTCATGCCTATAATCCCAGTGCTTTAGAAGGCCAAGGTGGGAGGATCGCTTGAGGCCAGAAGTTTGAGAGCAGCACGTGAGCAACATAGTGAACCCAGACTCACTCTAAAAAAAAAAAAAAAAGAAATTTTTTTTTATTAGCTGGGCATGGAAGCTGTGCCTTTAGTAAGAGCTACTCAGAAAGCTGAGGTGGGAGGATCTCTTGAGTCCAGGAGTTCAAGGTTGCAGTGAGCTGTGATCATGCCAGTGCACTCCAGCCTGAGTGACAGAGCAAGGCCCTTCTCTAAAAAAAATAAAATAAAAACAAAAAACAAAATAAATAGATCTTTGGAAATGTTGGCTCTAAAAATTTCCACCTGTCCAACAGAATATTCATTAGGATTGAAAGTACTTTACCAGCTGTGATTACTTCAACAAGGGGAGGTTCATTATTCAACAAATATTTATTGAGCATCTACTGTGGGCCAGGCACTGTTCTAGACTCTGGGGATATATTAAAAATCCCTGCCTTCATGGAGCCTATATTCCAGCGGACTTTATGGCCTCTCTTCCGCCTCGCTTCTCCCACTTCCTTTGGTGGGAGTGGTCTCTGGAAGACAGGCATGGGCATGGGGAGATAAAATATGCCCGGAGGCAGGGGCATGACGTAGATGAACTCTGACCATGTCTTCTAGGCCTGGGAAAGAGGAAAAGATAGAAAGGGTTTAAGGCTTTAGTGCAGACCCATAGCATCCGACTGGCCTCTCACTAAACATCCTCTGTATCTGTTCAAACCTGCCAGGCGCAGTGGCTTATGCCTGTAATCCCAGCACTTTGGGAGGCCGAGGCGGGTGGATCACCTGAGGTCGGGAGTTCGAGACCAGCCTGACCAACATGGCGAAACCCAGTCTCTACTAAAAATACAAAAAAATTAACTGGGCATGGTATCGTGTGCCTGTAATCTCAGCTATTCGGGAGACTGAGGCAAGAGAATCGCTTGAACCCGGGAGGCGGAGGTTGTAGTGAGCCAAGATCGCACCACAGCACTCCAGCCTGGGCAACAGAGCAAGACTCCATCTCAAAAAAACAAAAAACCAGCCGCACAAGTTGAGCTGTCGGCAGCTGCGCAGCTCCTAGCCACTCCTCCATCTCCTGGAGACTGTGAACCAAGCCACAAAGGGGAAAGGGGTGTGGCCGAGTGCTGGTGGGGCTTAGGAGCTCCTGGCTCCTCTGGGATGCCAATGAGACTTCCCTTCTGGCATGAGGCCACGTAGAATGATGATGGCTGAGAGTGCAGCAGTAGGAGGACAGAGGATAGCTGGTAAAGGGAAAGTGAGTAAGTGGAAGGAAGTCCATGTAAGAGCTAACTGTGCTCCATCTGGGCCAAAATGGGGAGATCACATCTCCCTTCAGGCGTCATCTGACACCAGACCAAGGCTCAGCCAAGCTTTTCTGTGCTGGAAAGCCAGAAGCCAGGAAGGAGAGCCTGCTGCTCCTGGGTGCCCTCACTTTCCAGTCCTCTGCTCCTCTGTCCCCCACACCAGACTACCTGGCTCCAGCTTGCTTCTTGTCTAAGCTGAACAGAATAGAGAAGAGGGCAGGTGAAATGCCTCAAGACAGGCCTGGCATGAAAAAGTGGAACTTAGTTTGTGGCTTACCCAAGAGATTAAACATAGTCTAGTTGTATCCACGCAATTAAGATGGGAAGGTTAAGGATCCTGTATTCCAGATCAATCTGCACTCACAAAACGAGGACCGTAGTAAACGCAAAGGAATGACTCAATAGTAGCGAAATTCAGACATCCTTGACAAGCCAGTAGGGGAGATATTTCAGGCTAGGGCAGCCTCACCTGAGGCCTTCAAATCATACTATAAAGGTACCTGGCTGCCCCACCTGAGCCCAGCCTAGCCAGCTTCCCAGCTATGTCAGTTCACACAGGTGCTAGAAGGCTGGGGTAATCTGATTGGCCCAGAGAGTCATGTGTGCTACAGAACACTACCTTCGTTAACGATCAGAGTCAGGTTTGAACCTGTTCCTCCCAAACCTACGTGCTGTCCCTCAGAGAGCCCGATGATGACACACAGGGCGTGGTATGTGGCTCCGAACCTCCCCAGTGACTTAAAAAATCCAAGTGGGTTTTAAATTGCTGCTCCCAGTTGATCATACCAGAAATCGAGCTATAGAACCGCCTCAACATCATTTTTTTTCTCCCACTTTGAGCTAAGTGAACAAACTGGGAGATTTCTGCCTCACCACTTTACATAGTAAATAATCCTTTCATCTCCCCTTTGGCTGGGAAGAGCTTACTCTGTGTGGACAGGGAACCAGCAGAAGCCTCTATGTCAGCTGAGTTTTGAACAAGGCAGCGTTGAGCTGGGAATGCTCACTATCAAGTTTTTTCCCCCTTGACAACTGGATGTGGACATTGCTCAGACATACTGTATCACATTAAAACATACAATTCTGGCCAGGCACAGTGGCTCACATCTGTAATCCTAACACTTTGGGAGGCTGAGATGGGAGAATTGCTTGAACCCAAGAGTTCGAGACCAGCCTGGGCAACATAGTGAAACACCATCTCTACAAAAAAAAATCAAAAACACAAAACAAATTAGTCAGGCGTGGTGGCACTTGGGAGGTTGAGGTGGGAGGATTTCTTGAGCCCAGAAGGTGGAGTGGCAGATGGCACCACTGCTTTCCAGCCTGGGGGTCAGAGTGAGACCCCATCCAAAAAAAAAAAACAATTTTATCCCTGCCTTTCAAAGGGATTTCCAGTCTCAATGCCTCAAATTCTACATTCTAGAAGAACTTTGCCTGCCAGGCACGGTGGCTCACGCCTGTAATCCCAACACTTGGGGAGGCCAAAGTGGGTGGATCATGAGGTCAGGAGATTGAGACCATCCTGGCCAACGTGATGAAATTCCATCTCTACTAAAATACAAAAAATTAGCCAGGCAGGGTAGTGCATACTTGTAGTCCCAGCTACTCAGGAGGCTGAGGCAGGGGAATTGCTTGAACCCGGGAGGTGGAGGTTGCAGTGAGCCGAGATCGCGCCACTGCACTTCAGCCTGATGACAAAGCAAAACTCCATCTCAAAAAAATAAAATAAAAGAACTTTGTCAAACCCTGAGAGAAATAAATGCACTTGCCAAACCCCAGCATGATGTGAGCACTTTGCTCTCCAGATGCCACAAATACTCTACTGCGCTCACATGTCAATATATCACAGCCAAGTGCTGCCCAGCAAATACACAGGGCTTTGTCTCATTCTGCAGCGCTGGACGCTGGCCACGGAGCCACTGTTGCTGTGTCTGTCAGGCTCAAAGAGAGCGGTGGGGCAGGCAGGGGGCATGGGGCAGTTCGCTGCAAAGACAAAGCCAGCCCCGCATTGCTGCAGGTGGGAAACACAACCCTCCACATCCCAGCCAGGCTTTCCAGGTCAAAAAATTCTCTAGGAAGGAAGGGAAGGAGAACAAAAGAATAATCAAAAGCCACACTTCCTAGACTTAAGCAGTGAGAGACGTTTCAGATGCCAGCCACCCATTTCGGACCAAACTGGGCAGATTTGGGGTGTCTTCTCCTCTTCCACACCCGAGCACTCCTTCACTCCCTCTTCCTCAACTTCCTGCCCCAAGCAACACCCTTTTTGCCGTTCTTGCCACCCCACCTTTCTTGGGCTTCAGGTCCTCGACTTCAGAGTCTCCAAGCTTTTCCTCTGCCTCCTTTCCCACCCCAGCAGGGCAGTCCTGGGGGCTGGAATGGTGTCAATTTGAGAAGTTTGCCAGCCAACAGGGCACAGAATTTAGCTGAATTCACACTCAGCAGCTCAAGGAAAGCAGCCAAAGTGCAAAACTTCAGCAACCGTTTATTAGAGAATGTTTATTTTGTTTTGTTCTTTAACTTTTGTTTGTTTTTACCCTAAGTACAGGCTAAAACCTGAGAGATCAAGAAACTAAACAGTAATTGACAGAAGGAAAATTGGAGCACCAGTCGCTGAGGGGAAGTGTATGAAGTGATCGGTTAGTGATAAGATGGCTTATCAAGTTTCTGCCACGTGCCATGTGCCTGGCCGTGTGCTGGAGACATAATGATGGACAAGCATACTACTTCTCACTCACAGAGCTGACAGTCCGGAGCAAGAGGCAGACAGACAAGCCATTGGCCACTAATATTTTAATATGAATAGTGCTAAGAACAAAAAAGTACAGAGCAACATGAATGCGTGAGATAGCTGGGGAAGATGGGGAGTATCCAGGAAGGCTTCCAGGAGGAAATGACCTCTGAGCTGAAACCCAAAGGATGAGGAAGAAAAGCCTGCATGAAAGCCAGGTGCTGGAAAGAGAAGAGTATGTTAAAAGAGTACTGGGAAGAGCTGAGTGTGGCTGCAGAGGCCGGCTTGAGACTGCAGAGGCTGACAGTAGCTAAGTCAAAAGCAGAGACCACCAAGTGCTCCCTGGGCATTGGCTGGAGTATGAAAAGGCTGAGACATGTAGTGTTCGGAGCCACCTCCAAGACCTTTTTTTCCCTGTGTGAACCTATGTACAGTTCACGCTGGCTTACTGAAGCATTTCTGTCCAACTTTTAATTCTCCATATTCCGTGAGAGTTCAGCAAATGCTCATAAATACAAAACAATCAACAGTCCAATCCATGTCAGAGTAGAGTGAGTGGGGGACACGCCCTGACTCCCATGTTTTTTCCTGTCCTTATTTCTGCCACCAGCAAAGCCCAATCAAAGGTTGTCCACGATTACATAACCAGGCATGGCAAGTAAGCCTCAGCGGACACACAGGATCTGACCACTTCCCCTTCGGAAACTGTAAAACAACGAAAGTGGGCTGGGCACGGTGGCTCACGCCTGTAATCCCAGCACTTTGGGAGGCCAAGGCGGGGGGATCCTGGGTAAGGAGTTCGAGACCAGCCTGGCCAACATGGTGAAACCCTGTCTCTACTAAAAGAAAAATTAGCCGGGCATGGTGGCGGGCGCCTGTAATCTCAGCTATTCAAGAGGCTGAGGCAGGAGAATCACCTGAACCCAGGAGGCAGAGGTTGCAGTGAGCCAAGACCGTGTCATTGCACTCCAGCCTGGACAACAAAGCAAGACTCCATCTCAAAAAAAAAAAAGAAAAAGAAAAAAAAAGTGAGTGTTTGCAGAACATGCAGAGTGGCCTTTTTACCTGGGTTGCCGGCAAGGTCTGGACTCACCATCCAGTGGCAAGAACCCGATTAATCCAAGGTGTTTATTTCCTTTTGATAAACAGTAACATGTGATTTTCCATTTTTAGACACAATAATTACTTCAAACTAAGAGCAGTCACCAAAATCAGTACTTAGAGGGAGTGGTTTTCCTTCATAAGAGGGCAGCAGCTCAGTTTAAAAAATAACTTCTTTTAAAGTCCCTGCCTCCAGGCCGGGCGTGGTGGCTTATGCCTGTAATGCCTGCACTTTGGGAGGCCGAGGCGGGTGGATCACCTGAGGTCAGGAGTTCCAGACCAGCCTGGCCAACATGGTGAAACCCCATCTCTACTAAAAATACAAAAATTAGCCAGGCATGGTGGTGCGCACCTGTAATCCCAGCTACTAGGGAGGTTGAGGCAGGAGAATTGCTTGAACTCAGGAGGTGGAGGTTGCAGTGAGCCAAGATCACACCACTGCACTCCAACCTAGGCAACAGAACAAGACTCTATCTCAAAAACAGAAAGAGAGAGAGAGAGAAAGAAAAAGAAAGAAAGAAAGAGAGAGAGAGAAAGAAAGAGAGTCTTAGATATGATTCAAGAGACACGCAATTTTTGGAAAAACATGATGTTTAAATAGCGTGAAGGACAAAAAGCCTAGCATCCCTGCCAGGCCCCCCAGCAAATTTACCCAGAGCTTATCCCACCTGGGGCTCCTCCCTCCTGCAGCTAAATTCCTAGAATTTATTTTCTAGGAATTTTTCTAGGAATTTAGACAATCCGCACTGGCTGCCTCCACTCTCTCATCTGACTTCCCTATCTGGCTGAAGGGCCCACTTGAAATTCAAGTTGTGAGCCGAACTTGCAATCTTACAAATAGAAAATGCCCTGGCGTTATTCTTGCCTGCCTGCTCACATTCCAGCCCTCCCCACCGCCTGGCCACCGAAGACAGAGGACAGAGGCGTGGTTGGCAGCCACGCGCCCTTGAGGAGACCACACACCTAGGTAAACACTGGCTGGAAAGACCCAAGGTTGTCAAAAGCCTCCCCTTTCACCTGGCTGGGGCTGGGGAACCTTAAGGCCAAAACTCCTCCACATAGGGGTCAAGCGCCCCTGCCCCACCCCCTACCCTGCCCCCTGCAGCCCAGCATCCAGAGGATGTCAGGAGCTCCCAGAGGAGAAAGCAAGGCGGTACCACGCTGTTTGTGAGGATGGGCTAAAAGGCTCTGCCGTTTCAAAATGCCCTAAGCTGGCCTGCTGATGGGCCTGAAATAACCACGTGAGAGACCCATCCCTCAGGGTCTAAAAGCTCTCTTTTTAAATGTAAAGTTTCAAAAGCAATAACATATATGACGCTGACACTCTCCAGGACCTTAGTTTCTCAGGGTACAAAGCTGTCATTTGAAGGAAGTCTGGATAAAGGGGAAAGCGCGCAATGAAAGGCCAGTGTTTGGGCATTGGGGACCCACTAGGGTAAGGGGTGAGGTCCCGTGGCCACCCCTTGGGAGGTGTATACCTGGTCTCAGCAGCTTCCCGACAGCCCCCCAGGGTCTTCTTTCCCACTTGCTCGCCCCGTCTTTGCTCCCCTCTGTGTCCCACGCCTCCAACCCAGTCTGCGGGCACATGGCTCACAGCAACCCCAGGGGATAAAAATCTGCCTAGCAACGGGTCATGAGGCCCAAATATGGCCTGGCGATTGACAGTTCGGCCAATGGGGTGTGGCCACAGATGCTCTCTAGAGACCAGGGTCTCATGCCCTTGATTCTGAGGGCCCCGGGCTTGCTGGATGGGGGTTCACCAGGTATCATCCCGTTTCTGGTTGGAGCAAGGGACCTTGCCTCGCTATTGAAAGCGCGCTGCTTTACTTCGATTGTAGGTTTGTTTGGAGTGCCAGGAGGGATTTATGGAGACAGGGAGCGGGGCTAAAGTCCCCTCGAAGTCACCCTTTGGCACTGTCCTTTCTCCCTGTGAGTCCTCTCCCTCTTTTTCTTTCCTTCCCGCTCCACGCCCTTCAACGCTCCCTGCCGCTCATTGCAAGCCGCCGCCCTTCCCTCCCCCTCGACCTAGGGCTTTGCTCCTCCCCTGCTGCCTCCCCCGACACACCTCCCCCTACTCTCCACCCGCCCCCAGCAGGACCCCTGGCCACACTGTCAGCCTCTGCCCATCCCGGGCTCTTTCTCTCGTTTCCCCCCTTAGTTTTCTGCTTGCTTTCTTCTTCTCCAGCTCCCCATAATCTCCGGAATGAAGAGCAAGCGGTCCGGGCCGGGTGCGGTGGCTCATGTCTGTAATCCCGGCACTTCCGCAGGCCAAGGCAGGAGGATCGCTGGAGCCCAGCCTGGGCAAAATAGCAAGACCCCCTGTCTCTACCAAAAAAAAAAAAAAAAAAAAAAAGGCGGGGGTGGGGGGATGGTTAACAAGCTGGGCATGGTGGCGCACGCCGGTAGTTCCAGCTACTCGGTAGGCTGAGGTGGGAGGATGGCTTGAGCCCAGGATGTCCAGGCTGTGGTGAGCCATGATCACGCCACAGCACTCCAGCCTGGGCAACAGAGCGAGACCCTGTCTAAAAATAAATAAATAATAATAAGTAAATAAATAAATATTAAAAAAAAAAGAGCCAGTGGTCTGAGCTTGAGGACGCCCGAGTTCCTTCCCCTTGGAAGGGTGTCGGGGTTTGTGGGGTCGGGGGAGCTGCTGCATCCCACCCAGGAGGCCAGGAAGACTGAGATCCTTCTACTCACACCACAGATTGTTGGCAGGTTCTCACTTCGGGCTAAAATCAGCCTCGCCCTGCAGCCAAGCAGGGCCGGCAGGTGAGGAGATACAGGGGAAACTGTCAGGGGCAGGAGCAACTTTGTTCCACCCAAAATTCCTCCCTGCAGCCCCCTTGCATTTTCAGGTTCTCCCCCCAGACAGGAGGCTCAGCCCCTCAGGGCCCCAGCTGGCCAGAGGGTTGTGCCTGGCCTGCATTTTCCTAGCTGCAGGGCAGCAGGACGCCATGGGCTTAGCCAGGGCTGGGGGCCTTCCAGGCTGTGTGGGCCGGGTGGTCTGGGACCAGTGGGTGGGGCTCGTTACAATTCAGATGATTTGATCATAGTTTCTCCCTTGTTTATTATTATAGTGGAAGAGTGAAGACTCAGGAGAGGAAGGACCCAGGGTGGCCCGGGGCAGGAGAGCCTCGGGAGGGACTGACAGCAGCCAGGAGGCTGAGCCTGAACCCTAAACCCTACTCCCTCCTCCCCAAAATGGGCAAATGGGTGTATGTCCCAGTTTTTTCCTTTCATGGCTGGACCTGAAACCAGCCAAGCTGCCTGGCTTTCAGGTTTCATTCTGAGTTCGTCCCCCTTCTCTTGCTCCCTGGCCTGACCCTGCTAAACCTCCCACGCACACATCTCCACTTCCACACTTTTATTCCCCGGTCCTTCTGCCTGGAATTCCCTCCCCCCACTCCTCTCCAAACCTTGAAATAGTTATACACTGTTATTAACAGTCTTCCTGGTACCAGAGCAAGCAGAATGCTATTAAAAGCATGGGCTTTTCAGTCAGCACAGACCCCCGTGTGAATCCTGACTCTGCTGTTTGCTAGCTGTGTGACCTTGGACATCCTGCTTAACTTCTCTGAGCCTCAGTTTCTTTGTCTGTTAAATGAAAAAAATAATACCCACCTCATGTGGTTGTTGTGGAAATGAAAAGAGAGAAAGCATGTAAAATACATACACAATGCCTCACACAAACTAAGAGTATATAAGAATAGCTAACACAGTATTTACTATATGCTGACCACATTATGTTAATTTAAATCATCCTCCCAACAAAGCTGTGAGAGAAGAACCATATCATCCCTGTTTTATAGATTTAAAAAACAGGGCTGGGGATGCGGGCTCACACCTGTAATCCCAGCACTTTGGGAGGCCAAGGCGGGCAGATCACTTGAGGTCAGGAGTTTGAGACCAGCCTGACCAACATGGCAAAACCCCGTCTCTACTAAAAATACAAAAATTAGCTGGGCGTGGTGGGCACGCCTGTAGTCCCAGCTACTCAGGAAGCCGAGGCAGGAGAATCCAGGAGGCAGAGGTTGCAGTAAGCTGAGATGGCACCACTGCACTCCAGACTGGGCGACAGAGACTCCGTCTCAAAAAAATAAAAAACAAAAAACAAAAAACTGAGGCACAATGAGGTTTGATAACTTGCCCAAGGTCACGCAGCTAGGAAATAGCAGAACTGATAACTGATATTATTATTATTCCCCTACTGGATGGTAGGCTCATTGAAGAAAGGGGCTTTGCACATAATAATGGGGGTTTTTTAATTTGTTTTTTGAGACTGGGTCTCGCTCTGTCATTCTGACTGGAGTGCAATGGCACAATCACAGCTCACTGCAGCCTTGAATTCCTGGCCTCAAGTGATCCTCCTGCCTCGGCCTCCCAAAGCATTGGGATTACAGGAGTGAGCTATTGTGCTGGGCCATAATAACTTTAATAACTACTTTCGACAATGTTAAAAAGTCCGAGTTCAAGTCCCTGCAAATTTCAAGAGGCATCCTCTATTTCCTAAAATTCCCCCAGAAAAGAAATTCCCAGCTTCTTCAGGGAAACGGCAGTGACATCACAGGGAAGAAAAAAAAAATTCTTTTTTTAATCAGAAAGCTTGGATCGATTTTGGCCAAGTCACCTCTTCCCAACTCTATGAGTTGAGACCAATCGCTTCGCTTTTCCGAGCCTCACCTTTCTGGTTTGTAAGATAGGGTCAGCAAATGCCAGAGCTGCCTGCTTGCCTGGGCGGAGCTGAGAACGCAGTGTGAGATCTCAAGAGATAAAGCACTCTGTGGACTAGAACGCCCTGTCCAAAGAGAAGGCCTTTTCATTCGTAACCCTTTCCCATCCTTGGCCCCACTACTGGGAAGTTTTTCCATTAGGGCCAAGCCTCAAGCGTGTGGTGGAAAATAACAGAGGCATTTAAAGGGAAATGAAACTGCCCTCCTCAGCAGAATGTTCCCTACACATTTGCTGTGGCCCATGGCAGCGCCTCTGCTGGGCGCCTTCAGCCTTAGGAAGCACCAGCGGCTGCCTGACGCCACGGGGCAATTCAGAGGCTGGTAAACAGCACATGGCATTCCCGGCCCGTGGCAGGCATTCATGCATGGAATTCTTTGTCCTCGTGAGGAAAGACAGAGAGCTGCTCTGTGCTGCAAAGCTCAAAGCCAGAACTCCACTTTCAAAACTCCCAGCCCGAGATCACGCCAAGGCTAAGCATGCCACCAACCCCTTAAAGTGTGCTTGTGAGATAAACTTGCCCAAACTTGGACTTTTATCTTGAAAACTTGGGTTTCCTTGTTAATTCCAATGAGGAGTCATGGCAACGTTACAATGGAGAAACTTAGCAATCTCCTACTTAACCAAGGAATTGAAATTAACATACCCATCATGTGCCTCCTGACACGAGGCACCAAAAAGGACCCAATATCACTTCTGTGGAATTCCTGCCCCAAAATGTATAACCTGAACCCAATCATGAGGAAATATCATCAGACAAACCCAGATTGAGGGACATTTCTAGAAAACTGGTCCCACACACTTCAAAAATATCAGTGCCATGCATGACAAAAAAAAAACTGAGAAACTATTACAGATTAAAGAAATAAACAGCCGGGCACGGTGGCTCACGCCTGTAATTCCAGCACTTTGGGAGGCCAAGGTGGGTGGATCACTTGAGGTCAGGAGTTCGAGACCAGCCCTGTCTCTACTAAAAATACAAAAAATTAGCTGGGTGTGGTGGCAGGTGCCTGTAATCCCAGCTATTCAGGAGGCTGAGGCAGGAGAATCACTTGAACTCGGGAGGCAGAGGTTGCAGTGAGTCGAGATCACACCATTGCACTCCAGCCTGGGTGACAAGAGTGAAACTCCGTCTCAAAAAAAAAAGAAAGAAAGAAAGAGACCAAGACAACTAAACATCATGTGAGGTCATCAACAATTGAACCCCAAAGAGGAAAAAAAGACATTGTCGCCGGGCATGGTCGCAAATCCCAGCACTTTGGGAGGCTGAGGCAGGCAGGTCCCTTGAGGCCAGGAGCTCAAGACCAGCCTGGCCAACATGGCGAAACCCCGTCTCTACTAAAAAATACAAAAATTAGCCAGGTGTGGTGGCGGGCGCTAGTAATCCCAGCCACTCAGGAGGCTAAGACAGGAGAATCGCCTGAACCTAGGAGGTGGAGGTTGCAGTGAGCTAAGATCGCACCACTACACTCCAACCTGGCAGACAGAGCAAGACTCTGACTCAAAACAAACAAAAAAAGACATTACTGTAAAGACAGTTACTGGGGCAACTGGTGAAATTTAAAGATATACTACATATTAGATAATATGTCAATGTTTTGTTTCCTGAATTTAATTATTGTATTGGAGTTTTGTTTGTTTGTTTGTTTGTTTGTTTGTTTGAGACGGAGTCTCACTCTGTCGCCCAGGCTGGAGTGCAATGGCACAGTCTCAGCTCACTGCAACCTCCACCTCCCCCGGGTTCAAGAGATTCTCCTGCCTCAGCCTCCTGAGTAGCTGCCACCACACCCGGCTAATTTTTTGTATTTTTAGTAGAGATGGGGTTTCACTATGTTGGCCAGGCTGGTCTGGAACTTCCTGACCTCAAGATCCACCCGCCTCAGCCTCCCAAAGTGCTGGAATTACAGGCGTGAGCCACTGCGCCCGCCCTCTATTGGAGTTATATAAAAGAATGCCCATACATGCTGAAGTATTTATGGGTAAAGGATCATGATGTCTGTAATTTACTCTCAAATGATTCAGCAAAAGTAATGATAACACCTATATGAGCCAGGTGCGGTGGCTCATGCCTGTAATCCCAGCACTTTGGGAGGCCAAGGCAGGTGGATTACCTGAGGTCAGGAGTTCGAGTCCAGCCTGGCTAACATGGTGAAACCCTGTCTCTACTAAAAATACAAAAATTAGGCAGGCATGATGGCACAAACCTGTAATCCCAGCTACTTGGGAGGCTGAGACAGGAGAATTGCTTGAGCCCAGGAGGTGGAGGTTGTGGTGAGCCAAGAGTATGCCACTTCACTCCAGCCTGGGCAACAGAATGAGATTCTGTCCCAAACAAACAAACAAAAAAACCATATATATATATATGTATATGTAGAGAGACAGAGAGAGATTAAAGCAAACAAAGTAAATGTTAGCAATTGGTGAATCCAACTGAAAGCTATATGAATATTCATTGTATTATTCTTGCAACTTCTCGGTAGATTTGCATTCAAAATAAATACACTTTAAAAAAAAAGAAATTTCAGGTACACAATTAGCTGCATCTCCCACATAATGTTTTTTAATGTCACAGCTAATGCAAAATACCAAAGAGCTAAGGTGGCACTCTGAAGCAGGACATGTATATAAGCAACATGCAAAGTCCTCATGGGTGATGCACTTTTGCTTTGGGGTGCTGGAGACATAGCAATATTTCAACAGTGCAGCCTTTGCTCAAAACATTTGAGACAACTTCCCAACCACACAGGAAAGTTAGTCACACACATAATCACGCCTTGCTTTTGACCCCAAACAACCCACCCACCTAATTAACCAGGCTTGTTTTTTGTTTTTTTTTTTTTGCTTGTTTGTTTGTTTTGAGACGAGTCTCGCTCTGTCCCCCAGGCTGGACTGCAGTAGCATGATCTCAGCTCACTGCAGCCTCTGTCTCCCAGGTTCAAATGATTCTCCTGCCTCAGCCACCAGAGTAGCTGGAATTACAGGCATGTGCCACCACGTCCAGCTAATTTTTATATATTTTTTAGTAGAGACGGGGTATCGCCATGTTGGCCAGGCTGGTCTCAAACTCCTGACCTCAAGTGATCCACCCACCTCGACCTCCCAAAGTGCTGGGATTATAGGCATGAGCCACCGCGTCCGGCCCAGCAGTAGATTTTTTACAGAAGTAAGTGTAGAGCTTCCCGAGGTGACCACTGAAAGCAGAATTGCCATTGGGACATATGTGTGCTTCTTTAAGAAAAAACTGTAGCATTACTTTATGATCATACCTTAAATTCTAGTTTAAGAAACCTCGATGTATAAAAATTCAAACTTATCAAACAGAAAAAACGAGAGACAGAGTCTTGCTTTGTCTGCCAGGCTGGAATGCAGGCTTAAGTGATTCTCCTGCCTCAGCCTCCTGAGTAGCTGGGACTACAGGCGAGTGCCACACCGGGCTAGTTTGTTTCTTTTCTGAGATGGAGTCTTGCTCTGTCACCCAGGCTGGAGTGCCGTGGCACAATCTTGGTTCACTGCAACCTCCACCTCCCGGGTTCAAGCAATTCTCCTGCCTCAGCCTCCCAAGTAACTGGGATTACAGGTGCGCACCACCACGCCCAGCTAATTTTGTATTTTAGTAGAGATGGGATTTCACCATGTTGCCCAGGCTGGTCTCAAACTCCCGAGCCCAGGCAATCCACCTGCCTCGGCCTCCCAACGTGTTAGGATTACAGGCGTGAGCCACTGCACCTGGCCTTGTCCTGGTTATTCTCTATCTGTTCCCTCCACCTTCAGACCCCTGCTCCTGCTTCTCTGCCCGACTCTGTGCCCCAGGAGGTGGATCAGCTGCAACACCTGGGCTCCCGTGCCCTCCAGTGGAGAGAGGGGTCAGGGTGTTCCTCCCTGCTTCACACGGCAGGCAGTTCTGGCAGATGCTGGTCCTCTATGGCTATAGTCCCCACTGAGGATTCCTCCTCTACCTCCAGTGCACGCTGGACTTCAGGAACACCACTTCTTCCTCATATCCTTCAGGGCCAGGGATAGTACCAGCTTCCTACTGCCCCTGGGGGTCTCACCACCCCTTGTGGCCTCCTTTGCCCCTGCCCACTACTCCATAAACTGTCTCTTTATTAGGTCTCTCTGATTGAACTATCTTCAAATGGAACTAAGTTTGCGAGAGGGAACCTGACAGATAGAGAAATGAGTGTGAGTTTATGAAAATTATTCCCTGGGCTAAGCGCGGTGGCTCATGCTTGTAATCCCAGCACTTTGGGAGGCCAAGGAGGGAGTGATTGATTGAGCTCAGGAGTTTGAGACTAGCCTGGGCAACATGGTGAAACCCCGTCTCTACAAAAAATACAAAAATTAGCCCGGTGTGGTGGTTGAGCTTGAGAGGTGGAGGTTGCAATGAGCTGAGAACGTGCCACTGCACTCCAGCCTGGGTGACAGAGCAAGATCCTGTTAGGAAGAAGGAAGGAAGGGAGGGAGGGAGGGAGGGAGGGAGGAAGGGAAGGAAGAAGGCAAGGGAGGAAGGAAGGAAGGGAGGGAGGGAGGAAGGAAGGAAAGGAGGAACTGTTCACTATTCCCTGCCATTTGTGAGCCCATGGTGTAATTCAAAATAATTCTGTTTTCCCAGATGCCCCCTTAACTACACCACTGTCCACACACAGTCACACTGCCTAAAGCGAGGCTGACCTTGAGACTGCAGTCCTTGCAATTGCTCCTTGCTGAACTCTGGGAAAGAACATCACAGAGTCCAGCCCCTTCCCAGTCTCCTGACGCTGCTCTCACCCTCGAGTGCAGGAACCAGGACCTTAGAGTGTCAGACCTTGCAAGGCTGGTTCCTGCAAGACTTTAGGGGATAGGCCGGGCGCCATGGCTCACGCCTGTAATCCCAACACTTTGGGAGACCAAGGTAGGCAGATCACGAGGTCAGGAGTTCGAGACCAGCATGGCCAACATGGCAAAACCCCATCTCTACTAAAAATACAAAAATTAGCCAGGTATGGTGGCAGGCGCCTTTAATCCCAGCTACTCAGGAGGCTGAGGCAGAAGAATCTCTTGAACCCGGGAGGCGGAGTTTGCAGTGAGCCAAATTCACACCATTGCACTCCAGCCTGGGCAACAAGAGCGAGACTCTGTCTCAAAAATAAAAAAAAAAAAAGACTTTAGGGGATAACTTGGACCACCCCATCAGGAACTGAGGGAGGGCAGGGGTAAGGTGCATGGGCAGGGCGAGGGAGCTGGGGTGCGCCCTCCACACACCACATAAGCCCGTGTCTCCTCCCATGCCGTCGCTGCTGTGGTAACCATCACTGCGGGAAGCAGCGTTCATGTTCTGTGGCCACTGCCTCCAGCCCAGACCTGACATTGAGAAGAAGGTGGCTAGAAGACTCTCAAGTTTGTACAGCTAGTTGCCTTGTCCCTTCTCCATCCTACCCACCACCCACTGACTGTCCCACCCAATGAGATCACTGGCCTCGCCATCCCTGGTACATGCATGATTTCCACGGGTTTATTGCCAGGGCTCAAGGCATTCCAGTTTTTCACACCCATCACATCATTCACTCTGTGGAGATCCTCAGAAGAGGAATCTGAGATCAGTGGGACTGGGACACATCTAGCCACGTGGGACTCAGAAAACATTTATTGAATGGACACTGGGGGCCACCACTAGCCTTCATCACTTCTTCCTAAAGTTAAAAAAAAATTTAATTGATATATTATTGGACAGCCTGGGTAGTTCTCCTCAGAGGACTTTCCAGCATCCTAATGGGCATTCCTCCCTAGCTGTGTACACAAGTGCACCCCACTGTCGCACACTCACCCCACCGTCACCCACTTACCCCACCCTCCAGACACCAGGGCTACTTATCTCAAGCGGCATGCACACTCTGACCTGCCCCACACTCTTGGCTTCAGAGTTGAGGAAGGAACAGGAGATGGGTTTTGAGCTGTGGTTGGTTGAGTGAAAGCAGCACCCCGGGGACAGCCCCAGGCCCAGTTAGGACAGACGGTGATGTGTGCAGTTGTGTGCATCATTGAACCTGAGCATGCTCACGGCTGGAGTGTGCGTGTAGCCCAGTGCAGCAGGGGGTTTCTGTAGAAGATGGGCTCATGCCTGTCTCTCTAGGATTTCATGCCAACTCTTGTGCTCTCCATAAGTATGTATCTGGCTGTCACATGGATGCTGCACACTTCAGTGTGGTGCCATCATGCAATGCATAACCCCAATACCTGGACGAACTCTGGCCCTATGAATGCTGCTATCCCAATTTTAAGGGTGATGAAACTGAGCCTCAAGCAGGTTAAGCATCCTGTCCAACTCACGAAAGAAGCTGTAGGTCGGTCATCTAAAACGCAGCCGGGTATCAAGGGCCTCCCTCCCAACCTATCTCTTTCCAAATCCATGGGCCACCCTTGAGCTCCAAAACCCCCAGAACACTGGCTCTGCTGGCCACGGTGAGGACAGATGAAGCTAGGGAAGGCATGAGATCCCACTGACAAGCTGGTACTAAACAGGGAAGGATGGGGTGGGAGCTATTTTATCTCTGTTCTGGGGGGATCCAGAGAGGTGCAGAGCTGCCTCCACTGGCAGAAATGGGGCATCTCTAAGGAATGGCGAGGGGGACAAGCTTGGTCCAAGTATAAGAAAGCATCACCCTCTGCCCAGCAATGACCAACATTAGGAGCCAGTGACTAGAACCACTCCTCCCCCACCCCCACATACTGTCAACAGAGCTGGAAATCAAAAGGGGACTTTGGTCAGAAGACTTTTCCATAATGTTTAGCCCTAAAATGGACTAGAAAGAACCACAGAGATAACTTACACAAGATCAGCACCCTGGCCGGGCGCAGTGGCTCATGCCTGTAATCCCAGTACTTTGGGAGGCCAAGGCGGGTGGATCACTGGAGGTCAGGAGTTTGAGACCAGCCTGGCCAACATGGTGAAACTTCGTCTCTACTAAATATAAAAATTAGCCAGGCGTAGAGGCAAGGGCCTGTAATCCCAGCTACTCGGGAGGCTGAGGCAGGAAAATCGCTTGAACCCAGGAGGAGGAGGTTGCAGTGAGCCAAGATTGTGCCACTGCACTCCAGCCTGGGCAACAGCGGTTACTCAGCAAACCTGCAGCCATGTCAGGAATAAATGGCAGAGCGGTGATTCACAAGCAGAGCCCTTTCGGTAATTCCAGGAGGCCTTTTAACTGTTCACATCTGTAACCCATTTAGAACCAATTCTGAATTGTATATTCATATGTGAGGATGCAAAGTAGGTGAGTGGGTCCCGAGGCCAAGCCTCTTCTTGATTTCTCAGCAATGGCACAACCAGCCTCACCATGAGAATCAAGAAGCAAAGATTTTCTCCCACTACCTCCCGAAGGTCACTGTCTTAAAGTCACTGATGAAACTAGCAATGCCACCAGATGGATCCGGTCTGAACACTCACAGCTGGCTGTGCAGCTTCCCCAGGTTTCACGCCCCCGCAACACAGAATGCAAAGGCACAAGACATCAAGGTTAATAAACAGCTTTATTTGCCTTGTACAGCATCAATTTTCTTACATTCTCAGTTAATTGGCCATTAAAGTGCTGGAAATTTTCTTAATCATGATAACATTTGTTAAAAAGAAATCAGAACTAATATCAGGAACATGGCGGCATGAAGGAAACAGTTCCCTTACAAAACACAGAAAATGGAAGCCCCTCATGTTGAGGGGGTGGGTTGGACAATTTGCAAACAGATTCTAATTTCCTCTCACCGTCAGCACCAAACTGGCTGGGACCACCACCCCTGGGTGAAAGAAACAACACTAAAGAACCCTAAAAACACCCACACACCCTGACTACCACCACCTCTGGGCCATCTGTGGGCGTTTGCTGTTTGAACAGATCCAGTCTCAGGAAAGAGGAAGACCTGACCTCCGTCTGCAACCCATCACCCCACCCACCCTTACTAACAAAAGCCCCCAAAGTCATTACAATGAAAAAGTGGGTTTCCATTACCCCAAAACTAACAATGTTCAGTAAAAATGAGGATAATAAACACAAAAGCTTGCTTAGTAAACAGGAGCTCTCAGCAGTCAATGCAAAAAAATATATATATATGAAATCTTAAGGCAAATACTGTTGACTTTGCACATGGGCTGGACGAACTTGGAACTCTTTACCTATCTGTATAGTTCCAGGAGCCTACAGGCGGTCGGTTTTTCAGCGCTTGCCACCGGGCCAGGCAAGGTCTTTGCATGATTGCTGAGGCAGTCGGTGTGTTTCCCTTTGGAGTTTATATAGGAACACACCACCCAAGGCTGATGTTTTGTTATATATATATATATGTACACACATACAAAGGCCTGCTACTCTTTCTTTGTGGAAACTGACAGCTCCACCTCGGGAAGCTGGATGCCAACCTTATTCCCACTGTCATTGCTAGAAGAGGAGGACAGTCGGGACTTCTTAGAGGCCAGGGACACCCCACTCCCCTGTAACTTGCCTGTCTCATCATCGCTCCCAGTCACCTCATAATGACCTTTGCTCTTTGACCCCAATCCACCAAAGGTACCGAATTTCAGCTTCCCGTGTTTCCCTTTAACTTTCCCACCTTCCAGAGACACTTCCCCACCTTCAAACTCCAGCGTCCCCGTCGGGGTGGAAGGTCCAGAGAACTCTCTTTCATCACTGAATGAATTTGAGCGGTGCCGTGGCTTCTTACTTTTAAATAAGGAGAATTTGCCTTTCGGTGAAGAGGCTTCGGCCTCTGCCTCTCCTTCCAGAGAGCCCAGGCTGGCCTTTGAACTTTTCAGGTCACCTTTGGACCCAGAAATTGATGCTTCTGGTGAGCCAGTGACACCACCTTTCCCTTTAGGTTTGGAAAAATTAAACTTGGGCATTTTGATCTTGGACTTTTTCAGTTTGACTTCAGACTCTTCCCACTCGCCGTCTCCAGCACCAGCTTGGATGCTGGCCTCTGCTTTAGGGAAGTGAACATCCACCCCCATTTCTCTGCCAACCAGCTCACGGCCAGAGAAGGTAAATTTGGGGATCTTCATTTTAGGGAATGTTACTTTTCCAGATCCACTTTCCAAGTGACCTTGAGGCCCAGACACACTCAGCCCAGGAGCCTGGAGTCCAATCTGACCTCCTTTCACACCTCCTTCCACCTTTGGTCCTGAGAAATGAAGGCCCCCAGCAAACTTAGATGTGTCCAAGTTGAGAGCAGAGGAGACTTGGGGTCCCTTCCACTCACCCCCGGAACCTTTAACACTCAAATGCCCTTCACCAAGGCTGATGTCTGGGGCACTGACACCCCCTGAAACATCCGCACCTCCTTTGATTTTTGGGCCCTTCAAGTTGATGCCAAAATCTGACTCAGGAGATGCCATATTAAAGGCAGGCCCCTTCACACTGATATCAGGAGCAGCCCCATGGAAACCTACTTCTGAACCTTTCAGACCACCTTTGATTTCAGGCCCAGAAATCTGCCCAGTTGGGAGTTTCACATTCACGCCTGGCAGGTTCACATCACATCCAGAGGACTTAATTCCAGGCATCTGGAGGTTTCCTTCTAGGCCTTGAACACCAATGCCTGGAAGACCTCCTCCGACAGTGGGGCCTTTGATCTCACCAGTGGCCCCAAGGCTCCCTTTCACTTTTGGTCCTTCCAAGTTAAAGTCCACATTCGGTGCTGAAATCCGAGGCCCTTTCAGGTTCACATCCACACCTGGCCCCTTCAGTTCGCCAGAAACCTGTGGCCCCTTGGCATTGACGTGCAAGTCGGACCCCGGAGTAGAGATGCCAAATTGGGGCAGCTTCATTTTGGGAAGTTTAATGCTGCCTTCGGATGCCTCCAAGCTTAGATCAGGAGCTCCTACGGATACTTTAGGGCATTTGATGTCACCAGAGACAGCCAGATCTCCCTGCAGGCTTGGTCCCCTCAGTGTCACATCTGGTGCCCCAACGTTAAGCTTTGTTGTGGCATCGATCCCTGGCACTTTCACACCGTCTCCTCCCACCTGCATTTTGCCACCGACACCACTGAGGTTGAGCCCTGGAGCATGCACCTTCATGCTGGGAACAGATGCATCCAGGTCTCCCTTCAAACTTGGTCCTTTCAAGTTCAGATCAAGGTCAGGCCCAGAGACTTTTGGCATAGAGAGGTTCACTGAAGGCAAGTCTACTCCTGGCCCCTTTAGAGAAACATCGGGCCCTTCGAGCTTAACATCTGGTCCTCTCAAGTCTCCTTCAAGAGAGGGTAGCTGGGCATGGACCTCGGCTCCCCCACCCTCCATTTTCACACCTGGGATGCCGATCTTGGGCATGGAAAACTTGGGGAACTTAATTTTTGCTTCTGGACCTTGCAGATCTACATCTGGTCCTTCCAGTCCCACGCTGGGGACATCACCCTTTATCTTTGGTCCTTTCAAGTTTACATTCACATCAGGGATGGAGACTTGAGGGGCAGAAATGCCGAAGGACGGTGTTTTGACTTTAGCATCTAGGCCTTCGATGTTGATGTCAGGTGCACCCAAGTTTGCCTGCACTTTGGGGCCTTTCAGGTCACCCTCTATTTTTGGCACTGAGATGTCCACATCTGGCATCTTGACCTTGGGAGCCTTCGCCTTGATGTCAAGACCTTCGACGTGAATCGCTGGCAAAGAAAGTTCCAGATCAGGTGCCTGGAGTTCACCCTCCAGTTTGGGGCTAGGGAGAGGGGCCTCAGCTTTAAATTTAGGTGATTTAATGTCAAACTCTACATCTGGGAAGTACATTTTTCCAAACATCGTTTTCTTGGTTTTGGGCGATTTCACGTCGACTTTGAGTGCAGCATCCGGCCCTGCGATGTTGACATCTACATCCGGAGCCTTGAGGCTGGCATCAATTTCACCCCCAGGAACATTCAGGTCAAATCCCTGTTTTTTGGCCTTAATCTTAGGACCACTCATATGAATTTTAGGCATTTTAAACTTACTTTTCTTGCCCTTGCCACCAACACTAATTTCAGGAGTCTCAAGGTTCAGCTCTGCCTCAGGAACAGTGACATCCAGTGAAGGTGACTTGATGTCAGCTTTGGGGCTTTTTGCCCCAAATCCAAACTTGGGTTTCTTAAATTTGGGGATTTTAACATCTGGCCCTTCGATGTTAATATCTGGGCTGTCCATGTGTACATCTAAGCTTGGAGCTTCAACTTTGGGTCCCTTGAGGTCCACTTCACCACCTTCTAACTTCGGACCTGAAAATCCAATTTTTGGTGCCTTGAGATGCAAATCAACATCAGGAGCAGTTACTTTAGGAGCAGATATCTCCAGCGATGGCATCTTCAAAGATGGGCCACTGAGTTTGGCATCAGGGCCTTCGAAATCCAGACGTGGACCTTTAAGATCTACTTCTGGGCCTTTCAAAGTCCCTTCAACCTTAGGGACAGACACATCAAAATCTCCTTTTACTTTGGGTCCTTTCAAATCCAGGTCAACATCAGGTATGGAGATCTTGGGAGCTTTGATATTTATTTCAGGCATCTTGAACTTGGGGCCCTTCAGTTTTGCGTCTGGACCTTCGATATTCACATCTGGAATATCAACGTCCACCTTGGGTCCCGAGACATCGATGTCGGCCTTGGGCAGGCTCACATCCACATCTGGACCTTCTCCTTTGAAGCCAGGCATGCTGAATTTGGGCATTTTCACCTTGGGCATCTTCAGGTGCCAGTCTGGGCCATGAACATCCACATCAGGGGTGTTGATGTCCACTTTTGGGCCCTTGATGTCAGCTTCTGGGCCCTTGAGGTCACCTTCCACTTTAGGAAGGGTAACATCCACATCGCCCTTCACTTTGGGTCCTTTCAGGTTTAAGTCAATATCAGGCATGGAGATCTTGGGGGCTTTGATGCTCATCTCAGGCATCTTGAACTTGGGGCCCTTTAGTTTCGCATCTGGACCTTCGATATTCACATCAGGAACATCAACGTCCACTTTGGGTCCTGAGACATCAATGTCAGCCTTGGGCAGGTTCACATCCACATCTGGGCCCTCTCCTTTGAAGCCAGGCATGCTGAACTTGGGCATTTTCACTTTGGGCATTTTTAGGTGCCAGTCTGGGCCTTGAACGTCCACATCTGGGACATCAATGTCCACTTTGGGGTCCCTGATGTCAACTTCGGGGCCCTTGAGGTCGCCTTCCACTTTGGGCAGAGAAATGTCCATGTCGCCCTTCACCTTTGGACCTTTCAGATTCAGGTCAACTTCAGGCATAGAGATCTTCGGTGCCTTGAGGTGTAAGTCAGGCATTTTAAATTTGGGGCCCTTCAGTTTCCCTTCTGGACCATGAATGTCAATATCAGGAGTGTCAATGCCCACTTTAGGGCCTTTGACATCCACTTTGGGACCTTTCAGATCTCCCTCCAGTTTAGGAACGGAAATGTCCATATCTCCTTTTATCTTAGGTCCTTTCAAATTCAAATCAATGTCACTCATGGAGATTTGTGGGCTTTTGAAATGTACATCAGGCATCTTAAACTTGGGACCTTTGAGCTTCCCTTCAGGACCTTCAATGTCTACCTCTGGCCCTTTCAGATCACTTTCCACCTTAGGTAGTGAAACATCCACATCACCCTTCACCTTGGGACCTTTCAGGTGCAAATCAAAGTCAGGCATAGAGATTTTGGGAGCTTTGATGTTCATCTCAGGCATCTTAAATTTGGGCCCCTTCAATTTTCCTTCCGGACCTTCAATATTGACATCAGGTGTGTCAATGTCCAAACTGGGGCCTTTTATGTCAATTTCAGGGCCCTTGAGATCACCTTCCACTTTGGGCAGAGAGACATCCACATCACCTTTCACTTTGGGACCCTTCAAGTTAAAGTCAATGTCAGGCATGGAGATTTTGGGGGCCTTGATGTTCATCTCTGGCATCTTGAACTTTGGACCCTTGAGTTTTGCATCTGGACCTTCGATACTGACATCAGGGGCATCAATGTCCACTTTGGGGCCAGAAATCTCAATGTCAGCCTTAGGAAGGGTAACATCCACATCTGGGCCCTCTCCTTTGAATCCTGGCATGCTGAATTTGGGCATTTTCACCTTGGGCATCTTCAGGTGCCAGTCTGGGCCATGAACATCTACATCAGGGGCATCGATGTCCACTTTGGGGCCCTTGATGTCAACTTCTGGGCCCTTGAGGTCACCTTCCACTTTAGGAAGGGAAACATCCACATCACCCTTCACCTTGGGACCTTTCAGATGCAAATCAAAGTCAGGCATGGAGATCTTGGGGGCTTTGATGTTCATCTCAGGCATCTTGAATTTAGGGCCCTTTAGTTTCGCATCTGGACCTTCGATATTCACATCAGGAACATCAATGTCCACCTTGGGTCCTGAGACGTCAAGGTCAGCCTTGGGCAGGTTCACATCCACATCTGGGCCCTCTCCTTTGAAGCCAGGCATGCTGAACTTGGGCATTTTCACTTTGGGCATTTTTAAGTGCCAGTCTGGGCCTTGAACGTCCACATCTGGGACATCAATGTCCACTTTGGGGCCCTTGATGTCAACTTCAGGGCCCTTGAGGTCGCCTTCCACTTTGGGCAGAGAAACGTCCACGTCGCCCTTCATCTTTGGACCTTTCAGATTCAGGTCAACTTCAGGCATAGAGATCTTCGGTGCCTTGAGGTGCAGGTCAGGCATTTTAAATTTGGGGCCCTTCAGTTTCCCTTCTGGACCATGAATATCAATATCAGGAGTGTCAATGTCCACTTTGGGTCCTGAGACATCAATGTCAGCTTTGGGCAAATTAACATCCACTTCTGGGCCCTCTCCTTTAAATCCTGGCATGCTGAATTTGGGCATTTTCACCTTGGGCATCTTCAGGTGCCAGTCTGGGCCATGAACATCCACATCTGGGGCATCAATGTCCACTTTGGGGCCCTTGATGTCAACTTCAGGGGCCTTTAGATCACCTTCCATCTTAGGCAGAGAAACATCCACATCTCCTTTCACCTTAGGGCCTTTCAGATGCAAATCAAAGTCAGGCATGGAGATCTTGGGGGCTTTGATGTTCATCTCTGGCATCTTGAATTTAGGGCCCTTCAGTTTCGCATCTGGACCTTCAATATTCACATCTGGAACATCAACGTCCACCTTGGGTCCTGAGACGTCAAGGTCAGCCTTGGGCAGGTTCACATCCACTTCTGGACCTTCTCCTTTGAAGCCAGGCATGCTGATCTTGGGCATTTTTATCTTAGGCATCTTCAGGTGCCAGTCTGGGCCTCGAACATCCACATCTGGGGCATTAATATCCACTTTGGGGCCTTTAATATCCAAGTCAGGAACTTGCATGTCACCTTCCACTTTTGGCAGAGACACATCCATATCACCCTTCACTTTGGGTCCTTTCAGGTTAAGATCAATGTCAGGCATGGAGATCTTGGGGGCTTTGATGTTCATCTCAGGCATCTTGAATTTGGGACCTTTCAACTTTCCCTCTGGGCCTTCGATATTCACATCTGGAACATCAATGTCCACCTTGGGTCCTGAGACATCAAGGTCAGCCTTGGGCAGGTTCACATCCACATCTGGGCCCTCTCCTTTGAAGCCAGGCATGCTGAACTTGGGCATTTTCACCTTGGGCATCTTCAGGTGCCAGTCTGGGCCTTGAACATCAACATCTGGAGCATTAATGTCCACTTTGGGGCCCTTGATGTCAACTTCAGGACCCTTGAGGTCACCTTCCATTTTGGGCAGAGAAACATCCACATCGCCCTTGACTTTGGGGCCCTTCAGGTTTAAATCAATGTCAGGCATCGATATTTTGGGAGCCTTCAGGTGCATCTCTGGTATCTTAAATTTGGGTCCCTTGAATTTACCCTCTGAGCCTTCGATGTTAATGTCAGGAGTGTCAATGTCCACTTTGGGGCCCTTGATGTCCACCTCAGGGCCTTTTAGATCACCTTCCACTTTGGGCAAAGACACAACCACATCACCCTTCATTTTGGGTCCCTTCAAGTTCAGGTCAAAGTCAGGCATGGAGATCTTGGGGGCTTTGATGTTCATCTCAGGCATCTTGAACTTGGGGCCCTTCAGCTTTGCATCTGGACCTTCAATATTCACGTCTGGAACATCAACGTCTACATTGGGACCAGAAATGTCAATGTCAGCTTTAGGGAGGGTAACATCGACTTCAGGGCCTTCTCCTTTGAAGCCAGGCATGCTGAACTTGGGCATTTTCACTTTGGGCATCTTCAGATGCCAGTCTGGACCATGAACATCCACATCTGGGGCATTGATGTCCACTTTAGGGCCTTTGATATCAACCTCTGGCCCTTTCAGATCCCCTTCAAGTTTGGGAAGAGAAATATCCACATCACCTTTCACCTTGGGGCCTTTCAAGTTTAAGTCAATGTCAGGCATGGAGATCTTGGGAGCTTTGATATTCATGTCAGGCATCTTGAATTTGGGACCTTTCAAGCCTCCCTCCGGACCTTCCACATTGAGATCTGGGCCCTCAATGTTCATACTTGGGCCCTCTATGTTGATGTCTCCTTTTGGTAGATCCACAGCTACATCTGGCCCTTCTGCTTTTAAGCCAGACACACTGAATTTGGGCATTTTCATCTTGGGCATTTTCAGATTCCAGTCTGGACCATGAACATCCACATCAGGTGCATTAAGATTGACTTCTGGTGCCTTAATATCCACTTTGG
Source organism: Homo sapiens (assembly GCF_000001405.40). Taxonomy (NCBI): domain Eukaryota; kingdom Metazoa; phylum Chordata; class Mammalia; order Primates; family Hominidae; genus Homo; species Homo sapiens. The sequence goes on from NC_000011.10 coordinate 62,524,078, forward strand.
GGCCTTTAAAGTCACCTTCTAAATTGGGACCTGCAATATCTAAGTCTCCTTTGACTTTGGGACTTTTCAAATTTAGCTCCACGTCAGGCATAGAAACTTTGGGAGATGAAATACTCAGGAAAGGCATTTTAAACTTGGATCCTTTCACTTTTCCTTGGACCTCGACATCAGGAGCATTAATATCAACTTTTGGACCTGTTATGTCAATATCTGGCTTTTTACCTTTGACATCCACTTCAGGTGTCTGAACTTTAGAGCCCGAAAAATTAAATTTGGGAAGCTTAAAACGAGATTTCTTTGACTTGCCTTCGATATTAAGCTTAGGACCGGAAACGTCCACTTCTGGGCCCTTTATATCCAAACTGGGAGCTTTAATGTCACCTTCCAACTTGGGCCCAGAGACATCAACATCTCCCTTAAGCTTTGAGCCTTTCAAATTCAAGTCAATTTCTGGCATGGAGATCTTGGGCATGTTTACATGCATGTCAGGCATCTTCAGTTTTGGACCTTTTAATTTGGCATCTGGGCCATGAATGTCAATATCTGGAGCATCTACATCTATCTTTGGGCCTTTTATGTCAAGAGCAGGTCCTTTCAAATCACCTTCTACATTTGCAAGTGAAACATCCACCTCTCCTTTCATTTTAGGGCCTTTAAGATTGAGGTCCAAATCAGGCATTGATATTTTAGGAGCTTTGATGTTCATCTCTGGCATCTTGAATTTAGGGCCCTTCAGTTTCGCATCTGGACCTTCAATATTCACATCTGGAACATCAACGTCCACCTTGGGTCCTGAGACGTCAAGGTCAGCCTTGGGCAGGTTCACGTCCACTTCTGGACCTTCTCCTTTGAAGCCAGGCATGCTGATCTTGGGCATTTTTATTTTAGGCATCTTCAGGTGCCAGTCTGGGCCTTGAACATCCACATCTGGGGCATTAATATCCACTTTGGGGCCTTTAATATCCACGTCAGGAACTTTCATGTCACCTTCCACTTTTGGCAGAGACACATCCATGTCACCCTTCACTTTGGGACCTTTCAGGTTAAGATCAATGTCAGGCATGGAGATCTTGGGGGCTTTGATGTTCATCTCAGGCATTTTGAATTTGGGACCTTTCAACTTTCCCTCTGGGCCTTCGATATTCACATCTGGAACATCAATGTCCACCTTGGGTCCTGAGACATCAAGGTCAGCCTTGGGCAGGTTCACATCCACATCTGGGCCCTCTCCTTTGAAGCCAGGCATGCTGAATTTGGGCATTTTCACTTTGGGCATTTTTAGGTGCCAGTCTGGGCCTTGAACGCCCACATCCGGGACATCAATGTCCACTTGGGGACCCCTGATGTCAACTTCAGGGCCCTTGAGGTCACCTTCCACTTTGGGCAGAGAAATATCCACATCGCCCTTCACCTTGGGACCTTTCAGATGCAAATCAAAGTCAGGCATGGGGATCTTGGGGGCTTTGATATTCATCTCTGGCATCTTGAACTTGGGCCCTTTCAACTTTCCCTCTGGTCCTTCAATGTTAACATCAGGGCCTTCAACGTCCACTTTGGGGCCTGAGACATCAACGTCAGCCTTGGGCAGGTTCACATCCACTTCAGGGCCCTCTGCTTTGAAGCCAGGCATGCTGAACTTGGGCATTTTCATCTTGGGCATCTTCAGGTGCCAGTCTGGACCCTGAACATTAACATCTGGGACATCAATGTCCACTTTGGGGCCTTTGAGGTCAACTTCAGGACCTTTCAGATCTCCCTCTACCTTAGGGCCTGTAACATCCACATCTCCTTTTATTTTTGGACCTGTGAGATTCAGGTCAATATCTGGCATGGATATCTTTGGAGTCTTAAAATGCATCTCTGGCATCTTAAACTTTGGACTTTTCCACTTTCCTTCAGGTCCTTCGATATTCACATCGGGACATTCAACATCCACTTTCGGTCCTGAGACATCAATGTCAGCCTTGGGCAGGTTCACGTCCACATCTGGACCTTCTCCTTTGAAGCCAGGCATGCTGATCTTGGGCATTTTTATCTTGGGCATCTTTAGGTGCCAGTCTGGGCCATGAACATCAACATCAGGTGCGTCAATGTCCACTTTTGGGCCCTTGATGTCAACTTCTGGGCCCTTGAGGTCACCTTCCACTTTAGGAAGGGAAACATCCACATCACCCTTCACTTTGGGTCCTTTCAGGTTTAAGTCAATATCAGGCATGGAGATCTTGGGGGCTTTGATATTCATCTCTGGCATCTTGAACTTAGGCCCTTTCAACTTTCCCTCTGGTCCTTCAATGTTAACATCAGGGCCTTCAATGTCCACTTTGGGTCCTGAGACATCAATGTCAGCCTTGGGCAGCTTCACATCCCCATCTGGGCCCTCTCCTTTGAAGCCAGGCATGCTGAACTTTGGCATTTTCACCTTGGGCATCTTCAGGTGCCAGTCTGGGCCTTGAACACCCACATCTGGGGCATTAATATCCACTTTGGGCCCCTTGATGTCAACTTCGGGGCCCTTGAGGTCACCTTCCACTTTGGGCAGAGAAACATCCACATCGCCCTTCACCTTGGGACCTTTCAGATGCAAATCAAAGTCAGGCATGGAGATCTTGGGGGCTTTGATGTTCATCTCTGGCATCTTTAACTTAGGCCCTTTCAACTTTCCCTCTGGTCCTTCAATATTAACATCAGGGCCTTCAATGTCCACCTTGGGTCCTGAGATGTCAACGTCAGCCTTAGGCAAGTTGACGTCTACTTCAGGGCCCTCTGCTTTGAAGCCAGGCATGCTGAACTTGGGCATTTTCATCTTGGGCATCTTCAGGTGCCAGTCTGGAGCTTGGACATCGGGGGCATTTACATCAACTTTGGGGCCCCTGATGTTCATATCTGGTACTTCAAGTTTACCTTCTACCTCAGGCACAGACACATCCACATCCCCCTTGATTTTGGGTCCTTTGAGATTTAGATCAACATCAGGCATAGAAATATTGGGGGCTTTGAAATGCATATCAGGCATCTTGAACTTAGGGCCTTTCAATTTGCCCTCTGGTCCCTCAATGTCAATGTCTGGCCCACTGACATCCACATGTGGCCCTTTAAGGTCCCCTTCCAATTTGGGAACATCTACATCCACCTCTCCTTTTGCCTTGGGGCTCTTCAAGTGTAGATCGAGGTCTGGCATAGAGATTTTGGGAGCTTTAAAGTGCATATCTGGCATCTTGAACTTAGGAGTTTTCCACTTGCCATTTGGGCCTTCCACAGCTACTTCTGGCATGTCAGCATCTAATTTGGGACCTTTGACATCCAATTCTGGACCTTTTAACTCTCCCTCCAGCTTTGGGGCAGAAACATCAACATCTCCTTTGATTTTGGGTCCCTTTAAATTGAAATCAACATCAGGCATGGAGATCTTGGGGGTCTTGAAGTGCATCTCAGGCATCTTAAACTTGGGGCCCTTCAGCTTCCCTTCTGGACCTTCAAGGCTCACATCTGGGACTTCAACATCCACCTTGGGTCCTGAGACATCAACGTCAGCCTTGGGCAAGTTCACATCCACTTCTGGGCCCTCTCCTTTGAAGCCAGGCATGCTGAACTTGGGCATTTTCATCTTAGGCATCTTCAGGTGCCAGTCTGGGCCATGAACATCCACATCTGGGGCATCAATGTCCACTTTGGGCCCTCTGATGTCAACATCTGGCACTTTCATTTCACCTTCTACCTTGGGAACAGACACATCCATATCCCCTTTGACTTTGGGGCCTTTCAAGTTTAAGTTCACATCAGGCATGGAGATCTTGGGGGTCTTGAAGTGCATCTCAGGCATCTTAAACTTGGGCCCTTTCAACTTTGCATCAGGACACTCCAGCTCAACATCAGGCACCTCCACATCCACACTGGGGCCTGTTAAATCTCCCTCCAATTTTGGCAAAGACACATCCACATCCCCTTTGACTTTGGGGCCTTTCAAGTGTAAGTCCACATCAGGCATGGAGATCTTGGGGGCCTTGAAGTGCATCTCAGGCATCTTAAGCTTGGGGCCCTTCAGCTTCCCTTCTGGACCTTCAAGGCTCACATCTGGGACTTCAACATCCACCTTGGGTCCTGAGACAACAACATCAGCCTTGGGCAAGTTCACATCCACTTCTGGGCCCTCTGCTTTGAAGCCAGGCATGCTGAACTTGGGCATTTTCATCTTGGGCATCTTCAGGTGCCAGTCTGGGCCATGAACATCCACATCTGGGGCATCAATGTCCATTTTGGGTCCTTTGATGTCAACATCTGGCACTTTCATTTCACCTTCTACCTTGGGCACAGACACATCCATATCCCCTTTGACTTTGGGGCCTTTCAGGTGTAAGTCCACATCAGGCATGGAGATCTTGGGGGTCTTGAAGTGCATCTCAGGCATCTTAAACTTGGGCCCTTTCAACTTTGCATCAGGACACTCCAGCTCAACATCAGGCACCTCCACACCCACACTGGGACCTGTTAAATCTCCCTCCAATTTTGGCACCGACACATCCACATCCCCTTTGACTTTGGGGCCTTTCAAGTGTAAGTCCACATCAGGCATGGAGATCTTGGGGGCCTTGAAGTGCATGTCTGGCATCTTAAATTTAGGGCCTTTCAACTTTGCATCAGGACACTCCAGCTCAACATCAGGCACCTCCACACCCACACTGGGGCCTGTTAAATCTCCCTCCAATTTTGGCACCGACACATCCGCATCCCCTTTGACTTTGGGGCCTTTCAGGTGTAAGTCCACATCAGGCATGGAGATCTTGGGGGCCTTGAAGTGCATCTCAGGCATCTTAAACTTGGGCCCTTTCAACTTTGCATCAGGACACTCCAGATCAACATCGGGCACCTCCGCTTCCACAAAAGGACCTTTGACATCAACTTGCGGCCCTCTGAGATCACCTTCCAGTTCTGGCACAGAAGCATCTATCTCTCCCTTCAGTTTGGGTCCCTTCAAATTCAAGTCCACATCTGGCATGGAGACCTTGGGAGCTTTTATATTCAACTTGGGCATCTTAAATTTGGAGCCTTTCAACTTTCCTTCTGGTCCCTCAATATCCAAATCAGGAGCATCAGTGTCCACACTGGGTCCAGACACATCAATGTCAGCCTTTGGCAGATTCACATCCACTTCAGGGCCCTCTGCTTTGAAGCCAGGCATACTGAACTTGGGCATTTTCATCTTGGGCATTTTCAGGTGCCAATCTGGGTCGTGAACCTCCACATCTGGGGCATCAATGTCCACTTTGGGCCCTTTAATGTCAACATCTGGCACTTTCATTTCACCTTCTACCTTGGGCACAGACACATCCATATCCCCTTTGACTTTGGGGCCTTTCAAGTGTAAGTCCACATCGGGCATGGAGATCTTGGGGGCCTTGAAATGCATCTCAGGCATCTTAAACTTGGGGCCCTTCAACTTCCCTTCTGGACCTTCAATATCAATATCACCAACATTCACATCCATCTTAGGGGCTTTCACATCAATTTCAGGACCCTTCAAGTCTCCTTCCACTTTGGGAAGGGAAACATCTACATCAGTTTTCAGTTTAGGGGCTTTCAAATTAAGTCCAACATCAGGCATAGAGATTTTGTGCGTCTGTATATTCATGCTTGGCATCTTGAACTTAGGGCCTTTTAGTTTCCCCTCTGGAGCTTCAAGATTCACATCTGGAACATCAATGTCCACCTTGGGTCCTGAAACACCAAGGTCAGCCTTGGGCAGGTTCATATCCACCTCTGGGCCCTCTCCTTTAAAGCCAGGCATGCTGAACTTGGGCATTTTTACCTTGGGCATCTTCAGGTGCCAGTCTGGGCCATGAACCTCCACATCTGGTGCATTAATATCAACTTTGGGGCCTTTGATGTCAACATCAGGAGCTTTTATCTCTCCTTCTACTTTTGGAACTGTTACATCATAATCTCCTTTCATTTTAGGACCTTTCAAATGCAAACCAACATCTGGTATGGATATCTTCTGAGGCTTTATACTCATTTCTGGCATCTTGAATTTGGGACCTTTTAGTTTTGCGTCTGGACCTTCAATATTCACATCTGGAACTTCAGCATCCATTTTGGGTCCTGAGACATCAACGTCAGCTTTGGGCAGCTTCACATCCACTTCAGGGCCCTCTCCTTTGAAGCCGGGCATGCTGAACTTGGGCATTTTCACCTTGGGCATCTTCAGGTGCCAATCTGGGCCATGAACATCCACATCTGGAGCACTAATGTCAACTTTGGGCCCTTTAATGTCAACATCTGGCACTTTCATTTCACCTTCTACCTCAGGCAAGGACACATCCACATCTCCCTTCAATTTTGGCCCCTTAAGATTCAGGTCCACATCAGGCATGGAGATCTTGGGGGCCTTGAAGTGCATCTCAGGCATCTTAAACTTGGGGCCCTTCAGCTTTCCTTCCGGGCCCTCAAGGCTCACATCTGGGACTTCAACATCCACCTTGGGTCCTGAGACATCAATGTCAGCCTTGGGCAGGTTCACATCCACTTCTCGGCCCTCTCCTTTGAAGCCAGGCATGCTAAACTTGGGCATTTTCATCTTGGGCATCTTCAGGTGCCAGTCTGGGCCTTGAACCTCCACATCTGGGGCATCAATGTCCATTTTGGGTCCTTTGATTTCAACATCTGGCACTTTCATTTCACCTTCTACCTTGGGCACAGACACATCCACATCCCCTTTGACTTTGGGGCCTTTCAAGTGTAAGTCCACATCAGGCATGGAGATCTTGGGGGTCTTGAAATGCATCTCAGGCATCTTAAACTTGGGACCCTTCAGCTTCCCTTCTGGACCTTCGAGGCTCACATCTGGGGCTTCGATGTCCACCTTGGGTCCTGAGACAACAACGTCAGCCTTAGGCAAGTTCACATCCACTTCTGGGCCCTCGCCTTTGAGGCTGGGCATGCTGAACTTGGGCATTTTCATCTTGGGTATTTTCAGGCTCCAGTCCAGGCCTTGGCCTTCCACATCTGGTGCTTTAATATCTACCTTGGGACCTCTGATGTCCACATCTGGAACCTGCATTTCACCCTCTATCTTTGGTGCAGAGATATCTACATTTCCTTTCATTTTGGGTCCTTTAAGATCCAGGTCAACATCTGGCAAAGACATCTTAGGAGCTCTGAAGTGCATCTCAGGCATCTTAAACTTCGGGCCTTTCAACTTCCCTTCAGGTCCTTCAAGGCTCAGATCTGGAGCATTAGTATCTACTTTTGGTGCAGAAATGTCCACATTCGCTTTGGACAGGTTCACATCAAATTCTGGCCCCTCTCCTTTGAGGCTGGGCATGCTAAATTTGGGCATTTTAATCTTTGGCATCTTCAAGTTCCAGTCAGGACCCTGCATTTCAACATCTGGGGCACTGACATCTACTTTTGGGCCTTTCAGGTCCCCTTCCAGCTTTGGCACTGTCATATCATATTCTCCCTTTACTTTAGGACCTTTCATATGCAAGTCCACATCAGGCATGGAGATCTTGGGGGCCTTGATATTCATCTCTGGCATCTTGAACTTGGGGCCCTTCAGCTTTCCTTCAGGTCCTTCAATATTCACATCTGGAACTTCAACACCCACCTTGGGTCCTGAGATGTCCACATCAGCCTTGGGCAGGTTCACATCCACTTCTGGGCCCTCTGCTTTGAAGCCAGGCATGCTGAACTTGGGCATTTTCATCTTGGGCATCTTCAGGTGCCAGTCTGGGCCTTGAACCTCCACATCTGGGACATCAATGTCCATTTTGGCACTTTTAAGTTCAACATCAGGAACTTTAATCTCACTTTCAACCTTTGGCATTGTGACATCATATTCTCCCTTTACGTTAGGGCCTTTCAGATGTAAGTCCACATCAGGCATGGAGATCTTGGGGACTTTGATGTTCATCTCAGGCATCTTAAACTTGGGCCCTTTCAATTTCCCTTCTGGTTCCTCAATGCTCACATCAGGAGCAGTAACATCTATCTTGGGCCCGGAAATGTCCACATCAGCCTTGGGCAGGTTCACATCCACTTCTGGGCCCTCTGCTTTGAACCCTGGCACACTGAATTTGGGCATTTTCATCTTGGGCATCTTCAAGTGCCAGTCTGGGCCATGAACATCCACATCTGGGGCATCAATGTCCACTTTTGGGCCTTTGAGTTCTCCTTCCAGCTTTGGTACAGTTACATCATACTCTCCCTTCACCTTTGTACCTTTCACGTGCAAATCTACATCAGGCATGGAGATCTTTGGTGTCTTGACACTCATATCAGGCAGCTTAACATCGGGGCCTTTAAGTTTTCCCCCCAGACCCTCCAAGTTGACATCTGGGGCTTCCACATTGACCTTGGGCCCTGAAATACTGATATCTCCTTTGGGTAGAGTCATATGAACATCTGGACCTTCCCCTTTGGCTCCTGGAGTGCTGAACGTGGGCATTTTCATCTTGGGCATTTTCAGGTTCCATTCTGGGCCATGCGCTTCGACATCTGGGGCACTGACATCCACTTTGGGGCCTCTGACATCAACTTCAGGGACTTTGACTTTCCCTTCTACTCTGGGGAGTGTGACATCTACACCCCCTTTCACTTTAGGTGCGGCCACATTTAAGTCTACTTCTGACATAGAGATCCTACAGGTTCCGGTTTTCCCGGAAGGACTGCCAAGCCTAGGGCCTGTCAAGGTTCCCTCTAGGTTTGGTGTCTCTATGTCCACTCTGGAGCCTTTAAGTGCCACTTGAGGGCCTTTAACATCACCTTGCACCCCAGGAGCAGAAACCTTAATATCTCCTTTCAGTTTAGGAGACCCAAGGCTCAGATCCACATCCTGCATGGAGATTTTAGGTTTCTGAATAATCATTTCAGGAGTCTTCACTTTAGTACCTTTCATCTTTCCTTCCAGCCCACCAGTAGCAATCTCAGGCAGGCTGACATCCCCAGAGACCCCAGGAACAGTCACTTCACCTGTAGGCAGTGTCACATCAATCCCAGTTTCCTCTCCCTTTGCACCTGATACAGAGAACTTGGGGACTTTCATCTTGGGCACATTCAGTTTGCTCCCAGGCCCCTGAACATCAATGTCAGGGGCCTGAACTTCCACACTGGGGCCAGTGATGCTACCCCCAATTTGGGGAGCAGAGGCATCCACCCCAATGTGCCCCTGTGGCTTGGCACCTTTCAGGCCTAGGTCACCCTCAAGTGATGGCCCAGTGATTTGGGGGCCCTTCAGCTTCCCCTCAAGGCCCTCAATATTGGCAGAGGGCACACTGACTTCCAGCTGAGGGGCTTGGATAGTCAAGCCTGGCTTGCCGCCCTTGTGCCCCACAGAGACTTCAGGTGCAGAAACCCTCAGCCCTGCCTTTGGTGTCTGGCCCTCACGCCCTGTTGAGACACCAAATTTCGGCACTTTCATGGTGGGAAATTTAATTTTGCCATGATCACCACTCTCCAGAGATGGGCCCTGTACCTCTACTGCCCTACCCCCAAGAGAAGATGAAATGTCCACTGCTGGAACTTGGACCCCTCCTCTGCCACCCAAGTCCAAGCCCTTTGCATTGACATTGACACCTGAGCCTCCCACCTTTATCCCAGGCATGGTGACCTGGAGCTTCGAGTGGCCAGCACCTTGGAGCTCTGGTCCTGAAGCAGAAATGGCCCCTGCTCGGATATCCACAGCAGAGCCTGTCGGAGAGGCTGCCCCCGAGCCCGAGGGCAGTCTGATCACGGTCTTCCCAGACTGGGTCTCCACATCCACATTGGAGATTTCAGTCAGTTCATGTCTTGGAATCTTGATCTTGAATTCAGGGCTACTGATGTCTATGTCCTTGGCTCCTTCCCGGCCAGTCACATCCACAGTGTAGGCCGTGACCCTTCTGGTCACTGTGATGGTACGGCTCTGGGTCTCCCCGAGGTCTCCTTCCACTCCATCTTCCGACTTCAGCCGTGGCTTGATCTTCGTGGTGTAGATGCGCTGGTACTCCTCATCATCCCCGCTCTGCAGAAAGACACGCCGGGCAGAGGTTGCAGCAGAGTCTGCCTGAGTTAGCAGATGCCCGGCCACAGCCCAGCCGACAACACGTTGCCTGTTTCCCAGAGAAGCTGGGACCAAAACAGAGGTCCATGGAGCCTCCTGGGGCACAGCACAGGGGAGTGAAGAAAGGGGCTGACAGCCACATCACAGGAGGAAATCAGAAATTCTCTGGAGGTCATACCGCTAAGCAAAAACCGTGGGGAGGGAGTGGGAGGTATACTCTTGGACTGGGAGGATTTCCATTCAGTTAGAGATTCAAATCAGCCTGTGCCAGGGACACCTCCCAAGAGACCAGGCCCTTCAGCTCCCAACTCTCAAGCCACTGGCTTGTTTGTTTAATCAGGAGGGGAATCTTCTCAGAGGCCCTTGGACCCTGAAAGCACTCGTTGAGCCTAAGAGACTGGTTGTGCTTGGGTTAACAGTCTCACTTTGAGGACCCATTATTTGTTAAATAAACAAGCCATCAGAAGGACCAATGTCCCCACAGGCACTTTGCTGCCCAGCGTCTGACCCACAGAATGTATCAGGCCTCTGCAGAGAGAAAAATGGTGTCTGTGAGGTGGAGCTGGGCACCTGTGAAGTCATTTCAAAGATTCTTGCAAAGCAGCTGACCTTCCTCCTAGCATCTAGGGCCGGGCTGCACAAGTCAGTTCCCATACTGTGGCCGCTCTGAAGAGACTGATTGAAGACATTTAGAGGGAGCACAGCCACATGTCACACGAAAGCGGAAAGAAACAGGGTGGCCAAGGGCTCAAGAGAGTGAAGACAGGTGAGAGGAGAAGAAGGAGCAAAAAGAGAGGGTCCGGAGGCACATGGAAGGCTCAGGAGTGGGGTCAGCAGGCCGGCATGGCCGGGGGAGCTCAGGGCACAGATGGGCCGGCGAGGTACTCACCAGAACCACTTCAGAGCTGCAGGAGCTGAAGACTTCACGGGTCCAGGTCTGGCCAGGCTCGGGAGAGCGGTCCCCCTTGCGGTGCAGCTTCAGGCCCACCGTGTGGTGCCCCATGGTGTTCAGCAGCTGGGTCACCTCACCCGACTGCAGGTTGTCAAAGTAGATGGTGGCACCCACAATCTGGTCCCCTGAGCAGGGAAGAGCAGGAAGCAGGTAAGGCCCAAAGAGCCTCAGGGAAACCGCACACAGCCACCACACACTGGGCACTGAACTGACTTGAACTCATGACCACCCTGCAAGGTGGGCATGGTAATACCCATTGTACAGACACGGAAACTGAGGCTTAGAAAGGCCAATTTGTGGGGGCCAGGTGCAGTGGCTCACACCTGTAATCTCAGCACTTTGGGAGACCGAGGCAGGTGGATCGCCTGAGGTCAGGAGTTCGAGACCAGCCTGACCAACATAGAAAAACCCCGTCTCTACTAAAAATGCAAAATTAGTCTGGTGTGGTGGTGCATGCCTGTAATCCCAGCTACCCTGGAAGCTGAGGCATAAGAATCGCTTGAACCCAGGAGGCGGAGGTTGCAGTGAGCTGAGATAGCGCCATTGCACTCCAGCCTGGGCAACAAGAACAAAACTCCATCTAAAAAAAAAAAAAAAGGCCAACTCATTTGCCCAAATCTGCAGAGCTAGTGGGTGGTGGAGTCAGATCTGAGGACCAGGTGTCCACTACCCCACACAGCTGCCTCCCCTGAGGACCACAAGTGACAGACACAGAGTGGCCAAGGGAGGGCAGGGCTTGGGTACCAACCACCCTGATGCCACTGGGAATGGGCCCTCGACAGCCACTCACCCACTTCTGCCTGCTCCCTGCCCTTCCCTCCAACACCCCCACCGACCCCCCAACCACCAGCACCCAGTCCACACCCTGGGGTGACTCACCCTCCTTGACCACCCCAGTGCGGGCCGCAGGGGAGTTCTGCGTCACCTCCTGCACAAAGACGCCGTCGTCCCTCTGGGCGATGGTCAGCCCGTGGGAGCCACTACCCTGCCAGTTGGGCAGCAGCAGCTCCCGGGTTGTCTCCTCCTTCTCCATCTGGAATGAGGTGAGGAAATGGAACTGGGGTCAGTGGGGGTGGGAGGACATGAGGGCATGGGAAAGCTAGCAATCTCTGGCGCTGTGAACTCCAGGGAGTGGGGCCCTCAGCAATGCACCTGCCCCTGCAGCTGGCTCACCTGCCAGGTGAGGTGTTGGGGGTGGGGTAATTCGTCTCACGTCCTTCCACTGTGGAAGTTCTCCCAAGGCACAGCAAAGAAGATGGAAAGGAGACAGCAGAGGCAACTGGACCCGGAGGTAGCTGGCCCTTCATCCCTGTCCCCCACGGCCCCAGCCTCCCATCCACACAGGGCCCACCCTCCCCACATCCCGTCACCTCCGCCTCTCTCTGCCTCTCCCACCTACTGACCTTTGCAGGATTCCGCTCAGGAGCGAATGCCTTGCCAGGAGCCCGCCCCTCCTTCCTCTCTTCCCCTCAGTCTCTCTCGTCGGGAATCTCGGTCACAACCTAGGGAAAAGTTCACGATGATGCTCGCACTCCGGTCGGCAGTCTGCTTGCTCCAAGTCTCTACCCAAGGGATAGCCAGGTCCTCTGCTACCCAGGCCAGCTCAGAACCCGACCCCCACCACCGCCGTCAATTCCACTCGTCCATGACTCTCCAGCCCGGCATAGCAGAAAGGGGCTTCAGAGGAGCCAGACTTGCAGTCAGATCCTGGCTCTGCCTCCTTCTAGCTGTGGGACCCTGGCCAAGACACTTCAGTTTTCTGAACCTCCATTTCCTCATCTGTGAAAATGGAGGCAATAAAGGAGAAAAAATAGAGCACTGGCCGGCAGGAGCCGCTTCACATGCACACTCTTGCCACATTCTTTTTATTTATGTATTTTATTTATTTTATTTATTTTTTTTTTTTTGAGACAGAGTCTCGTTCTGTTGCCCAGGCTGGAGTGCAATAGCGGATCTCGGCTCGCTGCAAGCTCCACCTCCCGGGTTCACGCCAGTCTCCTGCCTCAGCCTCCCGAGTAGCTGGGACTACAGGCGCCCGCCACCATGCACCACACCCGGCTAATTTTTTGTATTTTTAGTAGAGATGGGGTTTCACTGTGTTAGCCAGGATGATCTCGATCTCCTGACCGCATGATCCGCCCGCCTCGGCCTCCCAAAGTGCTGGGATTACAGGCGTGAGCCACCGCACCTGGCCTCTTTTTATTTTTTTGAGACAGGGTCTGGCTCTGTCACACAGGCTGGAGTGCAGGGGCGCAATCACGACTCACTGCAGCCTCGACCTCCTGGGCTCAAGTGATCCTCCTGCCTCACCCACCCAAGTAGCTCGGACCACAGCCACGTGCCTCCACAACTGGCTAATTTTTGTATTTTTGGAGAGATGGGGTTTTGCCATGTTGCCCAGGCTGGTCCGGAACTCCTGGGCTCAAACAATCCCAAAGTGCTGGGACTATAAGCAGGAGCCACCACGCCCAGCATCTACCCACATTCTCAACCACAGCTTCAAGAGGGAGATGTTACTGTGCCAATTTCACAGACAGAGACTGAGTCTCTGAGAGAACAGCTTACCCGGGGTACACATGAGAGCACAACTATGCTGGGCTTGGACCCGAGTCTGTAACTCCTTTTTTTTTTTTTTGAGACGGAATCTCACTTTGTAGCCCAGGCTGGTGTGCAATGGCACGATCTCAGCTCACTGCAACCTCCCCCTCCCAGGTTCAAGCAATTCTCCTGCCTCAGCCTCCCGAGTAGCTGGGATTACAGGCGCCCGCCACCATGCCCGGCTAATTTTTTGTATTTTTAGTAGAGATGGGGTTTCACCATCTTAGCCAGGCTTGTCTTGAACTCCTGACCCTGTGATCCACCCGCCTTGGCCTCCCAAAGTGCTGGGATTACGGGCGTGACCACCGCACCCGGCCGACCGAGTCTGTAAGTCTTTTGCCTACTCCACCCCAGGTCTGCTGCTTGTAACAGGTGGGAGCCTCCTCAGAGTCTGCCTCCAAGCAGGAATGTCAGTGTTCCACCTCCCTCAGAGACAGAGACTTGGGCCACCCAGTCTCACCCAGTACCCAGGACCAGGGGGGTGCCTCACCAGCTGGCAGCTCTGGGAGCCCTGCCACAGGCAGCTGCCTGAACAAAGGAGGCCCCGGCCCCACCAGGCACCGCCCAAGCCCCAGAGGTTAGAGCCCAGCTGAGCCCACCTTGGCCCACAGTGAGTTCAGGCCTCCCGGCTGCCACACCAGGCCCTGAGCCAGGCCCTTATAGGTGCAAGCATTTAGTAATAAATTCGCCCTCCAGCCACAAGGTGAGCTGTCATCTGCAGGTGCCCTAGAAAGACACCAGGCAGGACTCTGCATAGGGCCACGGACTACAGCCACAGCACAAAATGGCGGCAGCAGCCACCAATTGAAATGGTGTGGGGGACACTATAAGTCATGGGGAACCTAAGCCAAAGCCCCGCCTACAGCCGTTTACATCCGGAAAGTATCAACAGTCAATCAATGCATGTATACCGGCTGCCTCCATATGCCCAACACTATACTTTGCACTACAGACGGAACCAGCCAGGGATGGACACAGCTGGGCCCAGCACCTAATTACACGCTGCGTTAGACGGTGACCTCACATCACTCACGCACCCATGTGCCAGACAGGGAGATTTAAGACTCAGTTCCTGTCACAGATACATATGATGAGCAAAGTGCACTAGCTGTGACCGATTTTGCCGCAGAATATTCCAGAAGGCTTGGGAGCCTTCTAGGGGAAATGAAATATACATGGGGTCTTGAAGGTGCTACAGGTGACCTCTGAGGATGAGACTATGTCTCTTGGGAATTCGTGGGCACTTAGCAGTTCCTATCTCAGGCAGATCACAACACGGATGAAAGAGAAACACAGACCCCAGCCCCCGACAGCCATCCTCCTGTTTGACAACGCGGTGTGGACAATGTGTCTCCTTGTCAACACAGGTGCTGGCTACAAGGTGAGCAAAGACTCTGAGCCTCTGGGCTCAGGTGCAAACTGGCGAAAACACCTCCTCCCTTCCGGCTGCAGAGAAGGCTGCGACAGGAAATCACTCTGACCCTTCCCAGCAAGAAACAGCAAAGCTGGGGCTTAAATGGCACATTCTCTCCCACTGTCCAGTGCTCAGGAGCCAGCCCTGCAGAAAAGCAGCCAGGCAGAGGCAGGGAAGGAAAACAGATTCCAGACTTCATCTCTCAGACAGAACTGAAGCCACTCCTTCAGATCGCCCAGACACCCCTGTCCTCCTCCTGGAGCAGGGCCCCTTTGCTCACCCCAGCATCCTGGTGCTGTGCCAGCAGCCAGCGAGGGGGAAAGAGCTAGCTGGGCCAGCTCACCCTCGCCCACACCTCGGCCCCACCCTCCCGCCCCAGTGAGTCACTGCAGCTGGCTGCAACAGCTCCAGACCTGCAAAGGGTTGAGCCTAAAACCCCAAGGACAAAGTGCCTCCTGGGCCAGACCCCCAGGTGCCAGAGGAACCAGGGCTGCCCTGCAGACAGGCAGTTGGCTTCCCTGCCAGGGCCTCAGGCAGAGTCCCAGGGCAGAAGTCCCTTTTGAGGCCCAGGACAGATGCAACCTACGTGGTTCCTGAGGAGGGGAGAAACCATCCTAAGTAGACACCGATCCAATAGCCCGTGAGGACGGGAGCCATTGGACCCGAAGCTGCAGGTTGGCCCTGGCAGGGCACCCAGTGGCTTCCCGGCCAGGTGGGGCTGCCAACCACCCTGCCTGCTCTGGCTGTGGCCCTGCTGTCCTGGCACAGCCTGGAAGGACTCCCCTCTCATCTGACCTGGGCCATTCAGTTCCGCGGAAGGGCATGGAAATACTGAAGGGAATACTGAAGGAGGGGCGTGGGATACTGTGTAGCCAGGTTTCCCATTCTCTGCATTTGGGTCCCAGCCCTCAGTCTCTCCTCCACCTCTGGAGCCTGTATCAAGCCCAAGTGGTCCTTTCTTCTCCTCCCACACAAGTTAGGTTAAGTCAGGCTTTCCCTGGAGGCTGAGGGCTCTGCCCTGTTGCTAGCCAAAAGAAGGTCTTTGGAGCTTTGGGGAATTCTGCACGATTCAGCCAAGTGCCATAAGCCTTCAGAGCTAGGAGAGACCTAGAGTTGTGCCACCCAACGCAGCAGCCACATGTGGCTATTTAAACTTAATCAATTAAAATTCAGTTAAATTAAAATTTTAGCTTTGGCTGCACTAGCCACATTTCAAGAGCTCAACAGCCACATGTAGCTACTGGCTACTATATTAGCGTGGACACAGAACACTTCCCCCACTGCCGAGAGTTTTATGGGATGGCACTGCCTGTTACTTAAGGATGGAGAAAGTAAGGTCCAGAGAGGTGAGAGAATGGGAGTGTGCTGGGACCCTAGTCCCAGAGCCTGCTAGCACACAGCCCGGTGGTCCACCCAACAGCCTCCCTCGTGATAGCAAGAAGCGGGACAGAGCTAGGCGTGGTGGCTCATGCCTGTAATCCCAGAACTTTGGGAGGCCAAGACACACTGATCGCTTGAACCCAGGAGTTTGAGACCAGCCTGGGCAACATGGCAAAACCCTATCTCTATAAAAAATAAAAATGTATTTTTTTTAAATAAAAAAAGAAGGAGCAGGGCCAGAGTGGAGACCCCCTAAGGCAGAAGACTGCTTGGAGGGCAGAAAAGAATGAGATGGCGAGGCCGCTCCAGCTGCAAAGGTGAGAGCACGTATGCCTGACGCTGCGGGACAGACTGTAATTCAGGCCAGAAGCAGCAAGAGAACAGCCCATCCTGTCACTTCAAAACTGCAAAGAGGATGTGCCGAGCAGCAGGGCTCTGCCCATACCCTGCAACTGGGGACAACGCCAAGTAGACGCAGAACTCCAGGAAGCAGATTCTTGACCCCAGCAGATGGCCTCTGCCAGGGGTGACCTCCAGAGGAGCCTCCTTCCTCCACTGCCCTCGGAGAACAGTGCCCCTTCCCCGGAGGAGCCAGTATAAAGACAGCCAGGATGGAAACCGGGCCAACTGCTGCAGCAGCTAGAGACAGCCCTGCAGCCAGCGTCAGTGTGGAGATGACAGGAATTGAAACACACACTCCCCCAGAGACAGGCCACAGGCCTCAGTGCCCAAATGCACCAAACCTGAGGACAAGATACACACCACAGGGGCCCATGACTGTGCATCCACCCAGCACAGGCGGGACACAGGAGGCAACCCTCCGAGGGGAAGAAAATCACCCCATCCGTGGTAGGGAGGGTACCGGCCACAGTGAAACTTCCGCCCAGCATGGCAGCACGCACATAGGCCAATCGACCCACCACACACACAAGGCCAAAGAGAAGCAGTCCTCATCCCAGGAACAAAATGACTCATGCCCAGAGTTAGAGACCCCTACCAGAGGGGAAGCCCCCAACATTCGGAACCAGGAGGAGAGGGAGGCTATTCAGAGAGACACACCCAGAAGACAGTATGGTCTGCTCTCATAAACACTCAACAGGAGGCAAAGAGGAACAGAAAGTTCCATGTTGAAAGAAAAAAAAACCCCACACACAAGTAGAAAGAGAATTCTGCAGAGCGCTCTGATGTGCCAGGGACTGTGTTGGCAACATCCCATGCCTGGGGTCTCATTCAACTCCCAAATGATGATGCTATGTCAAAAGAATTAATATCCTTATTTCAGAGAAGTGAAAGCAGGCCCAAGAGATAAGATGACTTGCCCAAGTGTGAGACAGAGTTGAAATGCAAGCCCAGGAGTCTCTGACCCCCAAGGCCCTTGTTCCAAAGGAACAAGGGTGACATCCCTTCCAGGGCCTGGCCCTCTGAATGGACCCCCGAGGATGCAGCTGCCAGGCTTGTTTAGGAAAAAACATTATGCCACATTCTAACCGGAGCAGAAGTGCGCAGACATCTCAGAGTCTAAGCTGGCATTAACAACTTTTACAAACCCACCTAGCTGATTCTGGGCAGTGTGCAGGGAGGAGGGGCAGGTTAGGGAGGTGGAATTACCAGGAAGAATTAGATGAACATGTTGCAAAACACATGCAACTTGGGCACCTTCAAAGAAAGGCACACAAGCACACACACACACATACACACCATTAGTACACGGAGACCCTCAGCCCCATTCTCCACTCTACACAGCCCAGGGCAGCCTGCAGCCCCAGCCAGCCTTCACCGGCTCACAATAGACAGTTGTCCTGCAGGTCCCTATGCCTGTTTACCTGGCACCTGTGTCCCTTGAGCCTGCACCTCCCCTTGTGTGTGTGCACCTGCCTGGCCTCCTCCCTGCTCCCTGCCCTTAGGAGAGGGAGGCGCCAGCCCAGCCACAACTCCCACCAGGAGGAAGTTTTTCCATCCTTGTCATTCCAGCCCTCCCCTCCCCATCACCCCCTTCCCCTGGCCCCTCACATCATGCTGACTTCCAGGGCAGCCCTTACACCCCAACCTCAGCCAGCTGGTTGCTTTCTGACTCTGCTGTGACGCCTTTCTCCATCTCTCTCTACCCCAGCCACGCACAGCCCCATCCCATGCTACAGTGAGCTTGGAAGCCCTGAAGCTCCAAGCTCTCACTTCCAGCAGCGAGGGAGATTCCCTCTTCCCTCCCTGGCCAGGAGGGACTCTGCAATCCTTGTGAAAGGGGGCTGGGGACAGCCTATGATCCAGTGGGGAGTCCCCACACCTGGACACAGAAGCAGGGAAGAGTGGGCCTTTACCCAGAACCACTGGGATTAAGACACCAACTCTGAGGGTGGCGTCCTATAGGAGAGGGGGTGGAGCAGAACGCTTGGTCTTGCCCTGTGGGGTAGATTACAGTTTGGAAGCTGCCTGTCTGCCCCACCCAAGGCCGGGATCTGGGGAGGGCGCTGCTTGCTCTCCCCCCAGCGGTCGGACCACGCTACTGCAGGGGCGTGGGGCCAGGCCGCTCCGGCTCTGTCGCTGAAGAGCTACCCCCGAGCCCCGCCAGGACACGTAGCTGTAGACGGGATCAGCTCCAGGCACTTCCCCTTCCCCCAGAACCTCCGCTCCAGCCCCCGGGGGACCGGGCAGGATGCCCCTCCCTGACAGGCCGTGTGCAGTGCCTTGCTTAGCCTGCTCAGCTGGGGCCTGCACCCCCAAGGCTGTCCTCAACCTCCCAAAGGCTTCTGGACACAAACTGCGCGTGCGGACATGTCCAGGACCGAGAAACTCACTTCAGTCCTTACCTACAACCCCTACGGGCCCGCAGGAAACCTCCACCACCAGAGCAGAATGCCACTGCCATCCTCTGCCTCCAAGCCCGATGACAACGCAGGCAGAGGTGACACATCCAGGCACGCCACAAGGGGAAGACCTTCATTCACAACCAGTGGGATACTCTCTCACAGGCAATGACACACATCTCACTCAGAGACAAGCTGTGACATGGTGGTCACAAGGACCTAAAGCCACAGTGGGACGACACCTGCAATGCTATCAGTGACCTACCTAAGACTGCCAGCGACAGCTCAGCCACAGCCCTGGTGGGAACTGAGGCCAGCAGGGAGGAAAAGGGGCTTCATTCCTTCGGAATCCTCTTGTGGCCCACCCACGTGCCCCCCACACTCCCTCGGGCACACCCAGGAACGCTGGAAATTGCTCGTGCTCAGGAAGCCTTGGGAGTCCCACCGGATGGCCTGAGCCCAGGGAAATGCCAGCCTGGATGAATCGATGGGGGACGAAGAGAAGTCAGAAGGCCCTCCATCCCTGCCACTGCCACCGCCCAAGCAGCACATTCTAAATCCTCCCCAGCGGCCATCACCCTTCCTCAAACCTAAGCGTGCACAGCACGGTGCCAGCCCAGCTCCGGGGAGAGAAACTTTGGGGCCTCGGGAATGGTGGGGGAGAGAGCCACACTGTTCCCATAAGGAGTAGGACTAGCTCTCCCGGTCTGTCTCTCTGTCTGTCTCCAGGCAGTTCCCAAGTTCTAAAGAAGGTGGTGACCACACCCCAGAGCCCCACACACCCCTCCGCCCCCACGGCTTTGCCCCAACCCCTCAAACCAGCTCCTCAGGCTCAGGGTGACCGGCTCTGCCAGGACCCACCAGCCAATTCCAAGTCGAGCAAAAGAATCCAGCCTGGCAGCACCGCCACCTTTCCCCAGGACTTCCTGAGGGCTAAGATGACTCCGGGGACCCCCAGCCAACTCCGTACCCTGGGCTGACGCTGGACCTTCTCCCTCAACAGGTCCCTGTGTCCCACCCCTGGCCCTGGACCATGTCTGGCTGCCACAAGTCCTCAGCTCCGAGGGGTTGGCTCCTCAAGGAGTTCCCGGACCAGGACCCCTGAATCGCTGCTGTGGGCCTCCATATCAGCCCGCATGACTTATGTGGCTCCCCATGTGTCCCTGTTCTCTGACCAGTGTCCCTGTGCATAACCTCTTAGGGACAAAGGCTTTAGAGAGGGGCTCAGACACCCTCTAACCCACATTCCCACAGCCCCCAAACCCTGCGACCTCTCCTAGCTCCACTCTTACCCTCCCTAGCTCCTCTCCCACCCTCCCTCACCCCAAAGCTCACAGCTCAGAGCAAAGAGGTGCCCCTAACTTGGGGGCTCCCCTGTCCTCCCCATTCTGCACAGGCCACTATCCACGCGGTGGGGGGTGGGTGACCCCGCTGTCCCTAAGGACTGGAGAAGGAAGCTTCCCCCCATTCAGCTTCTGAAAGGAAGTGAGTGCCACACCCTGCCCCTGGGATTTCCCTCACGGGGAGGGGATGAAAGCGAGATCTCTACCCTGAATTACAGCCAGTATAGGTGCAGGGGCCCTTAAACGCCTTCCCCCACTCTCAGCTTCACTGCTGCAGCCCCTCACTGTATTCCACAAAATCAACCCAACACCTACCATGCACTAGGCTGTGCTGGGACGGGCAAGCAGAGAGCAGGAGCCCTGCAATCCGAGGTTGGATTCTAATGAAGACGGGTTCGAAACCAGTATTTACTGAGCGCCCAGCGCTGTGCTGGAGACACAGAGGTAGATATCTCGGTCCCTTTTCCTCCGGAGACTCCGGAGGTCTAAGGACCTGACTGACTTGGGAGGCTCCCACACTGCCTTTCCACAAATCCCCTCCACAGAGCAGGGCACTCTGCAGCGACCGCACGCTCCCTGGGAGCACCTCACTGCCACGGTCGCCGCGGCGGGAGCCACACCCTGCGAAACCGGCAAGCACACACATCGCACACAACCCTCAGTGGCCTCATTGTGCAGAGGGGCCAGAGCCGTTCCCCACCTTGTTGTGGGGCCTCGGCTACAGCTGAGAACACCCATCTGCCCCCTCCGCACCCCTCCCAGCAAGGGGCACAGCCAGCCCTGTTTGGGCCCCTGGAGTCCCTCATGGTCAGCGCCGCCAAGGGGCTGCGCCCCCACATCCCGGCCTGGGCACTGCTGGGGGGCGACCAGCCCTGCCAGGGACGGCCCAGGCCCTCGCACACTGCACACACACACCCCCTCCCCTTGCATGGGAAAGCCTTACATAACACAGCTCTGCACACACCCTAAGCACGCTGCCTTTCCAACTCTAGGCGAGACCTCGCTTCGGGCCCCCTCTCCTGGCGCGCACCGCTGGAGCGCAGGGTTCCAGCGAGCGCAGCTTAGCCCTCCTCCCACGCCAAGCCCGGCTCCTGCCCCCAACTCCCACACACAGCCCCTTCCTCCTCCCCTTTGCCCCTCACCACTCCTCCCTGAGTTCTGGTTTGAATTAGTCACCGGCTCCAACCACCACATTCCTCAGGCTGCTGGCGCCGGGCCAGGCTCTGGGGCGGGGGCCATCCCGCCCGGACGGGTTTGGGAGTTGGGCGGGGGGAAAGCGCCGCCTCCGGAGGGGAAGGGGCGGTCCCGAGGACTGGGCCGCCGCAGCGCACCCCCCTCCTCGCCCACCTCAGCATAGGAATCTCCCTAATTTTGTCCCCCTCCCCACCCATCCCGCTGGGAGGCGCATTGCAAACTTCCAGGTTCCGCGGCCCGAGAGGAAGGTTTTCTGGAGCGGGGAACGCGGAGAGGCAAGGCTAGGGCGGGGCAGCTGGAGGAGGCTGAGGGGCTGGTGGTACAGAACAGGGTGGGGCCTGGACGACTCGGGACGCGGTTAGGGGCAGAGGTGCAGGGAGCGCGGAAGGACAGCCGAGGGGGCGCACGGTGCGGGGTCGCGGAGGCGCGGAGGCGCTGGGGGCCGCGGTGGCGATCTCGGAAATTTCCCCTCCAGTAAACATGGGATACGAACGGAGCAGCCCCCGAGCCACCGCCCCATGCAGGGAGAGGAGGTGGGACAGAGGCCACCAGGCCCGGAACGGGGCGCCCTGCCTTGCAGTGGAGCCAACAGTCCGCCCTCCGGAGAAATAAAGAGTGGAGCAAAGCACTTCGGAGCGATTTTCCAACTTTAACCAACTTGCGCCCCAACTCCAGAGGCAGAACTCCGCTCCCAGAGAGCGACGCGTCGCCGCCCCGGGTGGCCCCGCTTGCTCCAAACTGCTTGAATCCTCACAGTGACACCCCCAACAACGCGCCCTGCCGGAGCACCGCAACCCACCTCCCCGCGACCCGCCCTTGGTGCCCCGGACCCCGATGGCGCCACGGTGCGCCTGGCGCCCCTACCTGAGGGCTCAGCCCCAGGGCACGGCCATAGCCGGCGCGAGGCCCAAGGCTGCGGTGCTGCGGCTACTGGCGGCGACGAGCCCCGTTCCGGGCGGGTCTGGCAGGGCGGGCGGTGCAGTCCCCGCGGCAGAGCAGCTCCGAGTGGCCGGGCCCCCGTGCGCGGAGGCGGCTCTTGTAACTCCGGCTCGGGCGGGCGGGTCTGCCCGGAGCTGTGGGGAGAGGGCGGGGCCGGGCGGGGCCGGAGCGGGGCTGGGACTGGCGAGCGGGGCAGACCCTGGAGGGACCCGGGAGTGGGCTGCTGGGGAGGGGGGCCGCTGGGGGACGCGGGGACATTCTTTCCCCCCCTCCCCGCATCCACTGCCCCCTGTCCTGTCCCGGACCTGGACCTGCTCTCCAACATGTGCACTGTGTGGCTTCATTGGCAAGAAACTCCTGCAGGCTCCCTGGGCTCACCCTCACAGCTGGAACTGCGAATCAACTTATTTTGCAGGAAGGGCCTGGGGGCTCTGAAGGTGGCTGGGTGATTCAGCCGCGACCGTCAGCTTGCTCCGGACCTTTGAGTTTTCTCTCAGCTTAGGCAACTACACTTCAGATCCCAGGCCCCAGCCTCCTTGCTTGGTTCCCAAGCTCCGTGCTGCCGCGCCCATTTCTCGCGTTCTCTCTTTCTGGGGGCCCCTCCGTCCATATCCGCACAGAACTGGCTTGGATTTCCACCCCCCAGGAGCCGGGGTCACCAGTGCCTCGCGCACCGCGGTGCTGCGCAGGCCGCGGGCATACGGGGGTGAGGACCCCGGGCGTTGGACAGCGGACCCGACGCCCACCTTCCTCTCCAGACTCCCGCCCCCAGGAGCCAGAGCCCCAGCGCTTCCTCTGCCTCCCATTCCTTCTCTGAGCGCCGCCCCCGCCTCCCCACTTGCGGGACGCTGAGTCTCCTAATTTACAGCGATTTCCCACAGCCACTTCTAACTACATCGAGATTTTATTAAACGTTTAATGATGGGGTGCGGGGGCCTTCTGGCTACACACTCCCCTCCACACTCCCTTTCTCTTCTCCCTCATGAGTCCTTTTATCCTCCCTCCTAGGTGGCCACCCACTGCCCGCTCCAAGCCAGTTTCCCCTCCTTCCCAAATGCTAAGGAAAGAGAGACCCCAGGCTGGGGAACTAAGGAGACCTGGCCAAGGCAGGAGCGCCCTCCTTGCTGCAAGATCATGAGTGGGCTGGAGCTGAGACCAGCTCGGCCCTGTCCTCTGAAATGGCAAACATGTTTACAGGCTAAAAATACCCAGCAGTCAACTCTGCTGCCAGCCCTGGGGGCTGTGTCCAGGTCCAGTTACCGGCACAGAGTACAGGCCGTGGGGGAGGGAAGAGACAGCCAGAGGAACCACAGACATGGGCACTCATATAATGGACACAGAAAGGTGGAGCCGCATGTGCAGACATCCAGACAGGCAGAGACATGTGAAAACACAAAGCGGAGACTTGGGCACCAGCATTTTCTCTTGCTCTCTCTAATACACACACACAGGTGCCCAGATAATGACTCAACCCCATGGCAGAGGCAGCCTCGCCACAACACATCCCAAGCACACAGTCACAGACTCACACTTTCCCAAGAATCACCTGCTCCCCCATTTTGTTCTGCACCCCTTTCCTAGCACCTACCTTATTTAAAGAAAAAACAAATCTAAAACTTTTGAGCTATAGAACACTTAAAAAAAAATTACCAAGGCCAGGCGCGATGCCTCACACCTGTAATTCCAGCACTTTGGGAAGCCAAGGCAGGTGGATCACTTGAGCTCAGGAGTTCGAGACCAGCCTGGCCAACATAGTGAAACCCCGCCTCGACTAAAAATACAAAAATTAGCAGGGCATGGTGGCGCAGCCTGTAATCCCAGCTGCTCGGGAAGCTAAGGCAGGAGAATCCCTTAAACTTGGGAGGCAGAGGTTGCAGTGAGCCAAGATCGTGCCACTGCAGTCCAGCCTGGGTGACAGAGCGAGACTCCATCTCAAAAAAAAAAAAGTACAATAAAACACAGACTTCTCCCTCCTCCCCTATCACAGTCCCTCTTCCCAAAAGTAACCATTGTTAACAGTTTACCAAAGGATTTTTAACTTTATGGAATGAATCATCATCTCGTTCCTTGAAAGAGCGAATGTTCCCAGTGCATATTAAAACAGGAGTTGATTCACACCTAGGTTGGAAACACAGGGTATCTGCAAAAAGGGCTAAGGGGGCGTGGGGGGCTGCTAGAGCAGAAAAGGAAGAAGAGCACGGAAAGGCGTGGACGCTGTGTCTTCGCCTCGACTGGGCTAGATCGGCCCCCCAGGATCCAAACAGCAGAGGCCAGAGTCCCAGGCTCAGAGCCAACTTATCTGCTCCATTGTTTGTTCTGGCCACCCTCTTGGTCAACAGGGAAGAAGGCAGGAGGGAGAGGTTGGTTTTTGAAGCAGCCCCAGAGCAGAGATCACTGACCAGGTACTTCATTCAGGGATATGAATGTCAAGATTACCTGGTCGGGGGGTAGTTCTGAGGACTGGCTCTTGTCCCATTCCAGACTGGAGGGCTAGAGAAGGCTTAACCTCAACCCTACCCTCTAAAAAACCATGATCCTGACCGGGGGCGGTGGCTCACGCTTGTAATCTCAGCACTTTGGGAGGCTGAGCGGGGGCAGATCATGAGGTCAAGAGATCGAGACCATCCTGGCCAACATGGTGAAACCCCGTCTTTCCTAAAAATATAAAAATTAGCACTTTGGGAGGCCGAGGCAGGCGGATCACCTGAGGTCAGGAGTTCAAGACCAGCCTGGGCAACATGATGAAACCCCGTATCTACTCAAAATACAAAAATTAGCCGGGCATGGTGGTGTGCGCCTGTAGTCCCAGCTACTCGGGAGGCTGAGGCAGGAGAATCGCTTGAACCCAGGAGGTGGAGGTTGCAGCAAGCTGAGATCGTGCCACTGCACTCCAGTCTGACAACAGAGCGAGACTCTGTCTAAAAAAAAAAAAAATGATCCTGCAGGCTGGAACAGAGCTGGGGTTTCCTAAGACTGCCACCTCAGCCCAAGGGAGGGGAATATTTTCAAAAGTTTTCAGTGGTGTTAAGTGGAGAAACGCACACTTTTAGAAACTTCTGCCAACTCTTCTCCTTCTGCCCGCTGGTGTAGCCTCCCCCACACCCCCTCCCAAAACTACCTTAATATGATTGTGTCTGATCCTGCAGCAGCTACTTTCGTTGGTTTTTTTTTTGTTTTGTTTTGTTTTGTTTTGTTTTGTTTTTTGAGAGGGAGTCTCGCTCTGTTGCCAAGCCTGGACTGCAGTGGCGTGATCTTGGCTCACTGCAGTCTCCACCTCTGGGTTCAAGTGATTATCCTTCCTCAGTCTCCCAAGTAGCTGGACTACAGTCGTGTGCCACCATGCCTGGCTAATTTTTGTATTTTTTAGTAGAGATGGGGTTTCACCATGTTGGCCAGGGTGGTCTCGAACTCCTGACCTCAGGTGATCCCTGCCCACTTCAGCCTCCCAAAGCGCTGGGATTACAGGTGTGAGCCACTTTGTCAGGAGCTACTTTCATCTGTCAGCTCATTTAATCCTTGCACACCCTGGGAGGGAGGCACTTAGTGAGGAATGGTCTCAGAAAGGGTTCGTGATTTACCTAAAATCACACAACTCACAGAGGCAAGAGTCAAAGCTTCCGCTAGCATTTAAGCCTCATGAGGACAGGGTTCTTTCTTCTCTGCTGTATGCTTTGTGCCTAGATTAACTGATTTTTTGTTTTGTTTTGGTTTTTTGCTTGTTTTTTTTTGAGACAGTCTCACTCTGTCGCCCAGGATGGAGTGCAGTGGAGCATTCATGGCTCACTGCAGCCTCAACCTCTCAAGCTCAAGTGATCCTCCCACCTTAGTCTCCCAAGTAGCTGGGACTACAGACACACACCATCATGCTCAGCTAATTTTTTTTTTTTTTTTTGGTAGAGATAGGGTCTCACTATGTTGCCCAGGCTGGTCTTGAACTCCTGGGCTTGAGCAATCCTCCCACCTCAGCCTCCCAAAGTGCTGGGATTATAGGTGTGAGCCACCGCACCCTGGCCCCTCATGCCTAGAGCACTGACTGACACATAGCAATCACTCAAGAGCATGTTTCAAATGAATGAATGAACTCCAGGTATAACTGGCTCCAAAGCCCTTGCCTTTTCTACAATAGATAGCATCCTGCATCCCAGGCTGTCACAACTTCCTCTGGCTCTCAGCCCCCAGGGAGCAATTCCTCTACTTGTGGGTCTTTCTTGCAGCTACCCAAACATTTATTGTGTGTCCAATATGGGGTTGGGGAACTGTGGTGGTGGTGGAAGCAATAGAGACCTTGGCAAGATGGAATCCCAGCAAAAAGCTCAGTCCAGGCGGAAACGGCTCCGATACCCCTTTACCTTGTCCTTTGAATTCCTTGGAGGTCCTATGCCTCCAGAGAATTGGAGTTATCTTTCCTACCAGGTAATTTACACAGCTACTCCCCCGCCAGCACCCCCCCGACACACTATGTTTTGGGTGTTTTTGTTGTTTTGTTGTTGTGGTGGTGGTGGTGGTGGTTGTTTTGAGATGGAGTCTAGCTCTGTCGCCCAGGCTGGAGTGCAGTGACACGATCTTGGCTCATCTTGGCTCACTGCAACCTCTGCCTCCTGGGTTCAAACGATTCTCCTGCCTCAGCCTCCCAAGTAGCTGGGATTATAGGCACGCGCCACCACGCCTGGCTAATTTTTGTATTTTTAGTAGAGACGGAGTTTCACCATGCTAGCCAGGCTGGTCTCGAACTCCTGACCTCATGATCCGCTTGCCTCAGCCTCCCAAAGTGCTGGGATTACAAGCGTGAGCCACCACACCTGGCCTGTTTTTTGTTTGTTTTTACACACCATGTTTTATAAGGAGTATTAAGGAGTTCTTTCGGTCCCTACTTTGCAAAGAAAACCTCCATCTTCTCGAAGGTTTAGACTCCTCTGTGATATAAAGTAAAGGCTTTCCTCTTATAAGAGGGAGGTCAGCCCTGCCGCTAGTGCTCCACCACCATTCAGAGGGAGCTGGTACCACAGTGCTCCACACGCACTGCCAAAGCTGGATGAGCTCTAGGACTTGTCATCACAGGGATACCCCAGCTTCCCCAGAAGTGACACTGCCTCCCTGGGGAGTGGGGGAGGTTCCCTGATATGTACCTGTTTTGCGTGTGTGTGTATATGTCAGTTTGTGTGTGTGTGCGCGCGTCTGTAATGAACCTTGGGCTCTTCTGTTGCCAGGCAACCTGCCTCTATTTTGTTCCTATTATGCCTGTTTCCATAGTAACCACAAAGGGGAGCTCTGTGGGCAGGCCCCTGGCCAGGGGATTCCCCTTCCCCTCCCTTCTCTCCACAGTCCCCTTTTCTGAAATCAGCATGTTACAAGGAAGAAAAGAGGTTGACTGCTCAAAGGGTAATCTCAGTTTCTGATCCCAGAAGGCAAATGAAGTGTGTGGTCTGTTTGCAGTCTCTTTAGAAGCAGACTTTTCCCCCCATGAAGGTTCTTTTGCATGATATTCTTAGAAGCAGAAAAATGGGCTGTGCCTGGTGGCTCACGCCTGTAATCCCAGCACTTTGGGAGGCCAAGGCGGGTGGATCACTTGAGGTCAGCAGCTCGAGACCAGCCTGACCAACCTGGTGAAACCCCGTCTCTACAAAAAATACAAAATTAGCCGGACGTGGTGGTGCACGCCTGTAATCCCAGCTACTCGGGAGGCTGAGGCAGAAGAATTGCTTGAACCTGAGAGGCGGAGGTTACAGTGAGCCGAGATTGCGCCATTGCACTCCAGCATGGGCAAGAAGAGCAAAACTCTGTCTCAAAAAAAAAAAAAAAAAAAGCAGCAGCAGCAGCAAAGAAATGACTGTTAACCCTTCTTAGCACCATCTGGGATCTCCCAGACCCCGCCTCCACCCCATACACACACCAGCCCAGGGATTAGCATCCCTGCCAAACAGGCCCTTCTCCATTCACTTCCGTCACTTCCTAATCTGTCATTGTCCACCCCACCCCCCAAAAGCAAATCTATCTGGTGATTCTGGAATCCAAACATTATTTCCTAAGCAATTCTCAAGCCCCAAACCCTTAACCCTAGCCGAAAATATAAAGCCAAGTAAAATCATCCTTCCCCAGCTCAATTCAAATCCCAGCCTGTATTTAAACTTCAAGCTTCAAATAAGGAGTTCCTGAATTTCTTAGATCAGAGAGCTTTGATACACAGAAACTCTCCAATTACACTCAGTCCTAATGAAATCTTCAAGCCCAACCAGAACCCAAGTTAAAGCTGGTTAGAGAACAAGAGACATGAGGCTGTCTCCAGAGTACCGTCTGGGAGGAAAGAAGGCAAAGAAAGACTGTCCAGGCAGGTGGAAGGGAAAGAAATTGGGCAGGGAGAGTGGGGCAGGTGGACACGATGGGTCATGGCTGGATTTCAGGCAGAGTTAGGGGTGTGGGAATGCTGTGGGGCAATAAGAGGAGATGCAGACCTGAGATTAAGGAAAAGAAGCGACAAGACATGAGGCTGTGAAGGAAGGAGGGAGGGAGAGAGAGAAAACAGAAGAGCTCAGCACTGAGCTAAGGACTGGGCGGGCTGAGTTGTAAACAGGAGCCGAGGGAGGGAGTTGGAGTAAACGGAGCAGCCAACGCCCCAGCCAGCTCCCCTCCCCAGTGGGGAGCAGGGAGGGAGGGGCTGAGGAAGCGGGGAACACCACCTCCTCACCCCTTTCTTGGAATCTGCTTTTCTCCTGTCCTTTCCAACTTCCTCTGCCTTTCCCCCAGCTTCCTGGGGAAAGAGAGACCAGCCTGGGTTTCCCTCTCTCCTCTGCTTACAGTTCCCTAAGTCCAGTTGAAGGAGATCAGGCTGAGCAGGGAAGGAAGGGCCTAGGCTGCCCAGAGCCTGAGTCACCACATAGTTGAGGTTCCTGTCACTCGAAGTCCCGCCTCTGTTACACTCCGTGCCCTGTGCCCGCCCCAGGACTTGGATCGCTACATCTGACCCTGGCCCCAGGGCTGGCTCCACTTCCACGCTCCTTACCAAGCTACCCTTACCAAGCTACGGGTGCAGGAAGCCTTTAGATGCCTCGCTCTCCCTGCCCCTCCACACTTGGTATGCTGTGTCCACCACCCTTATCCCTCAGCATTTGAGGGCAGCATCCTCCTGCTCAGCTTTGGAGCAGAAGTGACTCAGTGAGTGACTGCAAGGATTGTGGAAAAGCTCGGATGCACCCTTGATAAGTCACTTCAACTCTCTGGGCTCCAGTTTCCCCACTGGTAAAATAACGGGTTATTAGAGACGGTCTCTGGCAGTCCCTGCAAGAGGTACATTCTGTATGTCTGAGTCAAAGAGATGGGTAATTACTATTGAAGAGTGGGATAAAAGGGGCGTGTTTGCTAACCCCTGTCCTAACAGTAAGAGTGGGTAGGGTAGGGCAGGGCTGGGCACAGGACCTGCCACCATAGGGCAGCCAACACCCTAGGCATCTTGGTGACTCAGGTCCCACATGGAAGAAGAGCCGGAAAGCACCCCTTGGGTCCCCTGTGAGTCAGGGGAAATGCGGATCTCCCTGAAGGATGACTGCCTGGGTTCCCGCTATAACCAACTATCCTTCCACCTTGAAAGTCTCCCAGGATGGGTACCGTAAGCTCATCATTCCACCTCCCTGGCCTGCTCAGCAGCTTCCACCCCTCCTGCCTGACCTTGGCAGCCCTTCTTCCCTCAGCCCTGAACTCTAGAGCCCTCCTTACCCTCTGACAGCTCCCCCTGCCCTACCACATTCCCTCCTTCACCCCTTGGCTCTGCCCATCTTCACCATCCACCCCATCCCAGCAGAGCCCGCCAGATGATTGCAAAAGGGCTGAGCCAGCAGAGAGGCCTTCACATGACAGCTGTTCCTGCTGCAGAGGGGAGGGGGCAGCTGGGAGTGGAGGCACATTCCATGGGAGATCCTATCAGAAATAGCCCCAAACCCTAACTGACCATCTGCCCCAATGATCTGCACATCGCCCATTCAATAGGCTTGCCTCAAAATCCTGAGGAAATCAAGAAAACAAAGAGGGGTGGAGAAGGGAGGGGCCTAGGGGAGTGAAGAGAGCCCAGGAACATTGAGACGGGGTCGCCAGGACATCACCACTGAGCCAGTACCACCAGCCCAAGGTATTCTCCCTCTAATGGGAGATGCAACTGATGGCAGTGCTGCCCTCCAGCACCCCCCACCATACCCTACTCCACCCATCCCTTGGGTGCTGAGGCACTGGGACACCCCAGTAATTCCCCTGGAGTAAAACAACAGCCTGCTCTGGGAGCCATGCCAGCCTGACTGGAGCAAACAGACAGGAACAGGTGGCAGTTTCTGTAACCTTTCAGGAGCACCAATGTGAGCTCCACAGCACTAGAGGAAGAGAACGGGGTGGGAACCCCAGAATCACATTCAAACATACAGGAGCAGGCCAGGCACGGTGGCTCACGCCTGTAATCCCAGCACTTTGGGAGGCCAAGGCGGGTGGATTACCTGAGGTCAGGAGTTCGAGTCCAGCCTGGCTAACATGGTGAAACCCCATCTCTGCTAAAAATACAAAAAAAAATTAACAGGCATGGTGGCACACACCTGTAATCCCAGCTACTTGGGAGGCTGAGGTGGGAGAATTGCCTGAGCCCGGGAGACAGAGGCTGCAGTGAGCCGAGATCATGCCACTGCCCCTCCAGCCTGGCCAACAAAGAGAGACTCTGTCTCGAAAAAAAAAAACAAAAACACAGGAACACAGCAAGTGGGGAAAGTCAGTGCCCTGCAGTGCCCTATAGGTACACTGGTTGGAGGAGCTGGGGAAGCTACAGCACCCAGAAAAATCCATTTGATGTGTGGAGGGAAAGTTCTGAGTTGACAACAAAGAGTGCCCGTTGCCATGAAAACCACAGTATTAATTTCAGAAATGACTGGGTGGAGCCTCCAAAGCACTTCATTCCCCTCCCTTCAACATTCTAGGCTTCCCCCACCTTTCAAAAGGGGAAGTGGCACATTTGGGGCATGTGGGCAGCTGGTGGGATGGGTCCGACCCAGTGAGAGCAGCAGCTGTCCAGCTCCAGCTCAAAGCAGGGCACGAAAAAAAGGAAACAATATAAGTCTTTCTTGGAAGAACTTTAAAGGTTTTTAACTTTTTAATAAGTGACTTAAGCAGAAGTGCCAAAAAAGC
Source organism: Homo sapiens (assembly GCF_000001405.40). NCBI lineage: Eukaryota > Metazoa > Chordata > Mammalia > Primates > Hominidae > Homo > Homo sapiens. Next base: position 62,555,885 of record NC_000011.10, read on the forward strand.
TAAGATAAATAGCTGCTTATAACCAGTATCTACTGGTTTATCTACAAACTAACCAAGTCTCTCTCAGCCCCTCCCATTCACACTCCAGGCTCTGTAAAGATTTTATCTGAGTCAACTGCAGCCCTGAGCCCCGACCCCTTCTCCAGTTTCTCTCACCCTCCCTCTGTGGAGGTTCTGAGATTTTGCCCAGTAAGTGGATAAAAGAGCCTCCCCCTTCCCTCATTCTACCCTAGTTTTCTAAGATCATGCCCTGCCCTCAGCCCCTGATCCATTCAAACACCCCCTTCCCTTTCTGCTCCTCACCCCAGTCTCTGTGCCATGTGCTGGACCATGGAGTCGGGTCGCCAGCTCTATGTGGTGTTTGGGTGGCATGAGACTCCCTAGCACCAAGAGAAAACTGCCCAGCAACCACAGACATCCACAGGCGCAGGCTCTGATTGGCTGCCCACAGCAAAAGCAAGGAAAAGGAAGGATCCAGCAAGCCATGGAGAGCCCAGCGGGGATGGGAAGGGCAAGAGCCCTTGCTGCAGTGACTCAGGCCTCCCTGGGGCAGGGCGGGGGACAGAAAGAACTCCAGATGTGCTTCCCCTTTCCTGCCTCACATCTGCCGTTAGAAACTTCCACTGTTAACCTCTCCCCTACCCACCACAGCAGAGAAGCCCTTGCATCCCACCCCCATCTAGAGGCCAACGGCCCAGCCTTCCTGGGGCCACAACCCTCTCGTCTTGAGGCTCCTCCTCCTGCTTGTGGGTACTGGCCCTAGCCCAAGTGCAAGCACTGCTTCAAACAACAACCTGGCCACCCTTACTCTGCACCGCGTGGCGAGGGCTGGAGGCAGGATGTGCAGATGACTCACTCTTCCTGCAGGCAGAGGAAGGCTGAGGTAGGGGTCTCTGCCCCAGCGCAGACCACCTAGTCCATGTGGGCTGCCAGGCCCGCTGCTGCCCATGGCCCACCCAGAACCCCCGACCCACTTCACAGTTGGGCTTCCCTCCTGAGCCTTTCAAGCAGCCCTCTAAAACCTAAACTACTCTTCCAACTTGGTCCCTCCTGCCTGAGGCTTCAGCCACAGGAGGTTACGGTAAGCAAACACCAGGAAGGTGGTGAAGGTCCCACAACCACAGAAGGAGGTGTGATTTGAAACAGAATTTGGGAAGAGTCTGACAGCTTCAGTGAGGCCCCAGCAACAAGCTAAAAGGCACGCCCCAAGCCTGCATCTAGCACTTTCAGTTGCAATCATGGCAAGCACTACTAAGGCCTCCAACTCCTGGCCTCAGCCATCCCCCCACCCAAGTAGCCAAGACTACAGGAACATGTCAATGCACCAGCTGCACCTAGCATTTTCAGATCCTAGCTAACAAGAGCTCAGGAGGCTCAGAAGAAAGGTTATCAAGTTTGGACCCAGCTCAAGATGAGCAGCCAGGGAGCAGTCTGAGCAAGCATCAGCCCATCTCCACCCATATGGATTCTAAACCACAACTCTTTTCTGCCCACTCCAACTGCAGGTCAAAGTGCTCAGCTGCAGATGACAGCCCTATCCCCTCCCAACTACCAGCCCATTGTATGTACCTGGTTTCCCCATCCAAGCCAAGAGCCCTCTTCTGTGCCTGGACTAAGAAACAGAATGAAAAAACCACACAGAAAATCATAAGCTGGGGACCAAAGGCAGTCAACCGTTTCTGCATATGCCTCAAAATGTGACTCAATCTAGAGGTTTCCAGTTTCACCTGAGCTGTTAAATTTACAGGAAGATCTTAAATGATCTTCGGAAAAGACAGAAGAGCAAGAAAATCTGAAAAGGATATTAATAAAAATTAAGCTCAAAGGGGAAAAAATAGTAACCTTTGGCCTGAGCAGGATATTAGCTGACAATTACAACTACTCTACCTTCTAGGAGGCAGCAGGGTGTGGACACAGGCTTCAAAGTGACACCCACTGGGCGTGGTGGCTCACGCCTGTAATCCAAACACTTTGGGAGGCCAAGGTGGGCAAATCATGAGGTCAGGAGTTCGAGACCAGCCTGGCCAACATGATAAAACCCCGTCTCTACTGAAAATACAAAAATTAGCTGGGCATGGTGCACGTGCCTGTAATCCCAGCTACTCAGGAGGCTGAGGCAGGAGAACTGCTTGAACCAGAACTCAGGAGGTGGAGGTTGTGGTGAGCCGAGATCACACCATTGCACTCCAGCCTGGGCAACAAGAGTGAAACTGTCTCAAAAAAAAAAAAAAAAGTCACACCCAAGTGAGGCGTGATGGCATGCACCTATAATCCCACCTACTAAGGGGGCTGAGGTGGGAGGATCACTTGAGGCCAGGACTTCAAAACTGTAGCACGATTGGTGGCTCACGCCTGTAATCCCAGCGCTTTGGGAGGCCGAGGTGGGCGGATCACGAGGTCAGGAGATCGAGACCACGGTGAAACCCCGTCTCTACTAAAAATACAAAAAATTAGCCTAGCGCGGTGGCGGGTGCCTGTAGTCCCAGCTACTCAGGAGGCTGAGGCAGGAAAATGGCGTTAACCCGGGAGGCGGAGCTTGCAGTGGAGCCAAGATCGCACCACTGTACTCCATCCTGGGCGACAGAGCGAGACTCCCGTCTCAAAGAAAAAAAAAAACTATAGCACGATTGAGCCTTTGTACAGCCAGCCACTGCACTCCAGCCTTAGCAACATAGCAAGAACCCCAGCTCTCAAATAAATAAAATTTAAAACATTTTCCTGACCCAGTTCTACCAAAAAAATTTTAAATTAAAAAAAAAAAGTGACACCCACTGGGTTCAAAACTCTGCCTCTACCACTTAAAATGTGTGATCACAGTCAAGTTAGTGAAATCTGTAAATCCCTATGCTTCCCGTTAGAAATCAGGGATACCACCACCAGACTGATAACACAGCCAGGAATGGGCCAATGGGCCAGGCCAGTGTCTGTTCTGAGTAGTCTGTGCCTTGTCCTGCAGGTTTGAGGCATTTGAACCACAGCCCTAGGGCAGGCATGGTGATGCATGCCTGCAATCCCACCACTTTGGGAGACCAAGGCGGGACGACCGCTGGAGGTCAGGAGTTTGAGAACAGCCTCGGCAATGTGGCGAAACCCTACCTCTACAAAAAAAAAAAAAAAAACCCACCACGAAAATTAGCCGGGCGTGGTGGTGCACACCTATAGTCCCAGCTACTCAGGAGGCTAAGGTGGGAGGATGGCTTGAGCCTGGGAGACAGAGGTTGAGCTGAGACTGCACCACTACACTCCAGCCTGGGCAACAGAGCCAGACCTTGTCTGAAAAAAAAAAAGAAAAAAAAAGAAAAAGAAACTACAACCCTTGCATATTGTCAGCTACCTACCTCACAGGACAGTTACAGGAAATAATGTAAAGTTCCTTTGCGCTCTGTGAATTATACACGTTAGCTCTTGTTATTAGCAGCTATTCTCTCCCTTCACTGGGAAAGGCCTGGAATCTGATCCCTAAGAATTAGGTAGTCACAAAGCCCCATGTCACTACCCGCCCCAACTGCTTCCGCTCTTTCCCAGCTAGAAGACAGTCATCACCGTAGGAGGCAGGGTAATTAAAATCACAAGTGAACACAGGCCTCTATTTCTGTTCTTCTGAAGTCTTCTCTCCTGCATATCGAGGTACTGCGAACACAGAAAGTACCCTGCTTCAACATATCTACTCCCCTTGAAGACGCCACCACTCACAAAGGAGGCAGGACAGGAAAGGGTTCAATGTTCAGTTTCCTTTAATGACCCCCATCTCCCTGAAGGGCAGGTGCAGGCAGCTAGGTGATGGCAAGAGATGTTCACTTGAAGATCTTGCCCTGATTGAAGGCTTTGCCCACATGCTGGAAGGCCCCCTCCCAGGAAAAGTACTCTCGAACCAGCGTCTGGGTCTCCTCGCTGCCAGGATCCAGTTTCCGCCATGTGTATGACTCGTAGTCCACCTGCCAATCTGGACTCAGCTGGGGATAAAAAGCCAGCATGTGGTCAAGTTATGAGACACCACCCCACACCTGTGTTACTTCCAGCTCAAACACATGTCATCAGACCCCAGGTCTCCTGTGAACATGAACTGCTCCTTCCTATAAGCATTCCTGAACCCTCCTAAACATCCATCAACTCAGAAATAAAACACAGTGCTTCTTATATCCCTGCCCCACCCTAAAGAGACTCCTCTCCTCCACCTTCCTCACCGGAAAGGCAAGCTCCTGGCCTCGGAAGACCCAGACTCCAGAAATGGAGCTGCTATTGTTGGTTCCAAAAAGGATGACACTGGCGAAGGCATTCTTCCTCAGCTTGTCCAGTCGCTGGAACATTCCTGAAGCGGCAAGGGAGAACATTCAGCCTTTGGAATCACAGCACTTGCTACACCTTGTTCTCCTTCCTTCTCAGACCCACTCTCTTACCAGTGATGAGATTGCAGCTCATGAAGGTCTGAGTGAGTTCTTCAGGGAAGCGATACTCTGAGTACCACAGGGACCAGCCGTCCTTATCAAAGTGCTCCCAGAAATATGGCAGTGCCACAGAGAGTGTGTCCTCATTGGAGTACTTGCGCTTAAATTCATCCAACACAAAGGTACTAAGAGGAAGAAAGCACAGGGGTCAATCAATAAGGAGGAAGGTTGCCAGGCTAAGAGAAGTGAAGGGTGCTTTCACTTAAAATTTACTAATATAAAGGAAATGGTCATTGTGCTGGCAGATGTGTATGACCTTATGAGGGAAGTAAGCTCAAGGGGTTTGAACAGGGGCCTAGGACACTCCTCTGCATAAGTATGCAAGGCATGTGGAGGGTGGAACTCAAAGTGGGACTCTGAGACCTGCCCCAGGAAGGGCATGGCTAACTGCTGCCCCCAGGTGGAGACAGAGTGAGGACTTCTTTTTCCCTGTTCAGGCCCTCCCCAGGCTGTTTTCCATGAACCACACTAAGTCACTGACTCACCCAAGTCTCTTCCCCCCCACCATACAGGCCTCTTCAGGTTACACAAGCTGTAACAGGAATGTAAGCAGTGAACATTCTCAAAGGGCCTCCACCCCAAATCTTACACCCATGTCCTTTAGTCCATCTCTGCCTATAAACAAGCTTTAGTCTTTTCCAAGGTTTTCCGATGCTGGAAAGCCCTTAGGTTCAGGTTATCTTAAAAGCAATCTGGCATACTGAGCCAAGAATGCCAGCATCAATATAGCAGAGGTCACTCCCTCCACGATTGGTGCTCTGTTTTCTTTCTTTCCAGTTATAAACATATACACTGGCCAGATGCGGTGGCTCACGCCTGTAATCCCAGCACTTTGGGAGGCCAAGGCAGGTGGATCACCTCAGGTCAGGAGTTCAAGCCCAGCCTGACCAACAAGGTGAAACCCCGTTTCTACTAAAAATACAAAAATTAGCTGGGCGTGGTGGCAGGCTGAGACAGGAGAATAGCTTGAACCCGAGAGGCAGAGGTTGCAGTGAGCAGAGATCGCGCCACTGCACTCCAGCCTGGGCGATAGAGGAAGAGTCCTGTCTGGGGGGAAAAAAAAGGACAGGCAGGGTGGCTCACACCTGTAATCCCAACACTTTGGGAGGCCGAGGCGGGCGGATCACGAGGTCAAGAGATCAAGACCATCCTGGCCAACATGGTGAAAACCTATCTCTACTAAAAAAAAAAAAAAAAAAAATTGGTGGCACACGCCTGTAGTCCCAGCTACTCGGGAGGCAGGGACAGGAGACTTGCTCGAACCCAGGAGACAGAGGCTGCAGTGAGCCGAAATTGCACTCCAGCCTGGCAACAGAGCAAGACTCCGTCTCAAAAAAAAAACAAAAAAAAAACAAAAAAAAAAAAAACAACCAAAAAACACATATATGTGTGTGTGCATACATGTGTTAAATGCCTAACCTTGTTTTTACTCTAACTCACTACTTTGAATCTTCCCTGTTTGTCTCTTTAACCACCTAGCCTTGCTTCTCATGTAAATAAGACTCTCTCTCTAGCTGGGAAAGCCGGACAAACTCCAATTGACCCTTTAATTTACAAGACACTAAGGGCTCCTCACCCAACCCCCTTCCACAAGGAGTTGACCTGTGTTAAGCAGATCCTCAGCATTTCAAAGGAGCCCAATTAACTGATAAGGTACTGGCACAAACAATGTATGAAGTTCCCAGGATTTTTCTCAAAGTGATAACAACATAAAGCCTTGAGTTGTGTCCCGCATAGCCCCATATCTAATTATAATGAAGGATTTAGAGCCCTGCACCTGGTACGGTTGCTTTTTGTAACCATTTGTCTTTTAAATTGTTTATCTCTCTGTAACCATTTTGCTTCTTTTGATTCTTGCATGTTTTTACCTCTGTAAAATTATTGCATTTGAGTTCCCCTCCCCTTCCTAAACCAAGGTATAAAAGTTAGTCAAGCCCCTTCCTCAGGGCCGAGAGATTTTTGAGCGTTAGCCGTCTCTTGGTTGCCGGCTAATAAAGGACTCTTAATTCGTCTCAAAGTGTGGCGTTTTCTCTAACTCGCTCAGGTACAACATGTGTGTGTATATATGTGTGTGTGTGCATATACATACACATATATATATATATGCTGACTGAAGAAAATCACCTATAATGCCAACAAGAGGATAATCTTTTTTTTGTTTTGTTTTTTTGAGATGGAGTCTCGCCCTGTCACCCAGGCTGGAATGCAGTGGTGCGATCTCGGCTCACTGCAACCTCTACCTACCGGGTTCAAGCGATTCTCCTGCCTCAGCCTCCCAAGTAGTGGGATTACAGGCACGTGCCACTACGCCCAGCTAATTTTTGTATTTCTAGTAGAGACGAGGTTTCACTATGTTGGTCAGGCTGGTCTTGAACTCTTGACCTCGTGATCCGCCCGCCTCGGCCTCCCAAAGTGCTGGGATTACAGGCATGAGCCACCGTGCCCAGCCCAGGATAATCTTTTATGTATTTTCCTACAGCCTTTGATTTTTCAAAGATGTAGCCATGACATATGCAGTTTTGTGCTTATACTTTGTTGTTACTGGACATCCTATCCATGCTGTTAAGAATTCTTTCAGCCTGGGAAATATAGCGAGACACTGTCTCTACAAAAAAATTTAAAAATTAGCTGGGAGCTGGGCACCATGGCTCACGCCTGTAATCCCAGCTACTCAGAAGGCTGAGGCAAGAGAATTGCTTGAGTCCGGGAGGCAGAGGTTGCAGTGAGCCGAGATCACACCACTGCACTCCAGCCTGGGAGAAGAGCAAGACCCTGTCAAAAAAACAAAACAATCCTTTTTTTTTTATTTTTCCTTGAGACGGAGTCTAGCTCTGTTGCCCAGGCTGCAGTGCAGTGGTGCAATCTCGGCTCACTGCAAGCTCCGCCTCCTGGGTTCACGCCATTCTCCTGCCTCAGCCTCCTGAGTAGCTGGGACTACAGGCGCCTGCTACCGCCCCCGGCTAATTTTTTGTACTTTTTGTATTTTTAGTAGAGACGGTATTTTTACCGTGTTAGCCAGGATGGTTTCAATCTCCTGACCTCGTGATCCACCCGCCTCAGCCTCCCAAAGTGCTGGGATCACAGGCGTGAGCCACCGCGCCCAGCCTAAAACAAAACAATTTTTTGCACTAGCAGTCCCAGCTACTCAAGAGGCTGAGGTAGAAGGACCACCTGAGATCAGGAGTTGGACACCGGACTAAGCAACATAGCAAGACCCTACCTCAAAAACAGAATTCTTTGCAAACATTTTAATGGCCAAACAATCTTCTAATGCAGGATTGTGCCATAAATCTACTAAACATTGAATATTAAACTGAATGTTTAGTTGGTTCTATTGTTCATAGCATAAATATTGCCATGAGTATTCCAATTTCACTCAATCCTTATAACCCATGAGTTATCAACTGTTACCCTGACCCTCCCCTCTCTTTACAGATGAGACCAAGTAGAATGACCTGTCCAAGATTACACTGTAGCAAAGCAGAGGATCTGTCCTTTAACCCTAGGTCCCAGGTTCCTTTCCAAATGCATAAGAGACCTCATCTGAGGAGCCTTAAAACCTCAACCACACCAAAACTGGGGCTGGGAATTTTTTCACACCCTCCTGAACTGTTCAAGCTATTTGTTTTGAGACAGGGTCTTGCTCAGTCACCCAAGTGCAGGGGCACGATCATGGCTCACTGCAGCCTCAACCTGCTGGACTCAAGTGACCCTCTCACCTCAGCCTGCCAAGTAGTATGAGCCACTGCAGTTGACCTAGCTGGGTCTTAAAAGAACTAGAATTAAAATCTGGACATTAATAGTCTTGGTCTTTTAGGATATCACTTTTATGACATTAAAAATGTTGGGGGAGCCAGGGGCGGTGGCTCACGCCTGTAATCCCAGCATTTTGGGAGGCCAAGGCAGGCGGATTGCCTGAGGTCAGGAGTTTGAGACCAGCCTGACCAACATGGTGAAACCCCATCTCTACTAAAAATACAAAAATTAGCCAGGCATGGTGGCACGCACCTGCAATCCCCAGCTACTCGGGAGGCTGAGGCAGGAGAATTGCTTCAACCCAGGAGGCGGAGACTGCAGTAAGCCGAGATCACACCACTGCACTTCAACCTGGGCAACAGAGTGAGACTCTGTCTCACAAAAAAAAAAAAAAAGGCCGGGAGCAGTGGCTCATATCTGTAATCCCAGCACTTTGGGAGGCGGAGACGGGCGGATCACGAGGTCAGGAGTTCGAGACCAGCCTGCCCAGCATGGTGAAACCCTGTCTCTGCTAAAAATACAAAAAATTAGCTGGGCATGGTGGTGCGTGCCTGTAGTCCCAGCTACTCAAGAGGCTGAAGCAGAACTGCTTGAACCCGGCAGGTGGAGGTTGCAGTGAGCCAAGATTGCACCACTACATCCCAGCCTGGGCGACAGAGCCAGACTCCATCTCAAAAAAAAAAAAAAAAAAAAAAAAGGGGGCCAGGCACGGTAGCTCACACCTGTAATCCCACCACTTTGAGAGGCCAAGGTGGGCGGATCACGAGGTCAAGAGATTGAGACCATCCTAGCTAACACGGTGAAACTCCGTCTCTACTAAAAATACAAAAAATTTGCCAGCCGTGGTGTCACGCGCCTGTCATTGTAGTCCCAGCTACTCGGGAGGCTGAGGCAGGAGAATCGCTTGAACTGGGGAGGCGGAGGTTGCAGTGAGCTGAGATCACACCACTGCACTCCAGCCTGGGTGACAGAGTGAGACTCTGTCTCCAAACAAACAAACCAAAAAAAAACAAAAAACACAAAAAGGAGCCAGGTACAGTGGCTCACACCTGTAATTCCAGCACTTTGAGAGGCCAAGGATCACTTGAGCCCAGGAGTTTGTGACCAGCCTGGGCAACATAGTGAGACCTAGTCTCTACAAATAATAAAAAATTAGCTGGGTGTGGTGGTGTGTGCCTTTGTCCCAGCTACTCCAGAGGCTGAGGTGGGAGGATCGCTTGAGTACAGGAGGTCAAGACTGCAGTGAGCCGTGATCACGCTACTGCACTCCAGATTGGACAACAAAGTAAAACCCTGTTTCCAAAAAAAAAAACCTTGGGGAAAGCATTTCTGGCAGCCCTGTAGGGCATCATGGTAACCCAATAAATAGACATTAATAAACATTCCCAAAACCATGTTAAGAAAATGTAAAGTTTATTAAATAAAGATTTTAAGTTTACTACTGCCTCATTTATTTCCTGCCCAGAGTACTGACCTACTATATGTGAAAATCTCTAGCTAATAATTAACAACGTCTGAGTTACAACACAATATGTAATTTGGGTTAATTATCATGACCTATTTACACACACCAAAAATCCTGCTCACTCTTGACCTGCACCTGTGCTAAATTCAAGGCAAATCACTAGTTCAAAAAATACATCTTTAAAGAGTGCCTGTGTCTGGATGGAGCCTTCCTGGTCTTGTACAAAATACCCGGGAGTAAGAACTTTCAGCTATACCCCAAGTTGCTCCCATCTATTAGTGCAATGCTTGTAATTCACAATTCTATGCACAGCTACTGTGTCCCTACCAGTGGGTGCTCCTTTAGGCTGGTTCACCCGGTATCCAAGCCATTACAAGATGGGAGAGGGTGAAATGTAAACCCTAGCAGACCAAGCAGTAAAAAGATGAACGGCTTTGGAAATGACAGGGTGAGTGGGAGGAAAAAGTACAGAGAAAGAGGAGTTCCAAAGCAAAGTGACCACAGAATATATATTTCTCAAACTGCTTGAACTCCCAATAAAATGACTTGGAGCAGTGATGGAAGAAAGACTCCATCCCAGAGAACTGGGCAAGCACTCAGCGTCCTACATTTTTCATGCCAAAAATCTCGTTTTTACTATATTATTTCTTCCAAGAAGCCCTACCTTTAACTGAAAAAGGGATACAGAGGACACCTACTTTCTTCTACTTGGGGACTTTACTCGGTTGTGGAACAATGAACTAGACAGACACTACTTAGCTATGATCTTCATCCTTTTTCTTAGTGAGCAATTTTTGTACAGTCTGATTCAGCAAAACAGAAAACAAAACAATTCAAAGGACCCTGCTCTGGCATCCACTATCTCCGCACAGCCGGGCGCGTGGCGCACCGCAAGGCTCTCTGCACTTTCTTCCTCCCCACGCCTCTCCCTGTATTTGTTCTCAGAGCTCTCAAATGGTCAAATGAGCTTGCTCAAAACCAACTTACCACTATATCAAAATCTGTTCCTGTCTTTGTTGGAATAGGAGTTCAATCTTCCCCAGTACTGGCTGTACTTGAAACTTGCTCTCCACAATCAAAATTTGCCCAATTCCTGATTATCAGCCAGAAAGCTGCTTTATTTGCAACTAAAATATACCTTTAACTTTATATGGACAACCTAAAATTCTGGCTCTAGCTGTGTGTGAGGGGGGACATACAGAGGTGAGAACAGGCCTTCTTTGGTCCCACACCCTCCACCCTCCAATATCCTTACCTCTTGGGCAGGTGAGCGAAGGGGTCCTTGGCCTTGGGCTCAGCAGCCAGCGCCTGCTCACATTCATCCATCTCCTCCTCAGGAGCAGGGGCAGCCGCCTTTTTCTCCTCCTTCCGCTCAGCCTGGGGCTTCTGCTTCTCTTCCCGTGAACCCTTCTCTTTCCGTGGTGTGTCCTTTTTAGGTTGGGTCTCTGCAAACTTTTTAGCTGGTGCAGAGGAAGGCAGGAAAGTGAACGAATGTTCTGCCTCTTTCCACACCCCTCCAAAACCACACAGAGCAAGCAAGGTAACAGAGGAAACTGACGAATGGGACAAGTAAGGAACTTAGGCCCCAGACTGCTCATCAGTTCACTGTGTGTCCTCCAGCAACAACACACTCAGCAACAAATACTTTATATCGCAAATCTATATAGTAATACAAATTAGTCAGGGTATGAGTGTACACGAAACTGCACATAATATTAGCTACCACATTGACACCCTACATTCTGCAGGTCCCCATAACCCAAAAGCAAGACAGGAAATCAAGGGGTTGATGCAGAGCAAACCAGACCCTGATCCTGGCCATATGCCTCCCAGTCTCCTCAGACTCACCATCAAACTGGGCCATCTTCTCACACAGTTTCACTTCGCCCAAGACAGCCCGGAACTGGGGCTGGTTAATGCAGGTGAGGAACCAGCGGTTGGTATTGGGAAAGGCCTGGCGGAAAGAAGGCTCTAGAACCTGCCAGGACATAAGGGTGTAAACAAAGTCAGTGGAAAGGCCCTGAAGAGTTCTGTTCACAGCAAGAGTCCTTGCTCTACCTAAGTCCCAGTGCTCACCTTCTTTTCAAACCCTATAGACAATAGCTTCATACAACATCATCCTTCCCTGGATTACTTCCCATTTCTTCATTTTTTTCAATTTTTTTTTTTTTTGAGACAGAGTCTCACTCTATCGCTCAGGCTGGGGTGCAATGGCGTGATCTCAGCTCACTGCAGCCTCCATCTCCTGGGTTCAAGTGATTCTCGTGCCTCAGCCTCCCATGCCTTAGCCTTCTGAGTAGCTGGGACTACAGGTGCCTGCCACCACACCCAGCTAATTTTTGTACTTTTAGTAGAGATGGGGTTTCGCCCTGTTGGCCAGGCTGTTCTCGAACTCTGACCTCAAGTGATCCGCCCACCTCGGCCTCCCAAACTGCTGGGATCTCCGAGGCGGGCGGATCACGAGGTCAGGAGATCGAGACCATCCTGGCTAACACGGTGAACCCCCATCTCTCCTAAAAATAAAAAAATTAGCTGGGCGTGATGGCGGGCAGCTGTAGTCCCAGCTACTCGGGACGCTAAGGCAGGAGAATGGCGTGAACCCGGGAGGCGGAGCTTGCAGTGAGCGGAGATCGCGGCACTGCATTCCAGCCTGGGTGACAGAGTGACTCTGTCTCAAAAAAAAAAAAATTAGCTGGGCGTGGTGGCACGTGCCTGTAGTCCCAGCTACTCCAGAGGCTGAGGCAGGAGACTCACTTAAACCCAGGAGGTGGAGGTTGCAGTGAACCGAGATCACGCCACTGCACTCCAGCTTGGGTGACAGAGTGAGACTCTGTCTCAAAAAAAAAAAAAAAAAAAAAAAATTTTAATAGAGATGGGGTCTCACTATGTTGCCCAGGCTTATCTTGAACTCGCATGCTCAAGCAATCCTCCTGCCCTGGCCTCCTAAAGTGCTGGGATTACCCGTGAGCCACCACACCTGGCCTCCATTTCTTTTTCTAATCTTTTTTTTCAGTGTAGTCCAGTTTAATGGATGGATGCTTGGGTCCATCCTCCATTTAGGAGTAGGAGTAATAATTGTCTTGCTCCTTTACAAAACTATTTCAGATCTACTGTTTCCAATCTTTTAAATTTCAAACGTCGGCCAGGAGCGGTGGCTCACGCCTATAATCCCAGCACTTTGGGAGGCCGAGGCGGGCAGATAACCTGAGGTCAGGAGTTCGAGACCAGCCTGGCAAACATGGTGAAACCCCGCCTCTCCTAAAAATACAAAAATCAGCCAGGCATGGTTGCACATGCCCGTAATCCCAGCTACTCAGGAGGCTGAGGCAAGAGAATCACTTGAACCCGGGAGGCAGAAGTTGCAGTGAGCCGAGATCGCGCCATCGCACTCCAGCCTGGGGGACAAGAGCGAGACTTCGTCTCAAAAAAAAAAAAAGATTGAGACCCACAGAGGGCTATCGAGGACTTTTTTGCCAAATAAAATCTAAACACTATAGGTATTTACTATCTATATTGGCCATACTATACACACACGCACACACACACACACACCCCCCACACCCACCCATCCATCAAACTTCAGAAAGTAAAGAACATTCAAAGAAAATATTCAAACGCATTTAGAATAATGGACAGTCCTGGCTGGGTGTGGTGGCTCACCCCCGCAATCCCAGCACTTGGGAGGCCGAGGCGGGTGGATCACCTGAGGTCCTCAGGAGATCAAGACCAGTCTGACCAACATGGCAAAACCCCATCTCTGCTAAAAATACAAAATTAGACGGGTTTGGTGGCGCATGCCTGTAATCCCAGCTACTTGGGAGGCTGAGGCAGGAGAATCGCTTGAACCTGGGAGGTGGAGGTTGCAATGAGCCAAGATCGTGCCACTGCACTCCAGCCTGGGTGACAGAGCAAGACTCTGTCAAAATAAATACATAAATAAATAAATAATGGACAGTCCTTCAAATTAAACTTAGTGTCTGGTGTATTAAGCATGGTCAAAGAAAAATAAGAATAAACAGCTTCAGGTAGAACTGTTGTCAGTTTTCAGTTTGCAAAGCTTCAGGTAGAACTGTTGTCATTTTTTAGTTTGCAAAGACCAGAAGAGGAAAAAAAATCTTGTCATGGAAACAGAACACAGCAGTCAGAGTGCTGGTTCCACAGTACTTGGGTTCAAATTCTACTCTACCACTTAGTAGATTCACTCACTAAGATGATCCCCATGAGGCCCCTGGCACAGGGTCTGGCATGCAGTAAGTGTTTTTTCTTTTGCTATGATCACATTACTATTCTGGACCAGCATCAGTCCAAGAGCTTTTATTTGGAAACCAGTGACTTGTCATTCTTTTTTGACCCAATAACCTTGACAGTGATTATTACTACCCTGATTTTATAGATTGCAAAGAGTAAAAAACAGGACTAAAGGAATTCACCCGCATATAACCCCTTACCTACATTGGTAAACAATGAAGCCAAGGCTTGAACCTGTATCTGTCTCCAAAAGAGCTTAAAGAGCTTTTTTTTTTTTTTTGAGATGGAGTCTCGCTCTTGTCCCCCAGGCTGGAGCACAGTAGCTGGATCTTGGCTCACTGCTACCTCCACCTCCTGGGTTCAAGCCATTCTCCTGCCTCAGCCTCCCAAGTAGCTGGGATTACAGGCTCCTACCACCACGCCCGGCTAATTTTCGTATTTTTAATAGAGACAGGGTTTCGCCATGCTGGCCAGGATGGTCTCGAACTCCTGACCTCAAGTGATCCACCCGCCTAGGCCTCCCAAAGTGCTGGGATTATAGGTGTTAGACACAGTGCCTGGCCTGCCTCCAAAAAGATCTTAATGCTGAAGCTACCATCATCACCTCTGTCTTCACAACTAAGAATAACCAATCTTCCCAGGAAATATGGCAACAAACTAAACATCTTAGCTGCCAAACAGAAACTAAAGGCAAGACATTACCCAGCTTCTTAAGAGAATGGAAAGCAAGTGATGGTACTCAGTCCTGGGATTCCTGGCTGTTTTTTGTTTGTTTTGACACGAAGTCTCACTCTCACCCAGGCTGGAGTGCAGTGGGGCGATCGCTGCTCACTGCAACCTCCACCTCCCAGATTCAAGTGATTCTTGTGCCTCAGCCTCCCAAGTAGCTGGGGCTATAGGTGTGCGCCACCACACCTGGCTAATTTTTTGTATTTTTAGTAGAGACAGGGTTTTACCATGTTGGCCAGGCTGGTCTCAAACTCCTGACCTCAGGTGATCTGCCTACCTCGGCCCCCCAGTGTGCTCGGATTACAGGCATGAGCCACTGCACCCACCTCTAGCTGTTTTCCAAGTCCTCAGCAGAATACAGGGTAACCTAGATACCTCGTCACTTTGTTTCTAATCCCCATCTACCCACTGCCAAATGGATTTTCCATAAACTTCACCTGCTTATAGAGCCACAACAGGGTGCAGACAACTGTGATGTCAGCCAATGTCACTCGTTCGCCCACCAGAAAAGTCCTCGTCTTCAAGTAAGCATCCAGCAGCCCCAGAATTCGCCTCACTTCCTCCTTTGCATTCTCAGTGGCCTAGTGATTCAACATGATAAAACTCATCAGTGGGTACCAATCCCTTTCCCTCACCTCCCCCATTAATAGAACTAAGAGGGCTATTTTCACCTAGAAGTCTGAGCTCACCCTCACTCTCTTTCAATGGAGGCAGATCCTAGGGTCATTCTAAATGTATTACAAACAATGAACTTCAGAGGTCCTCTGGTCCAGCCACCCCCTTACCATTTGGTATAATCTCTTCACAGCAGCAATCCCTCTTCTGATCACTCATGACAGACACTTCCTCCATCAACTGCCCACTGCTTCAAACTCGTACCCTAGAGATTACGTCTTCTCATTGCCTACATATCCTTGGCATCTTTTTTTCAACCTATTTTATTTCTTACTCCCAACACCCAGGAGCTGATGCCACCCCTGCCCCTGGCTTCTCTCAAAGTTCCAAGGCTCACCTGTTTGTTGTGGTGCATGATGCCCAAGGTGGGGAACACCCAGGTACTGGCTGGGGGCACTATATCGGAATCAGCAAAGCTCACCCACTGCACCACCTGGGCTGCTGCCTCTGGAGTACTTCCCCGCAGCTCCTCATTGCTCACTGCAGAGGCAGAACACGAAGGTCAGAACTCTGGGGGAATGCCAACACCAGTCCAGGTCCTGGAGAATTCCTTCATATCCACCCCCGCTCACACTTATCCTCTCCTACACCCTCACCTCCAAATTCTCCCATTCCCATATACCCCTGCAAATTACCATAGTAGGCAATGGCGTTGCTCTCAAACACACAGAATCCATCATCACCCTCAAATGCTGGGACCTGGGGACAAAGCAGTGAAAAGATAAGGTAAAACACACAAAATTTCTTCCTAACCAATACCAGGAGCCAAACTGCTTTGAAAATACTTATATAAGGCTGATGATTCTCACTATCCAAACTCTTGATACTCAAGAACCATAAATAAATACTTCAAGAACTTGGCCTCCTTTGCAATCTGAATTCACAATGTTAACTAGGAAGCCCAATAGATTTGAATATTACAGGATATTTGTATGAAATCTCTGGATCAAACAAGCAGAAGGCCAAAAGCAACTCCTGTATCAATGTCTGTATCAGTTAAAGTATTAGTGTGTGACCCAGACCCACACAGCACTTCATCTCCTCCATTCTTAGCATGTTTCTTCACCTATCTCTATAAACCCCTTGGGGTAAGAATTCTGCTCATAACAGATATCTGATATATTTGCACTGAAAATGCTTAGTCAAAACTCATTCTCTTTCCCACAAAGTAAACTCGTGAATTTTATAAAGTCACAGAATAGCTCTGTATTTTTTTTCACAACTACATGTAAATCTGTATTTATCTCAAAATAAAATCACCGAAATTGAATAAAACAACATGGGAAGCTCCCTTTTAGAGATGGGGGCCACCACCAGAGTGACAGAATCGCAGGGCCTTGGTTTCTCAGAACCGAAGGATGCTCCCCATCTCCCAACTCACCTTGCCGGCAGGAAATTTGCGGAGAAATTCAGGGGTGCGGTTGGTTTGGCCAAAATGGAAGTGGGGTGGTGCGGAGAGCACGCGGACCTGAGCCCCGCTGTACTGAGCAGCGATGAGAGCCTTGAAGGCCCTCCAGTTTTCAGGATACGTGTACAGGGTCTATGGGAGAAAGAGAGGGACAAAATTAATGAGTAGAAGGGTCCCAGTCCTTAATGCCACTCTCCAGGATGACTTTCCTGAATAATCCCAATGTATTCAACTCACCCTTTTACTTCCTCTGGTGAACCAAGTCCTTTAGTACTTGTCATATGTAATCAGAATCCTCCGAAATACCAAGAACAGAACTACACACCAACTGCTAAATAAAGCTTGTTGACAGATTTGACCTTCCCTAAGGACACCTCTGGAAGTATTCTCTTCCTCTCAAATCTATCTCCAAGAAATCCAGAACTTCTAGCTCCATCAGACTCCATCTGCCTACAAACATACTCTCCTCCCTTCCCGGAGCCCTCGCTTCATTCATTGATGGTTCCGAGCGCCTGCCTACTCTACTGCTCAGCTGCTCACCGCTTCAAAAGCATCGTCCTGTCTCTAAGGCACGCACGACGATCGAGAGATTTCTAGTTCCCCTCAGACTAGCCAGAGATAGGGGATGGCATGCCGTCTTCTTAAATCAACTCCTCTCTCTCAAAAAGCCTTTCTTTCCGTGTCGCGAATATCATCCCTCCGGTCCTGTCCCGCAGCGAGTTCCCCGGCGTTGGGCTTCTCTATTATGCCGGCCAGCGGAGTCCAATTGGTCTGACTTCACTGTCCGGAGAATCCTCTCGCTCCCAAACCTCCCTGAGAGACGACCTTTAACCGTGCCAGCCGGACCTGCCTACAAAGACCCTCCTCTTCAACCTGTCCCCTGTGTTACTCCACAAAACGGACACAGAAGTTCGTCAACCTGCCCAGATACCACGCCTCAAAGCGGCAACAGAGCCGAACCCCTTTCTCAGGCTTCGGACGGCCCAGACCCGGCATCTCTTTTCTCCTCTTCCCCAGACCCTTCCACCTCTGGCCTCCGAGAGCCCCAGCCTCAGTTCCCCTCCAGGCCCTAGGAACCCTACTCTCCAGCAGTACAGTCTGTAGACCCCCGAATCAGTTCCCCACTCAACCTCAGAACTCCTCTGGCGCCGACTGGCCCCACTCGGGCAAAGGATGGCGGTGGATAGGATGACCCGAACCACCAGAGCCAGCAAACTTACCCCAGCCGCCATGGTGATTCCGCAAAGAAAGGGGGTGGGGTTCTCGGCGCTGCCGCAAAGTAAGCCGCCCGGGAGAGAAGGGAGGGGGAAAGAGGAGAGCCGTGGAGAAACAGCAGCCGGAAAGCGAGGACGAAACAGAAGACATACGTACGACAGTTCGGTATCCAGTGGCGCTGAATTGGAAAAAGAACTGGGTGGGTGGGGCCTGCTGGCCAGCGCGGAAAAAGCTCGGGCCTGCGCATTGGAGCTCTTGACTGGCCCGCCCCCCAGGTGCAGCGGGCCAATCGGAGTCTAGACGTGGAGGTAGACAGCGTGGAGGGCGGGGAAGTTGTGAGAACCCGCTGGAAAAGCCGCGAGTTCTTGGCTACGTGGCGCGGTTGTTGGCCCGGCGCGGCCAGTGCTACTGGGGGCGTCCCTCTCTGGCCCTCCCAGGGACAAGTGACTTGATGGTAGATTTTGCCAAGCCCCTCACATGATTCTATGAAACTCATGGGAGCGAGGAACAGCTGCTGCGCGGAGGTGGCAGTGTGTGTGCTAAATCCCTTTAGTTCCTGCTCTGCTTTTCCTCCAGAAAGGGATGAGCGTCTAACAGGGGCCCCGGTCTGAACCCGCCTGCCAAAGTGAGGTTTGCTCACATCCAACCCCTGACAGCTCCAGGGTGCTGTTACTGCGAGCAGGGCACCGGCCCTCCGGCCCGAAGCAGGGCAGGGACATGAGGGAGAACGCGCCCTGTCCCTCCCACCTCCTCCGGACTCGGCCCCTGGAGGGGCTGACGCTGGAAGACCTGACATCGTCGCTTCTGATGTTCATGGCTTTTGACCCATGTTCAGGTTTGAAATCTCTTACCCAGTTTAAGAACGGGATGAACTCTCCTCGTTTAAAGGAGAGAATGAAGAACGCTGAACGCAAATCTCCGTCCTTGTGCGCATAAATCTGAGGCGACAGGAAGAATGTGGAGGCAAACCTGGCTCTTCTCAGTACTGCTGGAGCCACCCACCGCTCTGCCATTCAGGAACTCTGCGCGGGTGCCAGGTGCCACGCGCGGTGCTGCCCCCGCACTCCCCTCGAGCTGTGCGAACTGTAGGAAGGAGAAGCTGGTGGGGTGGAGAGCAACAGGGAGAGACCCATGTTCGGGGTCAGACGGGAGCAGCTGCAGGAAGTTCTGGGGGAGGGGAAGGGGGATTATGACCAGATGGAAATGAAAGGAAACGGGAGACTGTATTAATAAACTAGCAGCTTTATTGCCCTTCAGGGGCCATGTCTTCACTTGAGATGTCGAATTGCTTGAGGGAGGAAAACCTGTAAGAAATGATGGAGATCAGGGAACAGGCCTTGGGGATCCTGGAGCGGGGTCACAGTGAGCATTCGGTCAGCCGGGGAGACAGACGCCACAAAGCTCAGCAGGGGCTCAGTTTCTGGCCTCTCTTCGCCACCACTCAGTCCTTTCAGCTCCTGGGTGACCTGAGCCTCAGTCGCCAGCCACCCTGCTCTTGTGCCAGCGCCACCTCCAGCTCCCTCCTTGGTTTGCTGCTGCAAGCGTCTACGGGCTCGCCGCCGCCCTTGCCACACTCGGTGCCACAAGGCACAGCGCCAGCTCGCTGAGGAGGGCAGGGATGCCCCCTTCCCTGCCTCACCCTGAGACCATTCTTGGGCTGCCTCATGTCCCTTGGGCCCCCGCTCTGCCAGGGCTGCGTGGCTGGGCTGCCCCTCTTCTCCAGGGGCTCCATGCTTTCCAGTGGTCAGGGGCAGGTCCCCTGGCTGCCCAGGGCTCTGCATGGCCCAGTCCTGCACCATCTCTCCAACCTCTATAACCATCTCTTCTACCCTGTCTTCCCCACCGTCCCCTGCACATCCCTGCTGCTCCTCTTTCCCCTCCTCACAGCAGTTTTTCTGTCCATCTACTTTGAGTCTTTTGCTTGTCCCTCCCTGAGAGGACTCCCCAGTTCCACCTCCTTCTGACCGCGTTCTCTTGGTTGCCTGTTCTATATGGCACCCCAGTGCTTCCCTGAATACCTGCACCAGGGCAGCAGTGAGCTGGGTGAAGGGTGCAAGGGGTAAAGGGATCGGCGTAGCAGAGAGCAGGGAGCTGGGGGAGCTGGGCTGCAGAAGAGGGAGCAGCCCCCAGTCCCGACCCCGGGAGGAACGGCGCTGGTACTGGAGGCTTCGGCAGTAATTGGCTGCTGCTCGGCAGCAGTTCTGTAGGCGCCCAGCCACCCGGCTGGTCACATTGGCTGCGACATTGTGACTCAGGTCAAAAGGGTCCTGGAGATTCAGGGGGCCAAGGCGCAGACCCTCCCAGAGATTAGAAGGCAGGCCCCCTGCCACAGGCAGTGCCTGACCCTCCCGCAGGGACAGCAGGGAGCCACGAAGATCCCAACAAGATACACAGGAGAAGAACTGGGCTAGCAGGGAACCTGGAGGAGGAGGAAGAGTGGGGAAAGGGGGGTCACTTAGAGGCCAGAACTGATACAGGTCCTGCACCAGAGCCATTTCCTTAGCAGGACTTTTTCCCTTCCAAGGGGCTCAGCAGAGTCCCAGGAAGCTAGGCTTCTCTGATCCCTATAAACAAGAGGTCAAACCTCTCTCCCTGCCCCCACATGATGTCCTTGCCCAGATGCTGCTGCTCCTTGCTAGCCAGTGTAACCTTGGGCAAGTCACTTAATTGCTCCCAAACATGGTTTCTTCATCTGTAAAATGGCAGTAATAATATTAGGTATCTCACAGGCTTTCTGTGAGAACCATGCCTGGCACACAGTTAGTGTGATATATGTTACCTACTGTTGATGAACATCATTACTAGTCCTCTACCAGGCTCCCCAAACTCACTGAGGGGCTCCACATTTATGCTGGGCTCCAGTCTTGAGGCATCCCTGGGGAAACTGCAGTCCCAGCCATCGACTTCCACCTGTTCCCCCTCTCCTGTGAAAGTAAATAAGGTGAGAGTCAGTCTGGAAGCAAGGAGATTGAGGGTGGGGGTAGAGAGATCTCATTCACAGAGCTGCTTGGTGTATCTAAGTGTGATGAAGAAGAGAGAGGAAACTAACAAGATGGAGAGGGTGGAGGCTAGGCCGAGTACCTGCTTTCTGGGTGAGCTGGGACACAGTGGGCAACACAGGAGGGTCCCTGGTCTGAAGAAAATAGATCACCAGCAAGGTCAGGGCGTAGTTACTGAGAAGGGGGCCACTCCCTGGGTAAATAAGCAATAATTCCGGTTAGATCAGAGGTGCTTCTAATCCCCTCACTGGCAGTTTTCTCAACCCCGGTGCCCATTCTGACCTCCCTTCTCTCCCTGAATCCCTGCCTTTGTCCTGAGACCAACTCAGCCCCAAGTCTGTCCTGATCCATTCTCACCTGACAGCCCCCGACCCTGAGCCCAGCAGCGGAGGGTGTACACGAGGGGCCGGACTCGACCATCCAGCTCAGAGCAGAGACTCAGGAAACGGGAGTTATGCAGGGCCAGCCTGGGACAAAGCAGGGACAAGGGTGTTAGCGCTTGGGGATGTCAGAACCTACCACCCCCAGCTTTCATTCCAGACTTGCATAACTGGAGCCAGCTGGAATAAGGCCAGAACAGTTTCCCCAAATGTTGCTCACTGATCTTGTGAGACAGTGTGCGAAAGGACAAAGGAGTTCGGGAAACACTTCATCCTGTACGCCCATCCTGGACATTCACAGCACATTATTATAAGACTGTTCATGAGCCATGGTCACACCACTGCACTCCAGCCTGGGTGACAGAGCAACATCCCATGTCAGAAAAAAAAAAAAAAAGACTGCCCAGAGCCTTTACTATGCAAAGAAACAAAGACAGGAAAAGAGAGAGGAAGGAAGGAAAGGAGAGAGGGCAAGGGGCGAAGGGAGGAAATGGAGAAACCTTTTTGCATCTAACTTTGAATTTCCCAAATTTATTCAACGCAGAGCTCTTTTCTACATCCCTTGAAAGTAGTATTCTAGGGCGCGGTGCCTCACGCCTGTAATCCCAGCACTTTGGGAGGCCGAGGCGGGCAGATCACCTGAGGTCAGGAGTTCGAGATCAGCCTGGGCAACACAGCGAAATCCCATCTCTACTAAAAATACAAAATTAGCTGGGTGTGGTGGCACATGCCTGTAATCCCAGCTACTCGGGAGGCTGAGGCAGGAGAATCGCTTGAACCTGGGAGGCAGAGGATCCAGTGAGCTGAGATCGCACCATTGCACTCCAGCCTGGGCAACAAGAGTAAATCTCCGTCTCACAAAAAAAAAAAAAAAAAAAAAAAAGTAGTATTCTAAGGAACACACTTTACAAACACTGAAATGGAAGCCAGGCAGGAGGAGATAAGGGACAGAAAGAGGGATGGTCCCAAACAAGGACAAACTTGAGACTTGGCAGGTGCAGGAGTTTCCCAAGCCAGACTCTCCTGGCCCATCCCAGAATTCTCAGCTGGCCTGCCCCAAAGAAAGGTATGGTGCCTCACGCCTGTAGTCCCCGCACTTTGGGAGGCCGAGGCAGGTGATCACCTGAGGTCGGGAGTTCAAGACCAGCCTGACCAACATGGAGAAACCCCGTCTCTACTAAAAATACAAAATTAGCCAGGCGTGGTGGCGCATGCCTGTAATCCCAGCTACTTGGGAGGCTGAGGCAGGAGAATCACTTCAACCTGGGAGGCAGAGGTTGCAGAGAGCCAAGATGGCACCACTGTACTCCAGCCTGGGCAACGAGTGAAATGTCGTCTCAAAAAAAAGAAAGGTACCGGTTACTGAGGGAGACATCACCGTGGAGACCTGAAGGCCGATGACAGAACTTGACCACAGGGCGCCGGGCAGAGGGCACAGTTTGGACTCGATACACCCCAGGGACACAGCCCCGGAGAATGGATCCCACCAGCTCCAGCATTGCTGCCCCCTCTGCTTTCTCCTCCTTTGGGGTCTCTGCTAGTTCCGAGGCCTTCCCCAGGTCCCCCTCTTCCCTGTCCTCTAGCAGTGGTGAAGCTGGAGGCAGAGACTGGGGAGAAGCAAGGGTCTCGGAGGCCAAGGCAGAGTCCGGAGTTTGGGGCGCCAGGGAGGAGGAAGGGGTTTCAAAGTCCAGGGCTTCAGAATCCTGGGGAGAAGCAGGAGGTTGTGAATCTGGAGGGGAAGCTGGGGTGCAGGCCAGGGCTTGAGGGTCCAGTGGGGAAGCCAGGGCCGAGTCCAGCGATGGAGATTCTGGAGCCTTTGGGACTGGCTGTGGACAGAAATGAACTGAGTGAAATGTTTCTGCTGTTCCCTAAGCAGGGATCTCTCAAGATAATATTACTTCCAGCTTATTCAGCTCTATTCTAAGGTCTTTATACATATTAACTCATTTAATCTTCACAGGAACCCTTTTTTTTTTTAAAGATAACCTTTTAATTCTATAAAATAAAAGGTCTACCTCTGCAAAAAATGTCATTGTCGTGAAAGACAAAAACAGAGGAACTATTACAGACGAAAGAGAAACTGTAACAGTCCATTGACAGGACAGCTGACCAAATTAGAGTATGGACTGTAAAGTCTGTAAAGGTTTACATCTGTGTCAATGTAACATTTCCTCAACTTGATAATGGTACTGTGGTTATACACTAGAATACCTTTACACTAGAATACCTTTGTTCTTGCATAACACACATTGAAGTATTGAGGGGTAAAGGAATGTGATACATGCAACCTTCTCTCAGATGATTCAGAAAATATAAATAGAGAGTGTGTGTGTGTAGAGAAAGATAAAAATAATGATAAAACATTTTAAAACTCCTGTTGCGGGGGCAGCAGGCATATAGAAACTACTTTCTGCTCACTTTTGCTGTGAATCTAACACTGCTCTAAAAAATAAAGTCCATTTTTTTTTTTTTTTTTTTGAGATGGAGTCTCAATCTGTCATCCAGGCTGGAGTGCAGTGGCGCGATCTCGGCTCACTGCAACCTCCGCCTCCTGGGTTCAAGCTGTCTCTCCTGCCTCAGCCTCCTGAGTAGCTGGGATTACAGGTACGTGCCACCATACCCGGCTGATTTTTGTATTTTTAGTAGAGACAGCATTTCACCATGTTGGCCAGGCTGGTCTCAAACTCCTGACCTCAGGTGATCCACCTGCCTTGCCTCCCAAAGTGCTGGCATTACACAGGCGTGAACCACCGCGCCCGGCCAAGTCTATTTTTTGAAAATAATAATAGGCTGGGCATGGGGGCTTAAACCTGTAATCCCAACAATTTGGGAGAATGAGGCAGGAGGATTCCTTGAGCCCAGGAGTTCGAGACCAGCCTGGGAAACATAGTGAGACCCTATTTCTAAGTAATAATAATAATCCTTTCCTAAACAGAATCTGTACATTAGATGTTAGAAAATACAGGTTAAGTGGCCGGGCATGGTAGCTCATTCCTGTAATCCCAGCACTTTGGGAGGCCAAGGTGGGTGGATCACTTGAGGCCAGGAGTCCAAGACCAGTCTGGCCTACATGAAGAAATCCCATCTCTACTAAAAATACAAAAAATTAGCCAGGCATGGTGGCGTGTGCCTGTATTCCGAGCTACTTGGGAGGCTGAGGCACGAGAATCACTTGAACCCAGGAGGTGGAGGTTGCAGTGAGCCGAGATCACAGCACTGTACTCCATTTTGGGTGACAGAGTTAGACGGTCTCTCAAAAAAAAAAAATACACATAAGCAAAACTAAAAGGACCTTATTGTATAATTTTAAATATATTTTTTCCAAAATAAGATCATATTGCACACACCATTTTGAAATTTTTTTTTTGTTATGACTGCCAGGTATCCATGTCAATTCTTTTTTTTTTTTTTTTTTTTTTGAGGAGTCTCCCTCTGTCACCCAGGCTGGAGTGTAGTGGCACAATCTCGGCTCACTGCAACCTCTGCCTCCCGGGTTCAAGTGATTCTCCTGCCTCGGCCTCCCAAGTAGCTGGGACTACAGGTGTACACCACACACCCAGCTAATTTTTGTATTTTTTTTTTAGTAGAGATGGGGGTTTCACTATATGTTGGCCAGGCTGGTCTTGAACTCCTGACCTCAGGTGATCCACCCACCTCAGCCTCCCAAAGTGCTGGGATTACAGGCGCGAGCCACTGCGCCTGGCCCTGTCAGTTCATTTTCATCCTATCTAATACTCATCCATATTCACATCTCTCCAATTACAATAAACTCTTTCAGGTAGGTCCTATTATCTGCATTGTAGATGAGGAACTAAGACATGGAGAGCTAAAGGACTTGCCCACAGTCACATGGCCATTCTCATGGACTTTTCCCAGCTGCCTCCCTGGGACACTCACTCACCTGGGGCTCTTCCAAGTCACCCAGATCCAAGAAGAGGTCAAGATCACAGCCATGGACATCGAAGCTATTTATGGAAGAGCCAAAAGGGTGGACCACACAGCCTGGGTGCCGAGCAGAGAAGAAAGGTCAAGAGAAGTTAGGGAGGAGCAGGGGGAAGAACAAAACAGAGCACAAAGATGGAAGAGCAACCAAACACCTCTAGCGGAGGAAGGACTGGGGATACAGACACAGGAGAGCAAAGGCCAGGGAGGGCTCAGACATAGTAGGGGAGGTAACTTACCAGGGAAGAACTCTGTGAAGACCTCCTGCATCAGGGCCACCACTAGGCTGCGAAGCTGCCGCTCGGCCTCGGACAACTCCCTCAGCCCCACAAGCTTTATCATTTGTGCCCCCACGTCTGCAGCCTCAGCTAGCGCTTTGGCCAGCTGGTGACTGTCGGGGGCCGCTCCTTTGGGGGATTTGGAGGCCGGGCTCTGGAACTCCTTCTGCTCCCGTGGGCGGACACGCAGGCGATGTCCTCCCAGGCTGTGCTGGGACTGTGACAAGACAGCCTCTCGAGCACCCACGTCCCCCATCTCCACAATGGCAAACACTCCCTGGTAAACAACAGGGGCAGAGATGATGATTTTGGAACCAAGAATCTAAGCACGAGATCTACAGTGGATGAGAATATTTGAAATGGAGACTATCCCATAAATTGAGAATATTTGCTTGCTGTTTTCATAATAACAGGGGACATATCTAGAAAAGCAATTTTCAGCCAGGTGCAGTGACTCATGCCTGTAATCCCAGCACTTTGGGAGGCTGAGGCAGGAGAACTGCTTGAGCCCAGGAGTTGGAGACCAACCAGGGCAACATAGTGAGATCCCATCTCTACAAACAATTTTTTTTTTTTGAGATGGAGTCTTACTCTGTCACCCAGGCTGGAGTGCAGCGGGGTGATCTCGGCTTACTGCAACCTCTGCCTCCCAGGTTCCAGCGATTCTCCTGCCTCAGTCTCCCTAGTAGCTGGGATTACAGGCACATGCCACCATGCCCAGCTAATTTTTGTATTTTCAGTAAAAATGGGGTTTCACCATGTTGGCCAGGCTGGTCTCTAATTCCTAAACTCCTAAACTCGGCCTCCTAAAGTGCTGGGATTACAGGTGTGAGCCACTGCACCTGGCCAGTACAATTTTTTTAAATTAGCCAGGTAATCCCAGCTACTGGAGAGGAAGAGATGGGAGGATTGCTTGAGCCCGGGGGCTGAGATTGCAATGAGCCGAGATCGCACCACTGCACTCCAGTCTGGGTGACACAACCACACCCTGTCTCAAAAAAAAAAAGAAAAGAAAAAGAAAATTAGCCAGGCATGGCAGCACACACCTGTAGTTCCAATTACTTGGGAGGCTATGATAAGAGCATCACTTGGGCCCAGGATGTTGAGGCTGCAGTGAGCTGTGATTGTGATTGCACCACTACACACCAGCCTGAGAGACAGCGAGACCCTGTCTCAAAAAAAAGTAGAAAAACAATTCTTTCCCTCACTCCTATTCCAAACATTTTACTCTCACCCCAGTCTGCCTCTAAAAACCTCATTTTATCTACATTATTTGTCCCCTACTCTTCCCAATGATGTGATTACACTATGACCCACCCTATAACTTTTCCTGATATAATTAGAATTTTTTTAAACATTTATTAAGGATCCATGTAACAGAATGAGTCCACTTTAAAAATCTTTTAAAAAATCAATTCATGCAGCTGGGTGCAGTGGCTCACGCCTGTAATCCCAGCACTTTAGGAGGCCGAGGTGGGTGGATCACGAGGTCAGGAGATAGAGACCATCCTGGCTAACATGGTGAAACCCCGTCTCTACTAAAAATACAAAAAATTAGCCAGGCGTGGTGGTGGGCGCCTGTAGTCCCAGCTACTAGGGAGGCTAAGGCAGGAGAATGGCATGAACCCAGGAGGCGGAGCTTGCAGTGAGCTGAGATGGCGCCACTGCACTCCAGCCTGGGCGACAGTGGGAGACTCTGTCTCCAAAAAAAAAAAAAAAAAAAAATCAATTCATGTAATAAACACTGTGCGAGGCATAAATACAAACTCATAAACCCTGTCTTCAAGAACTCACTATCTAGGAATAACAGCAATATAACAACTATATTGTTGTAAGTTGGTGAGTTCAATGATATTCACTGGCCATATTTTTTTAAAGGTAAAATATTAGCAAGAAGAGGAAAAACGCCGGGCGCAGTAGCTCACGCCTAATCTCAACACTTTGGGAGGCCTAGGCGGGTGGATCACTTGAGGTCAGGAGTTCAAAACCAGCCTGACCAACATGGCAAAACCCCATCTCCACTAAAAATACAAAATTAGCCAGATATGGTGGTGCATGCCTGTAATCCCAGCTACTCAGGAGGCAATTGCTTGAACCCGGGAGGCGGAGGTTACTGTGAGCCGAGATTGTGCATTGTACTCCAGTCTGTCCAGTCTGGACAACAAGAGCGAATCTCCGTCTCAAAAAGAAAAAAAAAGAAGAGGAAAAACAGGACTGCTTTAGGCAAAAAAGTCCATATTCTTTTATATCCTCCAATGGTAAAGCTGGACCCTCATCTTGTTTATAAAAAGGTTCCTGCTAGAGTAAGGTAGCACCAAGACAGAGTGGTGCTAGCATAAAGATAGACATTCAGATGAAGGGAATGGAATTGAGACCCTGAAAGAAATTCACACATCTTTGGTCAACTGATTTTGAACAACGGTGTCAAGAAGATTCAATGGGGAAAGAACAGTCTTGTCAACAAATTGTGCTGGGACAACTGGATAGCCACATGCAAAACAATGATGTTGAACCTTTACCTCACACCATACATAACAATTAACTCAACCAGGAGGATGGCTTCACCAGTACACAGGCCTAAATCACAAATGGGAAGTAACCAAGAAAGGATAAGGCGTTTCTTTTTGGAGTGGTGAAAACATTCTGGAATCAGTCATGAGGGTTGAAGAACCCTGTGAATATACTAACACTCACTGAATTGTATTTTTTTTTTTTTTTTTTTGAGACAGAGTGTCTCTGTCACTCAGACTTGAGTACAGTGGCACACTCTCGGCTCATTATTACCTCTGCCTCCCGGGGTTCAAGCAATTATCCTACCTCAGCCTCCCTAGTAGCTGGAATCAAAGACACGCACCACTACACCTGGCTAATTTTTGTATTTTTAATAGAGATGTGGTTTCACCACATTAGCCAGGCTGGTCTCAAACTCCTGATCTCAAGTGATCCTCCCACCTCGGCCTCCCAGAGGGCTGGGATTACAGGTATCAGCCACCACACCCACCCCTAAATTGTATACTTTTTTTTTTTTTTTTTTTGAGATGGAGTTTCGTTCTGTCACCCAGGCTGGAGTGCAGTGGCACGATCTTGGCTCACAGCAACCTCTGCCTCCCAGGTTCAAGTGATTCTCCTGCTTTCTGCCTCCCGAGTAGCTAGGATTATAGGTGCCCACCACCACACCCAGGTAATTTTTTGTATTTTTAGTAGAGATGGGGTTTCACCATGTTGGCCAGGCTGGTCTCCAACTCCTAACCTTAGGTGATCCACCTGCCTCGGCCTCCCAAAGTGCTGGGATTACAGGCCATGAGCCACCATGCCCAGCCAATTGTATACTTTTTGTTTGTTTATTTTTTTACCCAATAGTAAATAACCAACCAATGAATTGTATACTATTTATTTTATTTTACTTTTTTTTTTTGAGAAGGAGTCTCGCTCTGTTGCCCAGGCTGGAGTGCAGTGGCACGATCTCGGCTCACTCCAACCTCCGCCTCTCGGGTTCAAGCAATTCTCCTGCCTCAGTCTCCTGAATAGCTGGGATTACAGGAATCTGCCACTACGCCCAGCTAATTTTTTTGTATTTTTAGTAGAGACGGTTTCACCATGTTGGCCAGGCTGGTCTCAAACTCCTGACCTCAGGTGATCTAACCACCTCAGCCTCCCAAAGTGCTGGGATTACAGGTGTGAGCCACCTGGCCCGGCCACACCCTTCTTTTTTTAAAGACAGGATTTTGCTCTGTCACCAAGACTGGAGTGCAGTGATGTGATTATAGCTCACTGTAGCTTTGAATTCCTGGGCTCAAGCGAACCTCCCGCCTCAGCCTCCTCAGTAGCTGGGATGATAGGGGCACATCACCATGCGCAGACTTACTTCTACCCCTATGCCAAACACAGCAAAGAACTGAAGTGAGGCCAAGGACAAAGGTAGCTACTTGGACCTGCCCAGGCCAGTCTTCTGACTCTAATAAACCACAGTTTACCAGACTGCAGTACACCACCAAGTTTGTAACCAAAGCCCCAGATGGAAATTAAGAGTCTCTTTCACTGGGCCTGTCTGTGCTCCTATTTTTCTCCAAAACCTCACAGAAGGCATCAGGGAGGGCAGGACTGGCAGATTCAGAAGACTGTGTCAGCTGGGCGTGGTAGCTCATGCATGTAATCCCAGCACCCTGGGAGGCTGAGGCGGACAGATCATGTGACGCCAGGAGTTCCAGACCAGCCTGGCCAACATGGTGAAACCCGTCTCTACTAAAAATACAAAAATTAGCCGGGCATGGTGGCAGGCGCCTGTAAACCCAGCTACTCAGGAGGCAGAGGTTGCAGTGAGCCAAGATCGTGCCACTGCACTCCAGCCTGGGAGACAGAATGAGACTCCACCTCAAAAATAAATAAACAGGCCTGGCACGGTGGCGCACGCCTGTAATCCCAGCCTGTAATCCCAGCACTTTGGGAGGCCGAGGCAGGCGGATCACCTGAGGTCGGGAATTCCAGACCAGCAACATGGAGAAACCCCATCTCTACTAAAAATACAAAATTAGCCAGGCGCGGTGGCGCATGCCTGTAATCCCAGCTACTCGGGAGGCTGAGGCAGGAGAATCACTTGAACCCGGGAGCCAGAGTTTGCGGTGAGCTGAGATCGCCCCAAGCCAAGTTCGCGCCACTGCATTCCAGCCTGGGCAACAAGGGCAAAACTCCATCTCAAATAAATAAATAAATAAAAATAAGGAGCCTGTGTCCTTGCCATTTTTGTCCTCTCAACACCACCATCCATAGCTAGAGTTACTATTTGTTGAGGGCTTATTATAAACTAAGCAGTTCACACAAACGATGTCTGAGGCTCATAAGACACCTACGAAGTATGTATTATTATTTCCATTTTACAAATTAAGAAACTGAAACTCAAAGAGGTTAAGTAACTTGTAACTGCCTCACAAGCAGTGTCTTAAACTCCCAAATCTCCAACTGCCTACTGACCATTTCCCTTAAGAGAATGTTGTGGAGATTAGATGCAAGTGTACATAATGTGCTTAGCACACAATTGATGCATAGTAGTTCCTCAATAAAAATGTTAATCATTAGGCGGAGCACAGTGGCTTACGCCTGTAATCCCAGCAGTTTGCGTGGCTGAGGTGGGCAGATCACTTGAGGCCAGGAGTTCAAGACCAGCATGGCCAACATGGAGAAATCCTGTCTCTACTAAAAATACAAAAAATTAGGCCAGGCACAGTAGTTCACACCTGTAATCCCAGCACTTTGAGAGGCCGAGGTAGGCGGATCACCTGAGGTCAGAAGTTCGAGACCAGCCTGGCGAACATGGTGAAACCTGGTCTCTACTAAAAATACAAAAATTAGCCGGGTGTGGTGGCACGCGCCTGCAGTCCCAGCTACTCGGGAGGCTGAGGCGGGAGAATTGCTTGCTGGGATTACAGGCGCCTGCCACCACACCCAGCTAATTTTTGTATTTTTAGTAGAGATGGGGTTTCGCCATGTTGGCCAGGCTGGTCTCGAACTCCTGACCTTAGGTGATCCTCCCACCTCAGTCTCCCAAAGTGCTGGGATTACAGGCGTAAGCCACTGTGCCCAGTCGAGAGAAATACTTTTTCTAAAGGCCTCCTCAGTAAACTTCTACTTATATCTCAGTGGCCAGAATTCTACCACAAAAAAACTCCCTCTCAAAAAAAAAAAAAAAAAAAGGAAAAAGAAAAGGCATTTTTCTCAGAATAAAAGGAAAAAAAATAGAGGAGGGGACTCAAACTCAGCTGACACTAACCTTTTTTTATGAGATGGAGTTTCGCTCTTGTTGCCCAGGCTGGAATGCAATGGCGCGATGTCGGCTCAAGGCAGCCTCCGCCTCCCGGGTTCAAGCGATTCTCCTGCCTCAGCCTCCCGAGTAGCTGGGATTACAGGCATGTGCCACCACGCCCCGCTAATTTTGTATTTTTAGTAGAGACGGGGTTTCTCCATGTTGGTCAGGCTGATCTCGAACTCCCGACCTCACATGATCCACCCGCCCCAGCCTACCAAAGTGCTGGGATTACAGGCGTGAGCCACTGGACCTGGCCGACACTAACCTTTTATACTCTGCCCTACAAGCTGCCCCTTCTTCTTTTCTGAAGATATGGGGCAGCAGTATCGTAACTATGAAGAGCCACATACCAATAATGGCAGAGCAGGAAAACAGCAAAGCCCTGAACTGTCCAGGTCTGGACTTCTTGTTACATGAGAAAAACTAAATTCCTATTGTTTAAGCCATTTGTAGTTTGGTTGCTGAATGCAATCCCTAACAAACACAGGCTCCACCCCATTCTAAAAGATAACCTGGGCTGCAAAGGGATATTTTGGATCACCTAAGCCATGCCTACATAACAAGAGTACAGCCTCAGAACCACAGTATGACCAAGGAACACAGCACCTCAACAGTGAACTTTTTTCAAGGGACCAAAACCTACAGGGAAGCAACACAAAAAGCACAAGCTTGTTTATCTAACACTCTCCAAAGGACAGGGTGTTCTAACCAAACAACCTTAGTACCCTCAGTGTAAGTTAATAAACTGCTAACTGGTTTATCAACCAGGTTCTTGTGGAGTTGATCCAATGGTATGTTGTTCTTTAAGCACCAACTTTCACTATAATTACTTAATTGTTTACTTTCTCCTCTAGACTATAGGCTCTGTGAGAGCAGGGACCATATCTACCCCATTCACTACTCAGAATGCAGCCCTAAGCATAGTGCCTAGTACAAAGTTAGCTGTGAATAAATATTTGGCAAAGAATTCACTGAATCAATAGATGACACACACAAAAAAATCCCCCAGTGACTAACTCTGGTGAAGTGATAAAATCCAAAGGGTGGGACTGGGAGCAGTGGCTCACGCCCGTAATCCCAGCATTTGGGGAGGTTGAGGTGCACGGATCACCTGAGGTCAGGAGTTCGAGACCAGCCTGGCCAACATGGTGAAACCCTGTCTCTACTAAAAATACAAAAATTAGCTGGGCATGGGGGCACGCGCCTGTAATCTCAGTTGCTTGGGTGGCTAAGGTGTGAGAATTGCTGGAACCCAGGAGGTAGACGTCACAGTGAGCTGAGATTGTGCCACTGCACTCAAAAATATAATAATAAAAATAAAAATTCAAGGGGTGGGGGAGGTGTGAGAAGCTCCCAAAGCTGGTCTAGCCCAAGTACTGTGATGTCCATCAAGAATAAGCCACATTAGGAACCAGCTCAAAGAGGCTGTTGGTTTCTCTCTCTTGTCTCTTTGGTACACAGCACATCTGATTCATTCTTTTTTTTCTTAAGACGGAGTCTTGCTCTGTAATCCAGGCTGGAGCACAGTGGCACGATCTCAGCTTGCTGCAACCTCCACCTCCCGGGTTCAAGCGATTCTCCTGCCTCAGCATCCCAAGTAGCTGGGACTACAGGCATGCGCCATCACACCCAGCTAATTTTTTATTTTTAGTAGAGATGGGGTTTCACCATGTTGGCCAGGCTGGTCTCAAACTCCTAACCTCAGGTAATCCGCCTGCCTCAGCCTCCCAAAGTGATGGGATTACAGGCGTGAGCCATCGCGCCCAGCACTGATTCATTCTTTAACCCGAGAGCCATTCACTTTACCTTGTCCTTGTCCATGACAACACTGGCCACAGGTCCAAATGCTAGGAAGTACTCAGAGAGCTGAGCAGAATCCACATCCCTGGGAAAGCCACTGACAAACACACTTCGAAGTCCCTGGGCCTTTCTCGCAGCTCGTAGTTCTACCAGGTGCCGGTGCTTTCTGCCTCCCAAGTGGGCATCAAGGCTGGGTCCTGCAAAGACAAGTGTGAGACAAAAACATGCAAAGCACTCTTCGACGTGTCTGCCTTTGCTCTCTGCATACCTAAATCTTACTGATCCTTCCAAGCCACAGAAACTGTGACCTTTGAATAAACAAAGTCCTGGCTCCTTTCACCTTCCTCTCTTATACATTTGTCTAAATAGTACATTCTTTTTTTTTTAATTTATTTTTTTTAAACAGAGTCTCACTGTCGCCCCCGCTGGAGTTCAGTGGCGCAGTCTCCACTCACTGCAACGTCTGCCTCCCAGGTTCAAGAAATTCTCCTGCCTCAGCCTCGTGAGTAGGTGGGACTACAGGCGTGTGTCACCACACCCGGCTAATTTTTGTATTTTTAGTAGAGACGAGGGTTCCCAGGAGAACTGGCTACACTACAAGTATTTTGTTTATTTTTACTTAAAGAACAGTGTGATAGTAAAGTATTTCTTAAACCACCTATTTGTGCTAGGTAGAGTTGGAAACAAATTAACAGGTAACTTATCCAGGTCATCTACACAAGAACTAAAAAAATTTGGATCATGGAATACTTTGTGGATCATCTTTGGACATGGTATAATATAGTGATGTCAAAGGCAGGATCTGAAATTACATTGCCCAAGTTCAAATCCCAGCTCTGTCAACCTGTGTGAGACCTTGGTCAAGTTATGAAGCCTCACTGTGCATCAACTTCCTCAGATATAAAATGGAAATATCAGTATCTAGCACCTCACACACAGGTATTATTCAGATATATCACTTGGCAGAGAGAGTCTGGTACACGGTAAATGTTGAAAAACTAACCGTTGCTATTATTTTATTGAGTTAGCTGCTTGATGTCACCAAAGTAAATGTGGGGCCAAAGAAGACTCCTAGGTTTCTGGCTTGGCTTACTGGATGAACAGTGATAGTGCCATTCACAGTGAAAAGGAAGAATGGAAGTAAACCCTGTTTAGGGAACACTGTGATTCCAGACTTCAAAAGTAGGGCTGGGCACATTGGCTCACGCCTGTAATCCCAGCACTTTGGGAGGCCAAGATGGGAAGATCGCTTGAGGCCAGGAATTGGAGACCAGCCTAGGCAACATGGTGAAAACCCATCTCTACAAAAAACTAAAAAATTTGCCAAGTAGGCCGGGCGCGGTGGCTCAGGCCTGTAATCCCGGCACTTTGGGAGGCCGAGGCGGGCGGGTCACGAGGTCAGGAGATCGAGACCATCCTGACTAACATGGTGAAACCTCGTCTCTACTAAAAAATACAAAAAATTAGCCGGGCGTGGTGGCGGGTGCCTGTAGTCCCGGCTACACGGGAGGCTGAGGCAGGAGAATGGGGTGAACCCAGGAGGTGGAGCTTGCAGTGAGCCAAGATCGTGCCACTGCACTCCAGCCTGGGTGACAGAGTGAGACTCTGTCTCAAAAAAAAAAAAAAAAGAAAAAAGAAATTAGCCAAGTATGGTGGTGCACACCTGTAGACTCAACTACTTGGGAGGCTAGCCAGGGGTATGGTTTGAGCCCGGGAGGTTGAGGCTGCAGTGAGCCAAGATCACACCACCGCACTGCAGCCTGGGTGACAGAGCAAGACCTTGTCTCAAAAAAAAAAAAAAAGTGGAATTTGAAGTTACAGTGAACCCCTTGTGTGTCATACAAGAACCTTGTCTATTTTTCCAAACCCATCTTCTGTCTCTTCCTCACTGGTACCTTATGGTCTAGTCATTCATGCCACACCTATTTCATCCATCCCCTCCTTTGAGTAGGTCCTCTGTAGGGCTTCTCTGATTTAGTTACTAATTCTCTGTGGTCCCACAGTTCTCCGAACATATCTATAAAGCATTGAAACTTTCTCATTCTCTAGACGGTGAGCTCCTTCATCTCTGAACCCCCCTCCCCCACCCTAAAGATCAGCAGAATACCAGGCACAGAGCATATGTCCAATAGATGATGGTTAAAGAAGTAATAAAACAATTAAACTTGCGTTGTGGAGATTTCATATACTGAGGAGTGTAATGTGGTGGAACTTTCCCGACTCTCCAAATCCCCTCGGACTTGCAGAGAAAAACGGAGGTGAGAGACCCTACCAATCAACTTGACAAGAACGACTGACTACCTATAACCCTAACTTTCGCCAGGATCAAAAGACGAAAGCCCGCAACCACCCCCGGGTCCCTCACTAGCCACCGCTTACGGTTGGCTGTAGTAACGTGGCAGAGGCAGCAGCGGAACCCCCCACGCGGCAGCGATTCGACATCCGAATCCACCGCCGCCATAGCGACTCTCCTGTACCGACAAAAACACAAGCACCTCTGCCACCACCGGAACCCACTTCGCCAAAGCTCAACGCGCTCGGAAGCAACTTCCGCCGATCCGATAGGAAGTGACATAAAGTCGTTCAATTGCGCGGACACACTCCTCCGGAAACCAAGCTCCTTCGACTCTGGGTTCCGTTTCTAGCCGCTGTCCAGTCCCCGCCCGTTTCAGGAAAAGCGGCGCGTTACGATGCTTATCTGCATGCGGTAAGCCGATTGGTGTGCTTTAAGCTGTTCAGACGTTGATTGGCCCAAAGCATCGTGAATATTCATGACAGCAGCCACAAAGGCCGGCGCCGGGTGGCATCTTGCGGCAGCTCCTTCACCCCGCAGTAGACACCCGTGCGTCTGTACCCTCGACCCTTATTTACCCGACGAATAAAGGCGGAGGATCGGCGGCTTCCAATTCTTTGCCCCACGGAGCCCAGGGCTGTCCCTGGACTTCCAACCTTTTCAGGGCTGTTACTCCCTCCCTCCGCCCCCTGTCCTCCCGCAAAACGGGTGTTCTGCGACGGCTTCTAGCCCTGGTTGGGGAGCTCTGCCACCACCGGGCACCTTCCGGACTCCACGAGGTCCTGGAGCCAGGCCCATTCCTTCCGCAGTAGTGGGCTGCGTGGTGTACGCCGGAGGCGCCAGAGCTACTGGCGCACCTCAGAGCAGTGCGACAAGACAAAACCGAGTGCCAGTAACTGAGTTTAGACACTGGAGGGGGCGAATGCTGTCAACCCCCTCCTGGTATAATTGTCAGTTCATCCCAACGCCGCCGAGGTGTAGGCTCAGGACAGGGAGGGACTACGGGGAGCTGGGGATGCCCTAGGGACAGGGACCATAACGAGGTGGAGAGAACTATCAGATGGGCTCAGCAGCTTGTGCTGTGGTTATCAGCCCACAGCTTTGAATGGCGCAAAGAGCAGTGGACCTAAGGCAGACACCAAGGTCTTTGACCTTGAACAAGTCACAACTGTTGAGGCCGTTTCCCATCTCTAAAGGAAGTGCCCAAGGAGCACACAGCAGGCTGAACTTCTTGTTCTCTATCCTAAGGTGTTCCTTCTAATGGGCCCAGCTCAGGCATCTAATCTCAGTGTCCCAAACCTTTAAGGCAGGAAACAGTGCTACAGTGGATCGGGATATCA
Organism: Homo sapiens; assembly: GCF_000001405.40. NCBI lineage: Eukaryota > Metazoa > Chordata > Mammalia > Primates > Hominidae > Homo > Homo sapiens. The sequence continues at coordinate 62,592,658 of NC_000011.10, forward strand.
TCGAGACTGGCCTTGAGGATCCTGAAGCAGCAGGCTGTACACATACACCCAGAGGTGCTAGGGTGGTTCAGTGGTAGAATTCTCGTCTGCCAAATACACCACACAGCTAGGTGAGGGGATCCTCCTATAACCCCACCACCACCCCCAAGGGGGTATACATGTTACCCTGGCTGCTAGCAACTTCCAGAATTCCTTAAACAAAAGGGAGAGGGGAGTAAGAGGTGGGAAACAGAGGAAGAAACACCCCCATTCCCCTTTCCTATGGAGGCCACCAGTCATCCAGAAAGCTCATCTCAACTCCTTTGAATGAATCTGGGCCAAGATGGTTCTTGAGCTCCAGCACCACTGGGAGCTGGGGAGCAGTTTGGGTCCCACAAGAAGCCTAGCTGGAGCAAGCCGCCTGGGTCCAGGCTGCCTATCTCATAAAGCTGTTCCCAGGGCAAGAACCATCTGTACCTCCTTTGTTGTCCTTTGTCCTTTATTTTCCCTCTCAAAGACACCCCCAACACACACACAACACACACCCATGGCAAAGAACAGCTGAGCCAGGAGAAGCTGAAGAAAACAGCTTTTTATTTGTTACTATAAGAACCAATTACAGAATCCGAGGTTAAAAAAACGGACAAAAGATCTTTATTTCTGAGAACTGGCGTACAAAAGGCAGAGGGGGAGGGGAGGGAAGGAAAGAGCGAGCGTGGCCTGGGGTTGATGCCAGCTTAGGGGCCTCAAACTCCAATTAGGAAAGTCCGGACACCGGACAGAAAGAGAAACCCCCAATTAGGAAAAAAAAAAAAAAAAAAAAAAAAAAAGACATGGCAGTGCACGCCCCCCTCCCCCAACCAGGTACCACCACCTGTTATCTGTTTACTCTTCCCCTCCCCATCCCCTTTCACAAAGGGAGGCAAAATTTTTAAAAAATTAAAAAACCCTCCCCCCAAAACTGTCCAAGACATCTGTGGGTCCTACCCCCCAAAACAGGCTAGGTTCCCACATGGGCCAAGTTCCTGCAGTCTGTCCTCCATCGGCAAGCATGGAGGCATGAGACAAGTCTCGAGGTGGTAACACCAGAGGGCGCCCAACCCCTCCAGGGACACACACTCACTTGCTCTCTTCCTTAATTCACTCCTCACTCCCTTCGACACGAAAGGGAAGGGAGGTTTGGGTGCCCTGGGCATCCACCCTCTACCTCTCAGCCCACCTCCCTTCCCCACAGGTGCTCAGTCCTCCAGGACAATAGGCTCATTGGTGCTGGCAGGATGTGAGGGTGCAGGTAGAGGGACAGGGGGCCGCACTGCAATCAGCGTTGGCTTCACCTTCAGGGGCAAGTTGGGTCGGCGAGCAGCTCGCCGCATTTCCAGATGGGTCAGAGCCTTCCGTAGGGCCCTGGCCAGAAAGAGCAAGTGGGAAACAGAAAAGGCTTAGAGAACATTAAGACCTCCAGGTGAAGCCCCACACTGCAATTATGCCTTCTGGCCCATTCTTTTCTGGCATCCCCACCCTGCATCCACAACTTTCCTGGAGCTCTTGCTCTGATACTCCTACTCCCCACACTCACCAGCCTGGACTGTCCCTCTCAGCCCCTCCCATGGTAGACGCCTTACCTGGTATCCTTTGTGGCCACAAACACCACAGGATTGGGGGCATCAGCTGGGTTTAGTTTCTGACGCTTGGCTGCTGGCTGTGAGCTTGAACGAATCCCTGAAGCCAGAGGCCTTCCATTGGCAGAGAAAGGAACCCCTGCCCCTGCCATCTGGAAAAGGGGTAGGATGGCACAATGAGGGAAGGGACCCTCTCAGACTCCTATGAGAGACAAAAGCCCACCCAACTCAATCTGGCCCACCCCTTTCTGTCAACTCACAGTCTCATAGGCCCGTTTCACCATAATGCCCCCCAGTCCCCGGTTCTGGGACAGCTGGTTTCTGTTGATCGGTGTCTTGGTACCCCGAGGTGTTTTTGGTTTCAGGGGTGCCTGGGCCACTGGAAAAAAACAGAAAACTTTCGCACCTTTTCTTCCCACGCAGTTCCCCTTTGTTACTTCCATCTCTCTTCCCTGGACCAGCAGTTTACCTGGGCATCCCCAAAAGTAGCAATGGGGGAATGTTCTGGCAAGCTATCACTAGTATTTCAAATATCAGTATGACCTTATCAAATCAGTACAGTAATACTGAATAGTTTACAAAAAAAATTATTAAACAACAAAAGTACAGTTTGTTAGACTAAATCTCTGAGGACACTATGAGGAAGAAAAAAAGCAAGGGGAGAGATGTCAGACAGGGAAAGGACTGGGAGCCTGATGCCAACCTCACTGGTCCCCATCCCATACCCAGATCTTTGACGATAGTTGCCAGGGGCAGCCGCACCAGAGGGTGAATCTTCAATGGAGTCTTGGCGGCCTTAGGAAGTCGAATGGAGCCTGGAGAACAAAGAAGAAAGCTTCTGAAGGGCTTCACCATTCAGGTCTCCTCTAAGGCCAGAAGCCAACTCTAATCTTAAAAAAATTATCTGTGGCCTACTATCCCTCCTGTTATTAGACATCCAGAGAAACAACGGTCTCTGGGCAGAGCAATCCGAAACCCACCACCAGTCCCACCACTCCCTGCCCTTACACTCTGCTTTGATGGCATTGGCATTGATAGGAGCATAAGGCCGTCGGGCGGCCCTCCTTGGCTGTAATAGGTCCCTGCACATGCGTCTGGCAAGACGGGTCAGCTTTGTGGTCTGAAGCAGGAAAGTTTGTCTGTTCTTAGCCAGTAGCTTGGCCCTGTTGGCGCTGGTTGTGTAAGGAGAGAGACTTTGAGCTTCAGGTCTGGATAAATGACCCCTTGAGTGTGGCTCCTAGAAGAAGAGCATAGGAAAGAGAGAGAGCAGAAATCAGCACTGAGGCTCCCTTCTTTCTTCCATTCCCTGCAGGGGACAATTTATTCCTGTCTAATCTCTTTACTGACCTCTTGGCCTATGTGTCTCCCCAACCAGCATCAAGCACCCCGTCCATCAAACCATCACCATATAAAGAGTTGAATATTCTGGCCTTCACCTAAGCTCACCATCAATATGCTTACTGCTCTCCCCTGCTTTTCTTCCCACTGATCCTTACCGTGGTGCCCCGAGTGGCCCCCTCAAGCTGAGTTGGGGTCTTCAGTCCCCCATACTTCTTCCAGTAGATCCAACAGGAAGCACAGAGGCGGCACTGCATGTTAGGTGGGCCCCAGGCATACCACTGAGCAGACTGTGTGGCTGTAGAGTACGGAGAGGAGGGGGACAGGGAAGAAGCATACTACCTAAGCCCCTCAGATTCTTGAGCCACAGCAGGCCTTCCACCCATCCCCACCATCCCAGTGCCCCCGTAACTCACTGTGGCAACTCTCACAAGTCAGGCCCTTCTGAAATCCAGCCCCATTCATGCCAGGTTTTGAACCCACAGAAATGATCTGGTTAGGGTTTGGCTTAGTGCTAACGGGGAAGGCGAGGAGAAGGGAAAAAAACAAGAAACTGGTCAAGGAAAAGAATCAATTTCCACTCTCAGTGTGCCCCTACCTCCTGCCCACCCCCAATCACTGAGGAAGGCACAAGTTAGGGGAAGGGAAGGAAAACACTCTGGTCTCCCCTACCCACCACACTTACTAGGTGGGAATGTAGACCTGTTTCAGTTTGCTGTCTGCTTCAGCAGCTTTCAACCTTTTCTGTAAGAAGGTAAAAAGAAAGAGAAGGATCAGAGCCTCATAGCAGGGAGAATGTCATCAACTTCAAAGGCAGAGGTCAGCAGGTAGCCTATGGTCCACCCTCCCCAGCCCAGATAATACCTGCTGAATATACCGGTCTGTGGTTTTCCACATGTAATAAAACTGGACTATGCTGGCAAGTGACTTCCAGGGTAGCTAAGGGGGGCAGAGGGAGGAAGAATGAGCTGGCATCTGGCCCCAGGTCCTGGTTCCCTCACCTGTCATCTCTCCCACTTCTCCTCCTAGTGCCATCCACTTACAAAATCCTGGCGAATATCATTGAAGTCCTTCCCATACTTCTCTAGGGCCTCCTCAAATAGCATGGCCTCTGAGGCTGACCATTCCTCCATCTCATCCCGACACAGCACCGGGCCTCCCTGGGGTACCAGGGTCGACATGGCCTTAGCCAGGTCGTAGCCGTTCCTTTGCAAGGTATCCATGGCGTGAAACTATGGGGAAGATGGAGAGCAACTGAGGACCTGAAACTTTTGGCACCACTCCCTTCCTGCTCCTTAAAACACTCCCACTCCCGGCCGGGCGCGGTGGCTCACACCCATAATCCCAGCACTTTGGGAAGCGGAGGCGGGCAGATCACGAGGTCAGGAGATCGAGATCATCCTGGCTAAAACGGTGAAACCCCGTCTCTACTAAAAATACAAAAAATTAGCCAGGCGTGGTGGCGGGTGCCTGTAGTCCCAGCTATTCGGGAGGCTGAGGCAGGAGAGTGGTGTGAACCCGGGAGGCGGAGCTTGCAGTGAGCTGAGATTGCGCCACTGCACTCCAGCCTGGGCGACAGAGCAAGACTCCTCTCAAAACAAAACAAAACAAACAAAAAAAAAACACTCCCACTCCCTCAGAGATACCCTCCTCTTCTGTTCCCAGGCTCTGCAAGTCCCCAGAAAACCCAGCCTGCCCAACTACCCACCAACTTCTGCTCACCAGAGTGATATCTCGGGAGGCAGCAGCTGCACTCATGTGCAAGCTTGGCTGCCGAATGGAGCTGCTACAATCTAGGGCTCTTGCAAAGGTTCCCACAGCTCTAAGGGAGAAATTGAGAAGTCAAAAGCGAAAGAAAAGTCAAAAGCCCAAGTGGGCTGGGAAATTAAGCCAAAGGAGAAAGAAGGAAAACATCCATGGCAATGAAAGAAATAAAGTCCATCTCTAAGAACCATGGGACTCAGAACAATGTCCACACCTCCCCCAGCCCATCTTCCCTATCCACCCACCCCTCACCGGGCCACCACAAGAAACTGGTCGATCTGCCGGTCTGTGAGAGGGTTGTCTGGGTCCCAGACCTTCATCTCCATCTTCTGCTGGTTCCGATTATCAGATTCTCCTGGGGAAAAGAACAATGGCATCAACAGGGAGAGGGCAGGGGGGAACAGTTGGTGTCTTTTCATTCACAATAGCACCTCCTCCTTCTCTTCTTCTGCTTGGATTCTATCAACTCTCCGACTTCTCTTCCCAACTGTTCCCATTTTCCCTTTTCAGGTTCCTACAGGCCCATTCTGTCAGGGTCATGGCAGAGAGCCCTGCAGACAGTGCACTGCACAACCCCAGGTGACGCCATTCACAGAGACTATAATGTTAAAGTGCCCCTTGGAATTAGACAACCTGGTAGCCGTACAGTCTTGTCCTGTTGCTTACCCTCTACTAGGCGATCTGGGATCTCAGCTTGGTATTTGCAACCAACTCTAATCTCGCCCTGATCAGCGAGAAGTGTCTTCTGCACGGGGTCAAACACCAGTGAGTAAAAAAAGCAGTCCTGGAATTGGGGAGAGACAAGGTAAGCAAGGCAGCAATCCACATAGGCGGCGGGGAGGGAGGTGTATCTGAGTTTCCATGACCGGCAGTCTGGCAACCCTGTACCTCATCATTGTGCTCCTTTCCCCCTCTCTTTTGCGGGCAATACCCATTCCCCTCGCTCTTCTCTCAACATCTCTTTCTCACCTCCTTTTCCAGGTACTGGCTCAAGATATCTGTCTCATTCAAGAGGGTCACACTGCATTTCCCCCTATAGGAGAGAGATTGGAAAACCCCGGTGAGCCCCACTCTCCCTCCCCACAGCATCTCTCAATACCACCTCCTTCTCTCCATCTTCTACGTAAGTGCACGCAGGCTATGCTGGCCCCAGTTGTCCTGTACCGTATGTGGGTGGCTGGTAATGATTCAAATTGCCGAGAAAGAAAAAGTTCCCGGTGCTTCAGTTGATGGCGCTGCTGCTCAGACACCCCTGGCTGCTTTGATTCCTCTTCAAACTCCCCTGGGAGATTAAAGAGGAAGAAACCAAGTCAGAAATGGATCCAGCAAAACACCACCCTGGAAACTCTAACTCAGGGAAAATATTTCCTATCTTGGCTGTTTTTTTCTCACATTTCCCAGGCGTCTGCCTTCTATACCCTTATCCCACCAGCTTTCCTTCTTAGCTCTATGCCCCATCATAGATGCTCCCAACTCTATCAGTAATGCTTTTAGAGAAGAACTGCTGAGAGTACGAAGAATGCTCTAGAAATACATCGCTACCCAGCTGCCAGTACTCAGACACCAAAGTCCACAACGGGCCAGCAAGAACATCACACTTGTCTCTTGCTTGCTAAACCAGCCTGAGGTCCAGGAACTCAAGATGAAAAAATATCACACAAGACTGTGTTTACCAGTTCTTTTCAATTTCAGGAGACTCTTTGCTCTAAAACATCACATGCAGCCCTAACTATCCCTCATTTTCTACTTGGCTAATAATAGTTCCTGGGGTTTCCAAGGACAACACCTCTCAAGCCAGTGCCAACACCTTCCTCCCCAAGGAGCTGCAGCTTGCCCTGAAACCTAGCGGAAGGGGTTAACCTGGCTAGGCGCCAACCAAAGTGGGAGGGAGCAGAAGAACCTCAGCCCCAGGCTCATTGGTGTATTGTTCCCAACCTCAGGGAGAAGGGGGGGGTTGTGCAGTAGGCTCCACCCCTCGCTTGTGTGCTCCGGAAACCCTGTGCTGAGGCAAGGGGGACCACACCCCCAACACCCCTTCTGATTGGACAAGGCCAAGGTCAGCCCCTGCCAGATGGGGCTGGAAACCCTAAAGGGCCAAGGAACTTGGTAAGCTGGGCTCCTCTTTAACCCCTTCTCACCCAGAGCAGTCTGAAAAAGGAAAATAATTTAGAAAGGTGGAACAAAAGGAAGGAAAAAGAAAACCAAAGCAGGAAAGGAAAAAGAAGCTAAGGAAAATATGTTTTTTAAAAAAAGAAGATGAGACCTTAAAGAGAATGAAGATAGGGCAAAATGAAAAGGGAAAGATGTAAAATGGAGGGGGGCGGGCGGGGAAATGGGCGAGGTGAGAAATTAAAAAGCGCAAGAAAACTTCCAGCCATCTTCTAACTTCCAGGTACTCTCATCACCTTGTGATTACAAAATAAGCCTGCTTCTCTGTTACGCAGGCTTCTCAGTACAATGTCTTCCTCTTCACGTTGACCTTCAGTCATCACCTACTGTCTCAATGTACCCCAAACTGCCCCCCTTTAGAAAACCATTGTTTCTCTAAAGCTCGTCCTCATACTCTAAATGTTATCATCTCTCTCTTACTCTCATATACAAACCATATTATCGCTTTCCTTATCACAATCTCTCCACCCTGCTTCCAACCCCAACATGTAAAAACAGGCCTCCCTCCTCAGGCCAGGCATTTCCCACCCCCAAACTCACACCTCTGCCTTGGGCATGCTACCAGGGGAAATACCTGCAGGGACATGCCCAGGCCTCAGATCATGGGTAGGAGAAAAAGAAAGGGAGGAAGATACTCACTGGCATTACTATCAGCCAGGCTGTTGAGGCTACTAGAAATGTCCCTGCGCCGGAAAAGACAGACAACCTTTGCCTCCACATTTCCATTTGCAGTCTAAGGGGAGGAAAAAAACAAAAACAAAACAACGTAGCAGTGGAAATTGATCATCTGGGAACAGAAATGCACAAAGAGACAAATAACAGTAAGTTTCAGAGGGACCTAAATTAAAAAGCCCAAGAAAATATGAGTAAAGACTTACATTCAAGGATAGACTTCCAAATCCCTTTCCTTTGCCCCCAAGAGACAGAATAGTAAAGTTCCTGCTAACCTCTCAATAGCCTTTCCTGAATACATCCAATGAATGAATGAACGAATATGAATGGGTACTTAGTATAGGATCCTCTCTTCCACCAGAAGTTAGAAACCTCAGAAGAGACCACTGCGGGAGGGAGGGAGAGGGATTCTGCTCCACTCACCTTGTTGAGCTCCTCAATCCGTCTAACCAGGTAAGGATTGCTGGAAGAGTTCTCAAAATAGACGTAATCTGTAAGGGAAGGGAGGGGGGAGAACCACGAAGATCAGAGGAGATGGGAGACGCAGAGCACCAGGGTAGGAGAGAAAGTTGGCCTGAGTGGATCAAAAGGAGATAAGGATTCAGGTAGAAAGGGCGCTGAGATGTGAAAGTGGACAGACTAAGAGAAAATAAGGATGTCCCCCATCCCCACCGCACCTAGTTCTAAAATTAGATCCTTTACTCAAAAGAGAGCCTTAAGGAACAGGCAAGAAGCAGGGGTTCCCCTGCAGTCCCCACAACTCAGCGATGAGTTGCACCCCAGTCGCGGCGAAGTAATTGTCCGCTCTAGCGCAGGGCCCCTACCTTTTCGAATCGAGGCGCACAATAACGCCTGGGAAGAGGAAACCTCCGGGCGGCTCCCCCGCGGTGGCAAAGCCGTCGCCCCAGCCCCTCGCGTTCCCTCCCTACCCTGTCAGCTCCTTCGGAACCGGTTCCGAAGGCCACTCCGTGCCCCGGGGAGCCCCTGACGCAGCCCCGAAAGTGCCGTCGGGGCTGCCCGCAGCTTCTCTCTGGGAGTCTCGGAGCCCTGCCGCGTCGCGGTTCCCCGCACCCTCTCTCCTCGTCTCCCGGTTCCGGTTCCGGTCCGCGCTCCGGTCCACGCTGCCCCATACGCTGCGCCTCGCGCCACCCGGTGCCGAGCCCCTCAGGTCCCTACCCCAACCTCTCCCGCCCCGGGCCCCGTATCCCTGCGCCCGGTACTCACCTCCCACCCGGTACATGTTGGCCGCCATGGCCGTTCCCGCCGCCGCCTCCGGCCGCACAAAGGGGTCCGGGAGGCTCGCGGGGGCAGGGCTCGGCTCGAGGCAAAGCCCCGAACGGTGGGCTGCCGCTTCGAGGGAGTCTCACTGGGGCCCGCGCAGCCGGCACCTCCGCTGCCTCAGCCGTCGCGGTTCATCCCGGCCCGCGCTGTCGCCGCCGCAGCTATCGCCTCACTCCCGGGACGCTGAGGCTGGCCCCCGTCCGCTCGGCTTCTTCCGGAACGAGCTCGGCTCCTGCCAGGCCAGAGCCAGGCTCCAGCTACCCCCGCCCCCGCGGAGTCCCACTAGTCGTTGGGCTCTGCCGGCCGCAGGGAAGGCTTGCCGGGCCCGCCTCAGGGTTCGCCTCCTTCCGGAACACCTTCGGCCGATCCGGAGAACAAGGCCCACTGCTCGGCTCAGGTCGGAGAGCGAGACCCCGCAGATCGGCTACTTCCGGAAGAAGTTCGGCTCCTGTCGGGCAACCGCTCGGCTATTTCCGTCGCAGCTCGGCCCCACCCCCTTTTCCGAGGGCGGGAGAGGAGTCGGGCTTAACTCTGTCCTCGCTGGAGCCCTGCAGCTCCTCCTCGCGCCCCAAAGACTCGCGCGCCTTAGCGCTTCGCCAGGTTATTTGCAAGCGGCTTTGCCTGTCATTTGCATAAATGGTCTACGCTCCCTTACCCTTTCCGCACGCCTCTTTTCCTTCGTCCCCACCCCACAGAGCCCCGGAGGCGCCCGGCAGCGCCCCACAAAAGCACCGGGAGGCGACTTTGGTTCTGGTTTATTGCCCCTCAGCAGGCAGCGGGAGTCAAGGCCTAGGCTGGGGCTGCCCGGCTCAGCCAGCGGGTCTAAACAGTGTGTGCAGGGGCGCCGTTCGCGCCCTCCAGGAAAATGCGCGATCGGGAATGTCTCGAAGTCAGTCCAGGAAAGAGTCGGCCCCTAGTCGTGGGGGATTGGGCCAGGGAAGGGCAGGGCGGGGCGGGGCCACGCCGCCGGGCCAGTCGGTCCCGCCAGGCAGCGATCAAACGTCGAGGGAGGAGGCGGGGGACAGGGAGGGGGTTCGAGAGGGCGTGGCGGGCGCCGGCCCCGCGCCCCCAGCGCCCAGCACTCGCCACTGGAAGATGCTGGCGTCCTTGCCGCCCAGCGAGACGAGGTGCGAGTCGTCGTGCGTGAATCGGACGCTGGTCACGTGGCTGCCGTGGCCCCCGTACATGCGGCTCGGCGCCTGGGCCGGAGGGAAGAGTTGCGGTGGCGGCTGAGCCCTCGGGCCCACCGGTCCCACCCCGGCGATCCCCGCGGCCTCACCTTGGCACGAGCGCACGGGTACTGGAAGAGATGCACTTTGCAGAAGTCGTCGGCCACCGCCACCACGCGCTCGTTGTGGGAGCGGCACAGGGAGTTGATGTCGGTCCCATCGGAGCCGTCCGGCCAGACGCCTAGCACAGCGGCCGGCCTCAGCCCGACCTCCTACCCACCGCCACCCACGGCCCAGAGCTACACCATTTCAGGCGCTCCGGCAGCCGCGGCCACCCACTGCCGCGTTCCAGGCAAGCCTTCCCGGTCCCGAGGGGCCTCCTGGGCTGGATCTTCAGGTTTCTGGACTCTCACCCAACGACACACGCCCAGCGTTCCAAGCCCAAACTGGGCTCCACCTTGTCCCCCACCCTTCCAGCAGGTTTCCACGCCCCTGCTCACCGTAGACGTGAAAGCCCAGCACACAGGTGTAGGTAGCCCATTCCCGGTCTCGGCTCTCATAGCGATTCTTCAGCTGCTTGCAGCCTCCAGCCACGTCCCCTGGGGAGAGGGAGCCCGCCCAGCTCAGCTCTCACCCTGCCCTCAGTAGGGAAGATGCCAGGGAAAGCCAGACTGGAAAGACTGGCATGAAACCCGGCGATGGCATGTGATCTGGTCACCGTAGTAGCATCACCTCCTCCCCCTGTGAAACCCACCCTGTGTGCGTCCTGTCCTGAGCTCTGGCTGAAGTTCTAACAGCTTCCACGAGTTCCTCCTCCCTAGATAAGTCAAGTGCTCCACACTTGCCCTGAGAAACTTTTCCCAAACAATCTTTTCTTAGCGCATTTTTGAACTCCCTCAAGTCAACAAGACATGGTGTGAAACTAGTTGTTTCCAAATCACGAAATTTCTCCTACATATAATTCCAACTCCACTTTAACCCCATCTCCACTTCCTTATCTAACAACACCTCTAACAGCCCCCCCTACACAAAACCCACTCCAATTACCCTCTCCCCATGTCCTGCTCCACTGCCACTCACAGTAAAGAATCTCATAGTCCCCAGAATTGGACATGATGAAATTCCCATCCTTGGACCAGTCAAGATGAGTGATGAAGCTGGAGTGACCCTGGGAGCAAAGGTCAAGAGTTTTAAAGTATCCCATCCATTTCCCATCCCCAGAGCCCCCTTGATGCATCAGACCCCTGAGTTTCGCAGCTGTTATCATGCCCCACCACACACCCCAACTTCCTCACCATACAGCGGCCAAAGCGGCTGGATTTGGCACCATCACTGGAAACACTATAGATGTAGATCACGTTGTCATGGGAACCAATGGCCAGGTACAACCCATCTGCAAATACAGTCACTCAGAGAGGGAAGGGCCAGGGACGCATGTGAGTCCAGGGTTGGGGTGGCTCCCACCTGGGCTGTACCGGACCACTGAGAGCTGCTCATTGCCATCAATGACATCAGACACGATCTCTCTGGTCTCTGTGTCCAAAACCAACCACCTGGAAGGGAGGGAAGTGGAGGCAGATAGGAAGACGAAAAGGCAGGATGTAAGGAGACCCCCAGGGAGGCCACCCTGGGTAGGCTTGGGGATGGCAAATAAGAGAAGCTCAGAGACACACACAGAAAGGCTCTGATGTAGAAGACAGGTCACAACTGCATTCTTCTTTTTTAGTTTGTTGTTGTTGTTGTTGTTGTTTTGAGACAGAGTCTCACTCTGTCACCCAGGCTGGAGTGCAGTGGCAAGATCTCAACGCAACCTCCACCTCCTGGGTTCAAGTGATTCTCATGCCTCAGCCTCCTGAGTAGCTAGAATTACAGGTGCGTACCACCATGCCCGTCTAATTTTTGTATTTTTAGTGGAGACGAGGTTTCACCATGTTGGCCAGGCTGGTCTTGAACTCCTGACCTCAAGTGATCCACCCGCCTCAGCTCCCAAAGCGCTAGGATTACAGGCGTGAGCCACCGCACCTGGCCACCACTGCATTCTTATGCTGAGAAATGGGAAGGAGCTAAGTGTGGATAAAGGCTGAGGGGCTTCTGATGTCGTCTGAAAAAGTAATCTGAAACTACAGACCAGGGGCCGACTACAAAGGCACTGTGCAAGCTGGAAGCCTGTCACTTCCCTGTGTTTGTCTATGCCCCTCCCATTCCCACTGTTTCTCTATCCTGGGCTGCTGCCTCCTCCACTCCCAGGCTTGGAGGAGACACTGGGTTGGGGGAGGGGGAGAAACAGTTACCACAGAAGAGGAGGGGAGCCCGGGTGGCAGGGGCTGCAGGGAGAGGCACAGAGGAGTGCCAAGGCGCAGGTGGCTCCTGGGTAGAGGTGGTCACTCTCGCCCACTCCCCCAGTACCAGGAACCCTTCCCAGTCCTCCCTGCTTTCCCTCCTGGGAGTCCTGGCTCTCTCTCACCTCCCCGTGTTCAGTCCTACGGCCACAACTGCCCCACTCGGGTGGAAGTCAGCACAGAGACCAGTCTCCTGGGAGAGGGGAGAAGGTGAATTCAAGATGATGTCTTTCTAGTGAGGGAACCAGAGTGAACCCCTTGTCCTCCTAACTTCAAAGCCACTTACTCCCAAGGAGAAGATGGGAAGAGAGGGAAGGGATACCCGGGTATCACTGGAGCCTGAACAGGGAGTGATACCAAAATATTTAACCACAGAACTGATGCCAATAGCTGTGCTGGAGATTAACCATTTAGGTGCTGGATCAAGAGGAAGTCTGAGGGGTTCTGGGGGCGGCAGGGAGTGCCCAGGTGGTACTAGAAGCATCAGCTTTTACCAGTCAGTACAGAAAAATTAATATTTGAGTAGCCAGTGCAGCCATACCAGTACAAACTGGCCACCTCTGGGAGGCAGAAGGCAAGGTGCTGGGGAAGGCGTGGTGGCCACAGGTGTCCTGGTGGGTGTGGCATGGGGGATCCAGGGGCACAGGGCTCTACCTTGAGGTCGATGCTCCAGGCCAGTGCATGGCTCTCCCCATCCCACAGGCAGAGCTGCCGGTCGTGGCCGCAGGTGAGGAAGCGGTTCTGGGAGGGGTGTGTGCAGAGCCCCCAGAGCTCATCAGTGTGGCCCTGCAGCACAGCATGACTGTCACTCCTGCCCCTCTCTCACACCCCTTTGTCCCTTCCTCCCCTGAGCCCTTAACCCCCAACCTGGATTACAGGGGAGAAGCCCTGGGCCAGGTCTCCCCTCAGCAATGCATTCTTCGTGGTTCCCACCAGCAGCTCAGAGCCAAGCCCTTCAGCAATGGCTCGCACGGCCCCGAAGTGCTCGGGAATCTGCAGAGTGGTAGCAGAATGTCAAGAGCCCACTGACTATTGCTCTTCTCCCTCACTCCCTTGACCCCAGCCCAGCCCTCACCTCAGCCTCCTGGAGGGCCACCAACCCGGGCCCCCACTGTACCAGCCGGCGGTCCCGCCCGCCACCACTCAGCACTGTCCCGTCCCTCCGGAGACACAAGGCGAAGATAGAACCTTCATGAGCGTGAGCCTGGGCCACAATCCCATAGGTCTCTGTTGGCAAAGCCCCAGGTAGATCATGTTTTGGGGGTGCAGGGGAGTGAGAAACAGGGCCAGCTTGGCTGTCGCAATACAGTAAGAACTCCCAGCCATTGCATGCACTGACTACTATGTCTCATCCTCATACTGCCAACACATCTGTTATTCTCCCCATTTTACAAACAGGACAACTGAGACTCACAGAAATGAGGTAACTTCCTAAAGGCAAGGCAACTAATAGCAAAACTGGAATCTGAACCTGAGATCTGGCAAACACAAAGCTCCAGCCGTTTCTCCTTTGCTGTGCTGCCCACACGCTTCTAGACTAGCCCCCAAGAGAACTATCAACTCTCAAGGTAAAAAGGTGGGAAACCTGGCTGGGCGCCGTGGCTCACGCCTGTAATCCCAGCACTTTGGGAGGCCAAGGCGGGCGGATCACCTGAGGTCAGGAATTCGAGACCAGCCTGGCCAACATGGCAAAACCCCATCTCTACTAAAAATACAAAAATTAGCTGGGCGTGGTGGCGTGTGCCTGTACTTCCAGCTACTTGGGAGACTGAGGAAGGAGGATCACTTGAACCTGGAAGGCAGAGGTTGCAGTGAACCAAGATCGCGCCACTGCAATCCAGCCTGGGCAACAGAGTAAGACCTCATCTCAAAAAAAAAAAAAAAAAAGATGGGAATGGGAAACCCTCTCCTCTGTTCCCACAGAACCTCTGGAGTACTACACTTCCCAGATGCCCCTCCCAGCCACATACCTTTGGCGCCACCCCTGCCTGGGGTCTTGGAATCTGAAGGGCTCCGCCCCCAGGTGAGAATGTTCCCCTCTGAGTCTCCAGTGAGAATGTCTCCATCCGGAAGGAACACAAAGCAAGGGATAAACTTGGGTTTCTTGTATTTCTAGTGGGAGGGGAGAGCAGACAGTAGAGGTCAAAGGGAAGGGCAAAGATTAAAAGTCGCAGGGCAGGCCAGGTGCAGTGGCTCATGCCTGTAATCCCAGCACTTTGGGAGGCCAAGGCGGGCGGGTCACCTGAGGCCAGGAGTTTGTGACCAGCCTGGCCAATATGGTGAAATCCCGCACTGCACTCCAGCCTGGGTGATAGAGCAAGGCACTGTCTCAAAAACAAAAAAAACAAAAAAAAAACGGGCATGATGGCCAACATGATGAAACCGTATCTCTATTAAAAATACAAAAATCAGCCGGCGCGCATCTGTAATCCCAGCTACTCCGGGAGGCTGAGGCAGGAGAATTGCTCGAACCCAGGAGGCAGACGTTGCAGTGAGCCGAGATCTTGCCATTGCACTCTGGCCTGGGTGACAAGAGCAAGACTCCGTCTCAAAAGAAAAAAAAAAAAAGGTCACAGGGGCAGGTGGGGGTTAGGGAACCTCAGGGTCCATAGTACTCAGCCCAGTGCTTCCTCTTCCACTCTGCCCTCCCCATCACCTTCCACTTATCCATGCCTCACCCCAAAGACACCCTGTTTCCGGGTAAGGGTCCCATTCCCAGGAACCCCTACTCCACCACTCCAATTCCAGAAGTGGACGTGAGATTTCCCACTGGTGACGATGCAGCTGCTGTCACGAGGGTTGAAGCCAACGGCCAGGACTGAGTCATTTGTACTCTGAAGGGAAGACACTAGATTCAGCCACCCCAAGCCCTGGGTACCTTCATTCTACTTGACTCTCCTCAATTTGCATCATGACAGCTGGCTGGCAGAGGTCCAGAAACCCCAGGACAACCCTTCTTTCAAAACCCTGGTCCCCTAAGAGCACTATTTCCTGTCAATCATAATTAATCACCCTAATACCTAACACATTATGCCTCATGAGGTCAGAACCCATGTCACAAATGAAGAAACTAAGGGTCAGAGAAGCTAGGAGATTTGCCCCATGTGACCCAGCCAAAAAGGAAGGAAATGTATGGGTGAGTCTGGAGCTCCCTGCACTCCACCACTCCCACCCCCAACCTCAGAGCCCCTCCAAGCCACATGGACTCCTCACCTTGATCTCAGCCAGCTTCATTCCCCGGCTGCAGTCCCACACCGACAGCATGTGCTCATTGGAATCATCCACCACACAAAGAAAGGCACCCTGATCCTGAAGAAGGGTGACACATAGGAGGTGCAGAGTGAACCCTGGAGGTCCAGGGGTTCATGGTCATTAGGTTAAGAGGTACCATCACAGATGGAGAGGGCAGAAAAAGTTGACACACATGGCCCTTTCTCAAGAGAACCAGCTGGGTGGGGTTCAGGAAGGCCAGAACTTCCAAGGCTTCCTGGTGACATGCAAGAGTGGGGTTCCTAGGCAAGAATGGGGGTCTAGAGGCTTCAGGGCCAGCTCACCGCAGCTGAAAAGGCCAGGGCCCCAACACCCCGCTCGAAGGCCCCCAGTCCAATCTCCTGCAGTTTCAACAGCGTCTCTGAGTCCCAGATGTGAACCACAGGCTGCAGGGGCTGGTGGAGGAAGAGTCACAAGTGTGAAGCAAAATTGGAGTGCAATTCCAGCATGTCTGCCTGCTCCCTGACTTTGGCCTTACCTTTCCATCCTTATCCACTCCAGCTGTCTGTCCCGAGGCTACCCGAACACCATCAGGGTGAACAGCAAGGCTAAGGCAGGGGGAAGACACTCTAGGGAAAGGGTCTCTCAAGACCATCCAAGACACCTTCTCCAAGCTTGCAGAGCAGCAAGGCAACTCTTTTCTCCTGCTTCTCCATCCCCCCAGACCCTCTTCCTGCCAAGCCCACCAGCCCCGGACTCCTCACCATCGAACGCAGTCTGTGTGCCCCCGGTAATGTCTCTGGCCGCCACCTCCAGGACCCCCTGGGCCTCCTCCAGGCCGGTACAGCACCACCACACAGGCGATAAAGTAGACCACCTCCCCAGAGCGCAACACAAACAGATTAGAGCGGGAGTCACGACCCCTGTACCCATAACTGGGGTGGAGATCACGGTCAAGGAAAGGGTTAGATCAAGGGCAGGAGGAGGAAGAGGGGAGAAAGACAGAGCTTCTGGCTGGCAGGGCCTAGAGCAGAATGATGGTAGGAGAGGATCTAGAAGGCTCCTTGTCCCCACAGACCCAGGAGGAAACTGTAAAGGTAAGAGGGGTCCCAAGGTGAGAAAGGTGGTTCTCATGGGACTGGAAGGGGCAGGATACACCCAGTCAAGGCTGAGGGTCTCTGGCGGTGGGCCACTCGGCAGCTCCTCAAGGCTGCGGATGCCAGACGGGATGTACATGGTAATGGGGCGCCCTCGAAGGAACATCTTCACTGAGATGCCTTCTACAGAGAAAAGGGGTGGTGTCAACTACCCCCTTCCAGGAAAGACAGAGCAGAACCCTACCCACCACACCTACCCAAAATAGCTCCTGGGGCTACAGCCCAAATCCTAACCCTGCCATCCAAGTTTTCCTCTCTGTCCCTCTTTACATACCCAAATTGTAATTGCTCCTCCGAGATCCAGGGCCCCCAGGGCTGGAGAGGGGGTCTTTTCCCCCACGGCTGTTGGGAAGAGAGAAAGCACAGGGATTGGGGTCAGGTCCCAAGACCTAAGCGGGGAGGGGCAGGACACAAGAAAAGAGGTCACTGCAGAAACCACAGTCACTTCTGCAAGCCTGTAGTTTGCTTCGTGAGTATCAGGGCCCTAGTAGATGGAGACTTCTAGTTCCATTTAAGAGATAAGAAGATTGAGGCTGAAGGGGCTGAGCGCACAGCACAAGGCCACAAAGCTTGGAAGAGGCAGTGCAGGGTGCCAGAGCCCTTTCTCTCCTCCAGACCACCAGGCCTCAGTCTCGCTCTGTCGCCCAGGCTGGAGTGCAGTGGTGCGACCTCAGCTCACTGCAACCTCCGCCTCCTGGGTTCAAGCAATTCTCCTGCCTTAGCCTCCCCAGTAGCTGGGATTACACGTGCGCGCCACTAGGCCCCGCTATTGACCTTTTCATTTCCCCATCCGTAAAATGGGACCAAAGGGAGTCGAGAATGTACACCAGCTCCGCCTCTCAGGGATCCGGGAGGCAAGCAAGAAAGTCCACATCTCTCCAGAGATTCCTGTCGTTAGATAACAGTAAAGTGATACTGTCTCTTCAGAGAATAAAGCACAGGCCAAGGACAGGGCTAGAATGAACATCCGGGTGTCCTGGGGCCCGTACATACTCTGAGGCAACTACATCCGGCCACTAGGATGTCCTCTTGCCCTCTAGAAGTAAGTATTAATAGATTGGTACTTGGTAGATCCAGCGGAAAGAGGGCTGAAGCTCTAGGGACAGCCGTCCATGAAAGCCATGGAAGCTTCTAGAAAAGCCTCTTGGGATCGCAGAAGGTGTGCTGTGATGTAGTGGAAAGGGTAGGGGAACTGGAGTCAGGAAGAGTTAGGTTCAAATCCTGACTCTAGCTGTGTGACCCCAGGCAAATGACTTACCCTCTCTGAGCCTGCTTCCTCACCTGTGCAATGAGCAGCATGAGACCACCTAACCCCCAAGGATGTTGTGGGGACTGACTGAGATGGAGGAGGTCGAGGGTTTAGCACAGTGCCCGGTACACAGCAGGCGCCCCAGAAGTGTTTGTTTCTTTATTCCTGTTGGGCAATCAGGTCCCCCCACCCCAACCAGGGATGTGAGGTGAGGGATATGGAAAGTCGAGAGCCTGCGCCTGGGGCGGGGTGGGTTGAGGGGAAGCCTCACCCACCTCTCTGTGCTCCCGGACCGCACTAACAGGTTGGCGGAGGAGATTGCCTTCCTGGAGAGCTTCTGCCGAGGCCGCTCTGAGGGGGATGAGGAGGAGGAAGAATTTCTTCGCGGCCTGGTGGGGGCATAGTGAAGGTCATTCCCTCCAACTGTACTCTGCAATCCTACCACCCCTCCCAGCTTCCGCCACAGGGCCACAGGACACCTACGTGTCAGCACGCTGTGGGGGCTGCAAGGGCCTGAGGATCCCCGGGGGGCCAGGGGAGCCAGCACCACTGCTGCTGCTGCCCCCTCCTTCAGATTGGGTCCCGCTAGGCTCTTCGCTGGCCCCCTGAGGGGCTGGGGGTCCATTGCTCAGGCCAGGGGGTCCAGGGGATGACTTGAGCTCCACCTCTGTCTCCGTCTGGGTGCCTCGGCTCACCAAGGAAGGGGTGCACGTGGGTGGCAGTCCTGGGGGGGCTGCAAGACTGCTGGAGAGATGTTGAATTAACCTG
This sequence comes from Homo sapiens, assembly GCF_000001405.40. Taxonomy (NCBI): domain Eukaryota; kingdom Metazoa; phylum Chordata; class Mammalia; order Primates; family Hominidae; genus Homo; species Homo sapiens. Next base: position 62,611,372 of record NC_000011.10, read on the forward strand.
AAGCCCCAGAGGCCCCAAGGAGGAGGAAAAATGGGGTGTGATGACATGCATACCTGTCCCCCGGAGGAGCTGGTGTGCCAGAGCCCTGCAGGGAGGAAGGGGGCACCTGCAGCCGCAGCAGGCGAAGGGCTTCTGCCAGGGCTGCCTTTACCAGTTCCATCTCCTGCTCCTGCACCCGAAGCCGCTGGCTCAGAGACTGGAGGGCCTCCCGAGCAGGGCCGTCACCTGGGAAAAGGGCAAGAGGTACTCAGAATGTACCCATCACCTGAAGAAAGCGTAGAGGGGATTCTGTCTCCCCACAACTTTACATGTGTCCGGTAGGACTGCCCCTTTCAGGCAGCCCCAGGCTTGAATGCTCGTCCAGAGGGGAGGAGACGGTGGTAAAGGATCAAGGGCCTCCTTCTGGCAGGGCAGGCGAGAAACCTGGCAAAGCTCCCTTCCTGCTGCCGTCTCAGCCTCCGCAAAGACTGGGAGTACCATGGAGTACCGGGGGGGAAATATGGAGTACTGCCGAGGAACGTGGGAGCCACAGAGAGAGGCGCCGCACTGGTGAGGGCAGGGACCGCAGCCCTCCCCACGCGCCCCCAGCAAGCTCAGGTCTCCAGCGAAAGCTGAGTAACTGAGCCGGGGGAACACCAGGAGAGAGAACGGGGTGCGGGAATGGAGTCATACTGAGGACCCAGAGTACAAGAAAAGAGATCCAGAGTGACAGGAGAGAGTGTGAGTGGTGAGCAGAGTCACAGTGAAGGTCTCAGGGGGCAGTGGGGATCAGAAGGAAAAAGACCTGAAATACCACGAGAAGAGGCCCGGAGTAACGCAGGGGGCAGGGAAACATCGAGGGGCCCGGAGTTACGTGGGGCGTAGAATGACGCTGGGGAAGCCCGAAGTGACAGCAAGACCCAAGCAACTAGGGAGGGCGACCGGAGGAACTGTGGAGGATGCTCGGAGCCCCTGGGGCGGAGGAGCACGCGGGGACGCCTCCAGACAGCCGTCCAGCTCTGGCATAACCCGACGAGCCGGGCGCTCCGGGAAGGGGCACGCCGCCCGCCCCGCCCCGTACTCACCGGGCCCCGCGGCCCCGTCCATCCGGCCCCCGGGTTGCTCCGAGCGGCGGCGGCGGAGGAGGCGTCTAAGCCGCGGGGGCCACGGCCGGGGAGAGGGGAAGGGGAAGCACCCCGGGGCGCGCGCGAAGGGCGCCGTACCACCACCCCGAGGGGGCGCTGTCGGGCGCGGGGAAGGGGCCTGGAGGGGGCGCTGTGGGCCCGGGGCCGCAGTCTCCAGACCCCCCCGGGCCCTCGGACTCTCCCGGGGCCGCTCTCGGCTCCCGGGGGTGGGGTGGCAGGGCCGTCCGGTGCCACAGCGCCGCAGCACAAACAGGCGCCGGACGCGGAGCCGCCAGGAAGCGCGGGAGGGGGGGCGGGCCCGAGGGGGGGCCGGGCCGCTTGGTAACCCCTCCCTGTCCGGGCCTCGCCGCTCAGTACGGGGGCGGGGCTAGCCGGCTGACCCCCTGGCCTACTCCCGGCCTCCGGCTCCAGGCCCTTCCCGGATCCCCGCCCCCGGATTCCCAGGGGACGGGGAAGGGAGCGCCCGCCCCGATATCTCCGCCCCCCAGCCCCTAACCCCTCAGGGTTGAGCGGACCAACCCCACCACTTCCGCGAGGGGCAGGGGCGGGGTCACAAAACGGGCCCTCGGCCTAGGGGCGGAGTTTCTCGTAAGGGGCAAGGCCAAGGCATCTTGTATTGGGGCTGACAGGGGGGCGGGTTATTAGGGCTGAGGATGGGAGGATGCTCAGGGTATTGGGGTCAGGGTGGCATTAGCCCAGCTCAAGCCGGGCCGGGCTGACTCAGCATCCTGCCCCAGCCAGCTTCCATCCCTGACACCTCTGCATTCCCTTGGGCAGAGATGGGAGATGGCGCCGGTGTTGCCCCTGGTGCTGCCCCTGCAGCCCCGCATCCGCCTGGCACAAGGGCTCTGGCTCCTCTCCTGGCTGCTGGCGCTGGCTGGTGGCGTCATCCTCCTCTGTAGTGGGCACCTCCTGGTCCAGCTAAGGCACCTTGGCACCTTCCTGGCTCCCTCCTGTCAGTTCCCTGTCCTGCCCCAGGCTGCCCTGGCAGCGGGCGCGGTGGCTCTGGGCACAGGACTAGTGGGTGTAGGAGCCAGCCGGGCAAGTCTGAATGCAGCTCTATACCCTCCCTGGCGAGGGGTCCTGGGCCCGCTGCTGGTGGCTGGCACGGCTGGTGGGGGGGGGCTCCTGGTCGTCGGCCTCGGGCTAGCCCTGGCTTTGCCTGGGAGTCTGGATGAGGCGCTGGAGGAGGGCCTGGTGACTGCCTTGGCTCACTACAAGGACACAGAGGTGCCTGGGCACTGTCAGGCCAAAAGGCTGGTGGATGAGCTGCAACTGAGGTACCACTGCTGCGGGCGCCACGGGTACAAGGATTGGTTTGGGGTCCAGTGGGTCAGCAGCCGTTACCTGGATCCCGGTGACCGGGATGTGGCTGAGTGAGTGATTTGCGTCTCCCTTCCTCCTCCTCCTCCTCCCTGGACAGGCTCCCTCCTGCTGCCTTGAATCCCCACCTCGCTCAGAGGGGCAATAAGTAGAACATAGTGGCTGAGAGACTGGTTACAGCTCTGCCATTTATTAGCTGTGAAACCCAGGGCATGTTACCAAACCACCCTGGGCCCATTCCTTCACCTGTAAAATGGAAATAATAGTACTTATCTGATAGAGTTGTTGTGAAGATGTGAATTATGCTTGGCTGGCACATAGTACAGCAGTCAGTAAATGTTTTACTATTCTTTTTCCCTTCTGAACACCTGTGCCCTTCAGTCCCTCCCCCAGGCCTCTATCTCCAGACATCCTAACCCCTCTGTCCCTCCCTTTGCAGCCGGATCCAGAGCAATGTAGAAGGCCTATACCTGACTGATGGGGTCCCTTTCTCCTGTTGCAACCCCCACTCACCCCGGCCTTGCCTGCAAAACCGTCTTTCAGACTCCTACGCCCACCCCCTGTTCGATCCCCGACAACCCAACCAAAACCTCTGGGCCCAAGGGTGCCATGAGGTGCTGCTGGAGCACTTGCAGGACTTGGCAGGCACACTGGGTAGCATGCTGGCTGTCACCTTCCTACTGCAGGTGAGTCAGCAAAGCATCTGACACCTCCTCCCACCCGGGACTCCTCCCTGCCTCCAACCCTGGGCCTCTTGGAACCGCTGACTCTCCCTGACTCTTTCCCCTTGCTTCCCCCACAGGCTCTGGTGCTCCTTGGCCTGCGGTACCTGCAAACAGCACTGGAGGGGCTTGGAGGGGTCATTGATGCGGGAGGAGAGACCCAGGGCTATCTCTTTCCCAGTGGGCTGAAAGATATGCTGAAAACAGCATGGCTACAGGGAGGGGTTGCCTGCAGGCCAGCACCTGAGGAGGCCCCACCAGGAGAAGCACCTCCCAAGGAGGATCTATCTGAGGCCTAGAGGCCTGGAGCTTGGGGTGAGGAAGAGGGAGGGATGGACAAGTCTGAAAACCTCACAACTCCTTACCAAGGCTCCAGGTTGGGGGGATCGTAGGATTAGAGGGGCTAAGGATAGTCAGCGAGCTGGACTGGGGTAAGAAAGAAAACCAGATGTCCTAGGGCCTAGCCCTTGTAGTCAGAACCACCAGGGAACAGCAAAGAACAGAGTGATGGGAAAGTGACATGAGAAGGCCTGGAGGCTGATTCTGATATAGACTCAATAAAGTTTTTGGATGGAAGCAATTGCTTTTTCTTGTCAAGGGGATGGGGGCCTGGGAGAACTGATTTCTGTCTGATGGAGCAGCTAGGACTCCAAAGTTTGGACCCTGGCTCGACCTGTGCAGCAACAGGAGCCCACATCTGTAAGGATCAGAAAGCAAGAACCCAATGTAAGAAGCAAAGGAAAACAAGAGGCCCCTCCAGGTTGAGATTCTTTATTCTGGAGGTAGGAAGGGGGTCAGCATGCTCAGGTGGGAAGGGTCCAGCCCAGCTCCTCCAGCCCCCCAGTGCATGCCCAGCCCCAATAAGTTACCCAGTTACTCAGCTGCCCTCCCTCCTGGGTCCATCTGTCCTTCTGTTCCACCCTAGACAGGGCCAACCTGACTCAACACAAGGGCTGCTTGTCCCCAGCCTGTGGGCAGTGCCACACGGCAGGCTAGGGGAGGGGTGAAGCAGCAGGACCATGCCCTGGGCCTGGAGGGGCAGAGGGGCCACTTCTGGCTCCAAGGGTCAGGACTTGGAAAACCACATCCTGGGCAGGCCTGGGGCCCAGTCCCACAAGGTCTGTGCCTGAAAAGAGGTGGTAGTTGGGGTGGGGCCGCCATCACACCTCAATTGCTGGGTCTGAGCCCCGGCCCTGCCGCTGCAGCTGCTCCTCCTGCTTCATCTTGGGCTTCTCTGTCCGAGTATGCCACACCAGTACCTGTGCCAGGAGGGATGCAGTGAGAGCCAGGCCCAGCTGCAGCCAGGCCTCTGGGTCCCCGAGCCTGGAATGGATTCTCTAACCCTATCGACATATACAGTATAGGCTTCAAAGTGTAAAGGGCAGGGTGGAGGAAGACTTAGTGCCTCTAAAACCGGGCCTTGGCCGGGCGCGTGGCTCACGCCTGTAACCCCAGCACTTTGGGAGGCCGAGGAAGGCGGATCACGAGGTCAGGAGATTGAGACCATCCTGGCTAACACCGTGAAACCCCGTCACTACTAAAAACACAAAAAAATTAGCCGGGCGTGGTAGCGGGTGCCTGTAGTCCCAGCTACTTGGGAGGCTGAGGCAGGAGAATGGTGTGAACCCGGGAGGCGGAGCTTGCGCTAAGCCAAGATTGCGCTACTGCACTCCAGCCTGGGTGACACAGCGAGACTCTGTCTGAAAAAAAAAAAAAAACAACAAACAGGGCCTTATTCCTTCATCCTCTCTGTGCCACATGGGTTCCCAGAACTCGGGGCAGAGTGGCAGGAGACCACTTTCCCCCGCTAGTTCCCAGCTTCCCCTTCAGTAGAGTCAGCAAGGCTGATCAGAGATCTGGAGAGTCCCTCCTGGTTAAACCACCCATTCCCAGGGTCTCACTGTACCTCCCCCATCACCTGTCCATCCAAGAGCCAGGTTTCTATGCCCATCTCCATTCCCTTACCCGAGTGCAGTTGGCAGCCCGTGGCTCCAGGTCCTTGGGATCCACAAGGTGGCTCAGAAGACTGCTCTCCAGGTGGCCCCGGGGAGCGGTGGAATCAAATTGGGCATTGGGCTTATCTAACAGCAAGGGCAGGGCCACGGCAAATCCAGCCATATCCACAGGGAAGGGCCTGCTGGGCTCCCATGCTGTGTGGAAGCCCACTACCCGGCCGTCCTGTACCTGAGGGCCCTCGAATCGCAGGCCGCCCACCAGCCCCACAGGCCACACTGAGACACCACGGGTCCAGCGCATCTAACGGAGGTCGGGAGAGAAGAAACAGAGGGGTGGTCCGGGGAAGGGAGCAGCAGAAAGAGCCACCTGGCTCACTCTGCCCCACTGCTTCCAGCCCCTCACCCAGCAGCCAACGGCAACACTGCTAACCAAGGTAACGAATGAAGCTGGCCGCACCTGGTCTCTTGCCCATCCCCATCCTGGTGCTCACCTCCTCAAACAGCTCCCGGCTGTAGGTGTTGTCATCGTCAGCAAAGTAGACGACTCCTTGGGTCCCTGGTGGTGGTGGGTCCTTCTCCCCACCCACAGCACCCCCTCTGCCCCGGAGCCAGTCCAGGGCCTTGTTCCGCTGCTCGACACCACGGGGATGAACCCAGCCAGGCTCGCCCTCCCGAAGCCGCTGGGCTTTGGGCGTGAGGACCACCAGGTGTGTGAAGAGGAGGCCAGAGGCAGCCAGCAGCCCTGAGACCAGCGGGGTGGGACCCTCAGCATCCTCCACCAGCAGCCAATGCAGCCGGGGCACCAGGCTCAGTGTCTGGGACAGTCGTACCAGCTCTGCCTTCTGTACCAGCCTGCAGGGGAGAGATGCAGCACAAGGAAAAGGGGCAGGCACCATTTGCCTGCTCCAGCCAGGGCAGACAGCTTCTCCTGGGCCACTGCCTGCGTCTCCTGTGGCCCTTCCCAACCAATGCCTAAACTCCCTCTTTCTTGCCTGTCAACTTCATGCTAACACTCACCTGCCCTGTTCTTCTGGTCCATGTCCATCACCCACCTCAACTCCAGAGCTCAGGCTGTGGGAGACTATAAATTAAGGGCACAGGGCCGGGCATGGTGGCTCACACCTATAATAACACTTTGGGAGGCTGAGGCAGGTGAATTACCTGAGGTCTGGAGTTCCAGACCAGCCTGGCCAATATGGTGAAACCCCATCTCTACTAAAAAAATACAAAAATTTGCTGGGTGTAGTGGCACATGCCTGTAATCTCAGCTACTTGGGAGGCTGAGGCAGGAGAATCGCTTGAACCTGGAAGGAGGAGGTTGGAGTGAGCTGAGATCGCACCATTTCACTCCAGCCTCAGTGATAACAGCAAAACTCCATCTCAAAAAAAAAAAAAAAAGGCCGGGCATGTTGGCTCACGCCTATAATCCCAGCACTTTAGGAGGCCGAGGTGGGCGGATCACCTGAGGTTAGGAGTTCGAGACCAGCCTGCCCAACATGGCGAAGCCCCGTCTCTATTAAAAATACAAAAAATTACCCAGGCATGGTGGCAGTCACCTGTAATCCTAGCTACTCGGGAGGCTGAGGCAGAAGAATCGCTTGAACCCGGGAGGCGAAGGTTGCAGTGAGCCGAGATTGTGCCACTGCACTCCAGCCTGAGCGACAAGAGCGAAACTCTGTCTCAAAAAAAAAAAAAAAAAAAAAAAAAAACAAATTAAGGGCACAGGCTTTGGGATCAGGTAGATCTGGGTTTGAAATCCAGTTTTGTAACTTATTATGTGAGACAATTTGGGAAAATGGCTCAATCTCCCTAAGCCTCAGTTTCCTCAACTGTAAAATGGGAATAACAGTACTTTATAACAATGTTGTTTTAAAGATTAAATAAGAGCTGGGGATGGTGGCTCACACCTGTAATCCCAGCACTTTGGGAAGCTGAGGCAGGTGGATCATGAGGTCAGGAGATCGAGACCATCCTGGCTAACACGGTGAAACCCCATCTCTACTAAAAATATAAAAAATTAGCTGGGTGTGGTGGCGGGCACCTGTAGTCCCAGCTACTTGGGAGGCTGAGGCAGGAGAATGGCGTGAACCCGGGAGGCAGAGCTTGCAGTGAGCCAAGATCACGCCATTGCACCCAGCCTAGATGACAGAGCGAGACTCCATCTCAAAAAAAAAAAAAATACAAAAGTAAAATACAAAAAATTACTGGCCAGGCATGGTGGCTCACACCTGTAATCCCAGCACTTTGAGAGGCCGAAGCAGGTGGAACACGAAGTCAGGAGTTCCAGACCAGCCTGGCCAACATGGTGAAACCCCATCTCTACTAAAGATACAAAAAATTAGCCGGGTGTGGTGGCGCATGCTTGTAACCCCAGCTACTCGGGGGGCTGAGGCAGGAGAATTGCTTCAATCCGGGAGGTGGAGGTTGCAGTGAGCCGAGATCGTGCCATTGCACTCCAGCCTGGGCGACAGAGTGAGACTCCATCTCGGGAAAAAAAAAAAAAAAATTAGCCTGGTGTGGTGGTGCACGCCTGTAATCCCAGCTACTCGGGAGGCTGAGGCAGGAGAATCGCTTGAACCCGGGAGGTGGAGGTTGCAGTGAGCCAAGATCACACCACTGCACTCCAGCCTGGGCAACAGAGCAAGACTCCATCTCGGTGTTGCGGGGAGGCGGGGGGAAGAAAAAAAAAAAAGGAACAAACCAGGAATGTGGAACGTGGGGCTTGGCCTCTTCTGTACTTCTTTATCCTTCAGATCTACCTGCCTGTCCCAGGGCTGGTTGTGTGTGCATGTCGCAGGTGGGGTCTAGAGCTTCCTATGCGTGAATGGGACAGCCATCTGATTCCCAGAAGATGTATTAACACCCTTATGGCTACAGATCCAAAACCACATTCCCCAATTGGTTTTATTAGTAAAACCAATTACATTTGATTTAAAACAAAAGCAAATGTAAATCACTAAATACAGTGCCTGCTAGAGAGTAAACACACTGTAAGTAACAGCTGGTATAACTATTTCTGGACCCTAGTATGACTATCAGGCCAAGCACTTTCAACTTTTTTTTTTTTGAAATGGGCTCTCTCTGTCGCCCAGGCTGCATGATCTCCACTCACTGCAACCTCCGCCGCCCAGGATCAAGCAATCTTCCCACCTCAGCCTCCAGAGTAGCTGAGATTACAGGCATGCACCATCACGCCTAGCTAACTTTTTTTTTTTTTTTTTTTTTTTTTCAGAGACAAGAGTTTCACCATGTTGCCCAGGCTGGTCTCAAACTCCTGAGCTCAGGCGATCCGCCAGCCTCGGGCTCCCAAAGTGCTGGGATTACAGGCGTGAGCCACTGCGCCCAGACAAGCCCTTTCAACTTTAATCAGGGGGTTTTAACTTTCTTGCCAAACGGTCCCTAAGGAGAGAGAGTTAATTCACTGCCAAGCTCAAAATTTCTTTGAAATGTTATTGTTCTATCTTATAATTTGGTAGAAATTTTGTATTTTCCTTCTAGAAAAAGAACTATTTTTTTTCTTTTTTCTTTTGTTTTGTTTTGTTTTTGAGATGGAGTTTCACTCTTGTTGCCCAGGCTGGAGTGCAATAGCGCACTCTCAGCTCACTGCAACCTCCGCCTCTCAGGTTCAAGGGATTCTCCTGCCTCAGCCTCCCCAGTAGCTGGGATTATAGGCATGCGCCACCACGCCTGGCTAATTTTGTATTTTTAGTAGAGACGGGGTTTTGCCATGTTGGCCAGGCTGGTCTCGAACTCCTGACCTCAGGTGATCCACCCGCCTCGGCCTCCCAAAGTGCTGGGATTACAGGCGTGAGCCACCACACCCAGCCTGAAAAAGAACTATTTTCCCACAAATATTTGAGTATAAATGTGGTTCATTTATCCTGTCTTTGGCATGCTCTAGTTTGAGGAACAACTCCTAGCCCAGTGCCTCCCCAAACTCCTCATCATCAACTCCAACTTCTTGGACAACGCAGACCTCTTGAGTGCACCAGAGCCCATACCTGGCATAGGTGGGGGTAACAACATAGATAGTAGGCAGGGCCTCGGGTTCAGGGGGCTGGGCAGGGGCAGGGGGTGGCCGTCGGAGTTCCGCTTGCAGCTGGGAAATCCTCAGATCCTTCTGCCGTAGCTGCTCGGCTGCTGCCCGCAGGGGAGGAAGGCAGTCACATGGCTGGCCTGGTCCCAGGAAGCATTAATGGGGAAAGAAGGTGGGGACAGAGAACCGCAGAATGTTCAGCATCCCAAAGGGCCGTAATCGTCTCATTAATTCCTAACCAATGCAGGTATCACCTTATGACTTCCCTAGTAGCCTTTTCTATACCTCTCGTGTGGGAAACTCACTGCCTCAAGCAGCAGACCCTCTCCAACTTTAATAAATTCCATTGTTACAATTTTATGTTGGATATTGAGCTGATTCCATCTTTTCTACCTGCTGGTCCTAATTTTGCCTTCTGGGCTTCTAACAAGCTCATGTCCTTAAACAGGACAGTCTTTTCAGAGTCCAAGGTGCCAACTAACCATTACACTATGGAACCCCTTTTGGACAGTCTTTCAAATACCTGAGGATAACGCAGTGGCACTGTCCCTAAATCTTTGCATAAGGGGCAGGGTTCGATCCATTCCCTTGGCTAGGTGACCAAAGACTCATTGTTAAATTCATTGATTCCATCGTAGGATAAATATTTATTGAATACTCTTCCTAGGAGGCACTGCCTTAGGTGCTGGGGATACAGCAGGGAACAAAACAGACACAGTCCCTGCCCTCATCGAGCTTTCTGTTTAGTGGAGGAAGCAGACACTAAGCAAAGAAACAAATTAATAACATTATTACAAACTGTGATGGGGCCATGAAGAAAATAATCAGGATAGAGAATAAAAGGGAATGGAATTAAGAATGGTAACTTTAGCTATGGTGGTCAGGGAAGGCCTCTCTGAGGAGGTGACATTTGAGCTAAGACCTGAAGGATGAGAAAGAGGCAGCCCGGGAAACGCTGGAAGCAAAGCACCCCAAGCAGAGGGAACAAGTTAAGTGCTTGAGAGAGTAATGAGCGTGGGGTTTTCGAGAAACTGTCAGCAAGCCAGTCTGGCTGCAGCAGAGCGAGGGAGAGGGGTGGAAATGGGGTTGGGAGAGGCGGACGGCAGCAGGATCATGCGGGGCCTTGCAGGCTCTGGGAAGGAGTCTGGATTTCATCCGAGGTGCGGCGGGTAGCCGCGGTGCGTTCTATAGAGGGCAGTGCGCCTGAGGCCGCAGAGCTGTCCGGAGGGCCGAGCGGATGAATGGTGTTTGCCGGGGGTTCATCCCCAGGGCGGGATGCACGGCGGCGGGCGCCCTCGGGCCAGCCCGCCGCACCCCCGCCCCGCCCCGCTCACCGAGCTGTACCAGCGCGTAGAGGAGGCCGGCGATCGACACCAGGAAGTAGGCGAGAAACACGTTCTTCAGCTTCAGCTTCATGGCCGCGCCGCCGCCCGCGCCCGAGCAGGCGGGGTCTGCAGGGGACGAGGGGTTCCCGCCCCAAACCCCGGCTCCTGTCCGCAGGCCCCGCCCCTGCAGCGGCTCCGCCCTGCGTCCCGCCTTCCTCGCACTCCCCTACCAGCTCCCAGCTGGGGCTGGCAGCGCCGCCAGGGCACGCTTCCGGTCATCTGTGCACCCCCCCGCCTTGTAGACTTGATTTCCGGTCCCACCGCCAGGTTCCGGGAACCACCGGGTGGTGACGTCACATCCGGCGTGCCAAACTCGCGTGGCCGGCAGTCAAAACCCCGGGTAGGTGCAGAATCTCGAGTAGGTGCACGTGGTACCTACCTCGAGACCCGCCCCCTCATCACGGAATTGCCTGAGAAAGCCAGTCCTGGCGCCCAGATCTTCACCTTATTCATCCATCCAGTCAGTCACGCCACCCAATAGCTGTTGCTCAATACTTATTACACGAATGAAATCTAAGGCCCACCACATGATCCTCTGGGTGTCTCTCCTGGAATCCTCACTATAATACTTTGAGATAGATAAGAAACCAAAGTTGACAAAAATTATGTCATTGCCACAGGGCAGTTTTGTGTCCTTTCTGGACACCCGATTCCAGCATCTCTAGTGTGTCCTCTGGCCCACATTTCTTCAACAGATGACAACAGGGGTGCCAAGGAAGTGTTTTAACTACCAGGAAATTGATTGGAAATAGTTCCTGAGCTGGGGAATTCCATGAATGCATCCCCTTCCTCCTCACAAGCACAAGCCATCCTTCTCATTTTTCCTTTAAAAAAAAAAAAAAGGGCCCGGCCCAGTGGCTCATGCCTGTAATCCTGGCACTTTAGAAGCCCAGGAGTTTCAGATCAGCCTGGGCAACAAGGCAAAACCCCGTCTCTACAAAAAAAACACAAAAATTAGCTGGGTGTGATGGCGCGGGCCTACAGTCCCAGCTACTTGGGAGGCTGACATGGGAGGCTGAGGCTGTGGTGAGCCGTGATCATGCCACTGCACTCCAGCTTGGGTGACTGGGTGAGACCGTCTCAAAAAAAAAATAACCCCCCAAAAAAAGTTTCTGGTAAAATAATCTCTGACTTGTGGTCAGTCTACAAAATGAGGGGAAGGGGGAACAGTATACTTCCTGTCACTAAAACAATGGGAAACTTTAAAAAGTGCTGTTAGCAGCTGGGCGCGGTGGCTCACGCCTGTAATCCCAGCACTTTGGGAGGCCGAGACAGGCGGATCACGAGGTCAGGAGATCGAGACCATCCTGGCTAACACGGTGAAACCCCGTCTCTACTAAAAAACACAAAAAAATTAGCAGGGTGTAGTGGCGGGCGCCTGCAGTCCCAGCTACTCAGGAGGCTGAGGCAGGAGAATGGCGTGAACCCGGGAAGCAGAGCTTGCCAAGAGCCGAGATCGCACCACTGCACTCCAGCCTGGGCGACTGAGGGAGACTCCGTCTCAAAAACAAAAACAAAAACAAAAGTGCTGTTAGCTACAAGCAGAAGCCTCTAGGTTGGGCACAGTGATCGATGCCTGTAATCCCAGAACTTTAGAAGCCTGGGAGGTCAAGGCTGCAATGAGCCAGGATCATACCACAGCACTCCCCGCACTCCAGCCTGAGCAATAGAGCGAAACTATGTCTCCTCAACCCCCGACATCCTCCAAAAGTTTAGTTTGAGAAACAGCTATCTGACCTTATGGCTATTTCTATCCAAGAGGGACTCCATTGGCTCTGATCACCACTTACTAACTAGGCCTACTAAAATGTGATGATCTTGCTGGGCTCTTCTACGAAAATATCTAGCAACCCAAGGAAGGCTTGCACTTGCTCATTTTGCTGAAATCAAGGATGCTCATGCTGGCCGGGAACAGTGGCTCATCCCTGTAATCCCAGCACTTTGGAAGGCCGAGGCAGGTGGATCACTTGAGGCCAGGAGTTCGAGACAACATGGTGAAACCCCATCTCTACTAAAGATACAAAAATCAGCCAGACGTGGTAGCAGGTGCCTGTAGTCCTAGCTACTTGGGGGCTGAGGCAAGAGAATCGCTTGAACCTGGGAGGCAGAGGTTGTAGTGAGCCGAGATCACACCATTGCACTCCAGCCTGGGCAACAGTGAGACTCCATCTCAAAAAAAAAAAAAAAAAACCCAAAAAGGATGCTTATGCTGAAGCCAAATGAAAATGTAAGGCCCATGGCCAGGCATGGTGCCTCACGCCTGTAATCCCAGCACTTTGGGAGGCCAAGGCGGGCAGATCACCTGAGGTCAGGAGTTCAAGATCAGCATGGCTAACATGGCGAAACCCCATCTCTACTAAAAATACAAAAATGAAGCTGGCCATGGTCGCAGGTGCCCGTAATCCCAGCTATTAAGGAGGCTGAGGTGGGAGAACTGCCTGAACCCAGGAGGCAGAGGTTGCAACGAGCCAGGATCACACACTGTACTCCAGCCTGGCGACACTCTGTCTCAAAAAAAAAAAAAAAAAAAAAAAGACCCAGGGCGCAGTGGCTCACTCCTTTAATTCCAGCACTTTGGGAGGCCGAGGCAGGCGGATCACCTGAGGTCAGGAGTTCCAGACCAGCCTGGCCAACATGGTGAAACCCCATCTCTAATAAAAATACAAAAATTAGCTGGGCATGGTGGCGCATGCCTGTAGTCCCAGCGACTCGGGAGGTTGAGGCACGAGAACTGCTTGAACCTGGGAGGCAGAGGTTGCAATGAGCCCAGATCATGCCATTGCATTCCAGCCTGGGCAACAGAGTGAGACTCAGTCTCAAAAAAGAAAAAAAAAGGAAAGCAAATGTAAGGTCTCTAGGCTTCTAGGGTCTGTGGCTCAGGCTAGAACTAGAATCCAGACTACCACCAGTTATTTATGGTTTATCCCTTTATTGTTTCTCCTTTGATCAAAACGTGTCACAGCTGGGAACCAAGAGGAAGTAAAAAAAATACCCACAAATATTCCCCGACTCCCCATTAGTCCTCCCCCAACCCCCCACCCAGGGCTTCCAGCCAACCCCGAGCACACATGATCATCTCCCCCCACCCTCAGGCTTCTCCTAGCAATAAATACAGGTGACCATGATTCACTGAAACCACAACTGATTTCTCCATCTTAAGTGCCCCTCAAAGGGGACAAGAAGGGGGCAAAAGAAGTTTAATGCGCATCCCCTAAGAGGTGTGGAAACGTCTTTCTGCCGAGGGACAGAGGAGGTAGAACTGCCCCTCTAAGAATTGCAGCAGCTCTACAAGGAATCGGGGAGAGGAAAAGGGTAGAATGAGAGGGAAAAGGATGTTCTTTAGCAACCTCACTCCTTTGATCCATTCATCCTGTCCGGGGTAAGGGGTGGTCCCAGTGTATCGGTGGGGCATAAAAAGGGGAGTAAAGCCTGGAGGAAGAAATGAAAGGTGGGAGAGCAATCTGGTGGGAGGGAAGGGGAAAAGGAGCCCTAACTCATTGCCCTCATCTTCTTCCAAGAAGTGGCATCAACATACAAGAGGCATGAATGGATAGACTCTGGGGGAGTTCAGGGCTCCTAAATAAGGGAAAGAGAAGGGGCGACAAGGGCCCTGTGGTTTCCTGGTGTTCGTAAGTGAATGTGCTCCAGTTAGAGCAACAGGATGTTGGGGGAATGAAGGGAAAGAGTTGGTATCAATGGAGTGGGAGAGGTGAGGAGATCACAAGAGGAATTTGGAGCCCAGGGTCAGCCCTCTCATCCTGCCCAAATGTTGGCAGAATCTGGGTCTTAGACTAGCATAAGTGAAGTCTGGGGAGGGCCGAACTCCAAGGCAGAAGAAAGAATATCTCTCAGCACTAATGCTCCCCTTCCCTCCCCCTAACCCAGAACATCCCTTGGGTTATCGCAGGTGAATACTCCAATCAGATGCCACATTGATGCCAGGCTTGCGCAGGACCAACACAGAGGTCTCAGGGTCATGCTGGAAGGACAGGCGGCTTTCTGGAGATCCTGGAGGAGGAATAAAAGAGTGCCATAGTCATACCAATGGGCTATAGCATAACAACAACGTTCCTACAGGCAAGGGCATCCCTAAACCTGCCCCGGCTTCCCCTCCTTCCCCCATCCTAGGGGCCAGATTGGTCACTCACCTTTTGTCTGGAGTACCACAGCTGCTGGCTTTCCAGCCCCTATTATCACCACCCGCTCAATCCAGATTGGTGTCTCAAAGTGTCCTTCAGGGTCTGCTGAGCTGGAGATGGTAAAAGCAGATGTCCATCAGGGGGAAAAATAACAGAACAGAAGGAAGGAGGAGACCCAAAGCAAGGTCAGAATGTGAGAAAAGAGCACAGTGAACTGGGAGCCCCCACAAGGATCAGGCCCCAGCAAAGGCAGCCAAGGAAGAGTGGGTGACCCATTACCTGGAGACAAGGGTGTTGCCAGAGAATGAGAATCGACGCAGCAGGAACTCTTGGCGAGTCTGATAGTTGAACGTGTGCCCATCATCCAGAAAGAGCTCTCCTTGAGCTGTACCCTGAGCAAGAAGTGGGATAGGTGAGCGCCTGAGCCCAAGAGGGAGTGAGGGGCACAACCCCAGAGAACTGAGTCCTAGGAAGGCAGGCAAATGGCTGAGGAGACTCGCTGCCTATGCACTTACCTGAGGGCTAAGTGCAACAAAGAGAGTGATGGGGTCATCCTTCATACATTCTGAAGACCGCCGCACTCGCATCCATCGAGGCACGATTGTCCCTCCACGCTGGAACACAGGGATCTAGGGCAAGAGCAATGCCAGGATGAAGTTGCCCCCTTGTCCAACCTTGGGCCCCACAGCATGTTTTGCTTACTCATGTATGCCCACATAGGTACTGGACCCTAAGGCACACATTCCCTCCCCTTCTGGAAATTTACAGGGAGATGGAACCGGCAGCCAGACCAGGCTTACTCACACTGCTTAGAGTTACAGGCAGGTACAGGGTCTGGGGACCATGATGCTTCTGGTAGCTTTGAATGTCATACCACACCTGTGAGTGACAAAAGAGGTAAGATACCGGATCACTCAGTGCACAGGGGTCCCGTCCTGTTTGCCTCCTTTGGCTTCCACCATCTTTCCCCACCATGCCCTTCCTTAACTCACCTCCCCTTGGCCAGGCAGATAGACCTGGACACCATGGGCTCCAGAGTCTGATACAGGGTGAACCAGCAACGCATCCCCTAAAATATGCCAGAATCAACTCTGAATAGGGGGATTAGTTCCCAGAACAGGGAACACCAAAGTGCCTGCCCTCTGCACCACCAGCTTCACTAGTCCCTCCCTGGGCATCCGCAGTGCTGCTTGGCCCAAAGCCAACCCACCACCAACTATCCTCATTTCTCACCAAGCAAGTACTGATCATCTATATTGAAGGTAGTCACATCCTGAGGGTACTGCACCCACAGGGGCCTAGGAAGGAAGAAAGACAATAAAGGAAAACTTTTCAATTTTGGCACAAGTCAGAAATGCTCCTCCAGGAACTGGCAATAAGAAAAGAACAGCATAGGCCGGGTGTGGTGGCTCACACCTGTAATCCCAACACTTTGGGAGGCCGAGGCGGGAAGATCACCTGAGGTCAGGAGTTCGAGATCAGCCTGAACAACATGGTGAAACCCCGTCTCTACTAAAAATACAAAAATTAGCCGGGCATGGTGGCAGGCACCTGTGATCCCAGCTACTCAGGAGGCTGAGGCTGGAGAATCACTTGAACCCGGGAGGCGGAGTGCATTCAGTGAGCCAAGATCACACCATCGCACTCCAGCCTGGGGGACGAGAGTGAGACTTTGTCTCAAAAAAAAAAAGAAAAGAAAAGAACAGCACAGGGGTTAAGACCCAGGAGTTTGCAGTCAGACAGTCGGGTTGGGGTTCAGGTCTCAGTTATACAATCCAGTCTTAGACATTTAACTTCCTAAGCCATCTCCCTGCTTCTTCTCTGCCCTCTACTGAAACCATGCTGCACAGCAGCCTGCCAGTAGCCTCCTTGCATGTTTCACCGCCCTGGCTTACAACCCTGGGTTGCAACCCTGGCTTGCAAGGCCCTCCAGGAGCAGATCACACTTTCTTCTTAATCTCATCTCCTAGCTCTCCTTCTGCTTCTTTACCCAAGACATACTGTTTTTTTCTATTCCTAGTACATAACAAACTAATTTCTCCTTTAGAATTTTTGTACTTGCAATTCCCTCTGCTTGGAAGATTCTTCCTACATAACATGGTCTGTCCCACTCATTCAGGCCTCATCTCACACAGCCTTCTTCTCAAAACTTTTTTTTTTTTTTTTTTTTCATTTTTTTGAGATGGAGTCTCCCTCTGTCACCCAGGCTAGAATGCAGCAGAGCAATCTCGGCTCACTGCAACCTCTACCTCCTGGGTTCAAGTGATTCTCATGCCTCAGCCTCCCGAGTAGCTGGGATTACAGGCGCCATGATGCCCAGCTAATTTTTGTATTTTTAGTAGAGATGGGGTTTTGCCATGTTGGCCAGGCTGGTCTCAAACTCCTGACCTCAGGTGATCTGCCCACCTCGGCCTCCCAAAGTGCTGGGATTACAGGTGTGAGCCACTGTGCCCGGCCTCAAAAAGGGATTTTATGACCACCTAATCCCATTACCCTGTTTTATTTTTCTGAAAGAGCTTATGACTGCTGTCAATTTTCTTTAAATGTTTACTATTATTCATCTCCATTAAGCTCCCCTTCACTCTTGACCTTAATGATTTTCCATCCTTTACAAGGCTGTAGTGAGTGAAGAAAGAGACCCAGAGATGAAGCCCAGTCCCTAATACCCCCAGCCACCTCAGCCCACTCTTCACAGCCCAAGTGAATGCCTCACCTCATGACAGGAATGCCTTCCCGATGGGCCTGATATAAGAGGGTGTACCAGAAGGGCAGCAAAGAATATCGCTGGCCCAAGGCATCTCGGATTATATCATTGTGCTGAGATGGTAACAGCCATGGCTCTCGTCGCCCAGTGTCCAAGTGGGCATGTGCCCGGAAGAATGGCTGGTAAGCACCCATCTGGTACCAGCGCACAAGCAGCTCTGGCTCTGGGTTTTTGAAGAAGCCACCCACATCCGCTGGTAGAGGAGAGAGAGGAAGCAGGTTGGAAAAGAGGGTGAAGGAGAGATACTGCTTGAGAAACTTCCCAAGGCCCTAACTTGGACTCTCAACTCTCTTTGCTTACAACACCTTGGTCCTGTGCCCTCTACTTTGCCCCTTTCCCACCAAACCAAGACCCCAAATTCCTCCCTGTCTTACCCCCACAGAAGGAAAGTCCCACCAGCCCCAAGCTGAGACACATAGGAATAGAGATCTTCAAATGGTCCCACTCGGCAGTGTTGTCCCCTGTCCACACGGCTCCTGAGGAAGACAAGAAGTGGGGAGCTTGCACATGGTAAAGGAGTTCAGCTTTTTACATGGCTGACCTCCCACATCCGCTCTGGGTCCCCAGAACCCTGCTGAAGATGCAGTTCACAAGAACATTTGAACAAGGAGTGGACCTCCCACACCCTGACTTCCTTCAAAGCGCATAGCTGAGAGGAAACAGATGCAGTGTGTGGCTCCCATTCCTCAGAGAGGCAGGTCCAGGTCCATGGCTCCTGAGATCTGGCCTTCACACCCTTCTGCCACAGCTCCATTCTCTAAACCTTACCAAAGCGCTGGGAGCCAGCGAAGAAGGCCCTGGCCAGGACAAAGGGGCGTTCCATGCCCCCAGAGCGCTGTCTCAGCCCATCAGCAGTCGCCATGTGCTGGGTGAGGAGAGAAGAGACGGGTAGTGAGGAGCAAAAGCCAGCTGTCATCTGGTGCAAGTTCCCTAGGCCCTCAGTCTCTGGGCTGTTTTCCCTCTTTCCACCAACTCTCCTCTCTCAGGCCCTTACCACATAAAGGCCATAGATGTTATGCACATCCCGGTGCTCCCAGCCCCCATAATGCTGGGCATCCTTGAGCATGGTGACCTCAGGACCATTGAACACAGATGGTTCGTTCATGTCATTCCAGACAAAGAGGTTGGGAGCTGAGCCCTGGGAACGTGGGCAGAAAATGGGGACAGAAGGACAGAGGGGAGGAAGAAGACAAACAGTGTCAGAGAAGAGAGCTCCTAGGAATCTAAAAAGATGCATTTTTCAGGGCCCTCCCCGGATCATCAAGGCCCCCTGATATGTTGCAGGCAATCAACCATAGAAGGGTTGGCAAGCCGAGAGAGATTCAGGGAGGCAGGTGGAACAGACAGACGCAGGTCATGGGGAGAGGCCTTCCCTACCTCATAATTGTCATAGCTGAACATGTTAGCCCACCAGGCCCTCATCGTGGGATTAGTGAAGTCAGGGTAACCAGCTGAGCCTGGGAGAAGTTAAGGGTGGCTCTCAATCCCCTAAGGGGCAAAAGAGCCACCATTCTACCCCGCTGGCCAATCAACTCTCCCTCAATTCTGGGTCTGCTTACCTGGCCAGCACCAGCCCTCATAGTCAGAGCCATCCCGGGTTTTAACATACAGCCCCAGGTTCCGCAGCTCCTCGTGAACTCGGTAGCCGGAGTCCACCTTGATGTGGGGGTCTACGATGGCCACCAGCTGGGGGCAAGGAACAGGGGTGTTCAGGTCTCTTTAAGGCTAAACTATGCTTCAGCCCTACCCTGAGAAGACCAAGCGTGACTGCAACCCCTTACCTTCCGCCTCTTAGAAGCCAAGCGCTCAAGCATGGTGCGGGGCTGAGGGAAGCGACTGGGGTCCCAGGTGAAATACCGCTTGCCATCAGCATGTTCAATGTCTAGCCAGATGACATCACAGGGCAGGTTGTGATCATCAAAGCCCTGATCCACTTCCAGCACATCAGCCTCGTCCCGGTAGTTCCAACGGCTCTGGTGGTAGCCGAGGGAGAAGAGTGGGGGCAACGCCTGGGTTCCTGCAGGTTCATGAGGGATGGGGGTCACAACGAGGATCAGGCCCAACACCCAGAAACTGAGGGAGGCTTGTGAACTAGAGGCAGGCTGAGGGGTATAAACCTAGAAAACAAGCTGGGGCACAGGATCTCTGAAAACACATAGAATCACCCGACAAGAAAAGAGCAGAAGAATGAGGCAGGGAAAACCATGTACCTGTGAGACTAGCATATTGCCGGAAAACATCAGAGATGGAGGGCCCCAGCAGCAGGAAGACGTCAATGATGCCAGTCTCTGACATCCAGCGAACATCTGTCTGTGGGGTCTCCCCAGAGCCCTGCAGGTAGTCCATCATCTTCCCAAACAGGGTCTGTATAGGTGACCACAAAGGGGTCAGACACCTCCTGCCCTCCCATTTTCCAACCCCAAGACAAAAAGTAGCAATTTTCTCCCAGAGTCCACACAGAGCTGGCTCATGTAAGCTGCTTTCGGTAAGACTAAACGGGGCCTCTTCAGTGAGGCTTTCCTAGACCACACTATCTAAAGCAGTACAGCCCCCACCCCTACCCCACCAGTTTGGGGTGGTTAAGTGCTAACAAAGACTCTCTTTCATGTCTTTGTTAGCACTTAATCACCCCAAACTCATCTTGCATTCTTTTTTTTTTTTTTAGACAGAGTCTCACTCTTTTGCCAGGCTGGAGTGCAATGGTGTGATCTTAGCTCACTGCAATCTCCACCTCCCCAGTTCAACCAGTTCTCCTGCCTCAGCCTCCCGAGTAGCTAAGACTACAGGCGCACACCACCACACCCAGCTAACTTTTGTATTTTCAGTAGAAACAGGGTTTCACAATGTTGGCCAGGATGGTCTCGATCTCTTGACCTTGTGATCTGTCCACCTCGCCCTCCCAAAGTGCTGGGATTAGAGGTGGGAGCCACTGCACCCGGCATCATCTTGCTTATTATTTTTATTTTTCAAACGTTTTTATAGAGATGGGGTCTCGCCATGTTGCCCAGGCTGGTCTCGAACTCCTGGCCTCAAGCGATCCTCTTGCCTCAGCCTCCCCAAGTGCTGGGATTACAGACATGAGCTATCATGCCCGGCCCCATCTTGCCTCCTTTGTTATGTGTTTAACGTGTCTTCCTCCCTGTGAGTCAGAACCTTTCTTTTTTTTTTTTCTGAAACAGAGTCTCACTCTGTCACCCAGGCTGGAGTGCAGTGGTGAAATCTCCGCTCACTGCAACCTCCACCAACCAGATTCATGCAATTAACCTGCCTTAGCCTCCCGAATAGCTGGGATTACAGGAGTCCGCCGCCACACCCTGCTAATTTTTGTTTTTCTAGTAGAGATGAGGTTTCGCCATGTTGGCCAGGCTGGTCTCCAACTTCTGACCTCAGGTGATCCGCCCACCTCAGCCTCCCAAAGTGCTGGGATTACAGGCATGAGCCACCACACCCAGCCCAGAACCTTTTCAACCTCAGTTAACACTATATCCCCAGCACCCAGAAGAGTACCTAGCACGTAACACACTGATAATAAGTGCATTCCGTCAGCCCAGAATAGGCAATGCCTTCCCTAAGAATGTGAGTGAGCGTGTCACCTGGGAGTGATTAGGGAACTCAAATGCTGCCCACCAGGCCCACAGCCCCTTCTTAAACCCAGTCCCCAAATAGCTAATGCCCCTAGTATACCTATTTGCCTCAAGGCCTGGAAGCTTCACTCCCTCCTTTTTCCCCGTGCCTGTGCTCTCACCTTCCCGGCAGTGTTGGAAGATATATCAACCCAGGTCTCTGCAGCATTGAGCCAGAAGATGCCCAAGTCGCGATGAGGGTTGTGTGCCAGGAGCACAGGCACAGACCCATACAAGGCCATTGGGTTGTACAGCTCATACTGGAACACATCCAAATTGTAGAGGCGATATGGCTCCCCACCCCTGCAGGCAAACAGACAGACTTGGGCTGCTAACTGGCCCCAGGCTGCGTTATATGCTAACACCACTCCACAGACACAGGTGAGAGATAAGCAAAGGCTCCTCTTGTCCTTTCTCAAAAAATTTTCTATCACCAAAGGTGATTCTGGACACAAGAAATGACCCATGCTTGCCTAGAGTATCCAATATGCACACCCATCTCCCTAAAGGCCTGACTCCTTCCTGCCCACCTCCATCTTCCTGATGTCACCATAGGACTCACTCAGTGACCTTCAGCCTCAGGTTGTCTGCATGCTCAGGGATCCCATAGACATGCTCCATGCCTGGCAGAGAGAAGTCCAAACCCACAGACATGGGGCCTGGAAGAAAAACAAACAAGCTTCAGAGCTTCTGCTTGGAAAGGAGCCCTGCACCCCAGCCCAAGGAACCCGAGCCCCTCACCATACGGCTTGCTGTCAGAGTGAGTTTTGAATGTCTCCTCCCAGGCTCCTGGCTCATCTTTCTCTGCCTTCCCCTGAGTCTCCTCTGGCTGTTAAGAAGAAAAGAGGACCACTCTCCAATCATACCAGTTCTCTCTTTCCCCGCTCCCATCAACTAAATCCCATCCCTGATGGGGAGACTAAGTTCAAGTTTCTCATGGGCCTCTCCCCTCCACCCTCCCAGCCAGCCCTATCCTCCAACCACCCACCCGCTCCAACTTGCCTTGTCGCCATCCCTGGGTGTTTCCTCAGGCTGGGCCCCATCGCCCTCAGCTGGGTCTTTTGATCCTTGCCTGGAAGGTAGGAGAGCTGTCTGCTCCAATCCAGAGGGGGCAGGGACGAGGGGCTAGTGGAAGGAGGGGTTGGGGAATAGAGAGCCAAGGGTCCAAAGGAACGAAGGCATTGGAGGAAGGGACTAAATGTTAAAGCTTGGAGAGGGAACCCACAATGAGCAGATAAGTTTGCAAAGGATGGGGAGAGAAATGAGAAAGGAAAATGAGGAATAAGTGCCACCAGGAGGCACAGGCCTGAACACCAGCCTCTGTCAACATCCCAGAAGAGAAAGGCAGAATGATTCAGGGGCCTGGGTTATGAATGCCAATCCTGGCTCTGTTGCCTCTACTGAGAGATTCTGGCCCCAAGTGCTCTCCCTGGGCCTCAGCCTCCTGGCCTGACACAATGGCTTTGCAAAGGCATGTGGGTCATACTATACCAAGCCTCTACAGACATACATAGGGACTTCAAGAGATTCTGCCAAAAAATGCTTTCAAGGGCAAGTAGCTCTGCCCAGAACCTCAGGTGCCCCTCAGCTGAGAGTCAGGAACCCCAGCAATAGGCAGCATCTCTCCATCCCCTG
The DNA here is from genome assembly GCF_000001405.40 of Homo sapiens. Classification (NCBI taxonomy): domain Eukaryota; kingdom Metazoa; phylum Chordata; class Mammalia; order Primates; family Hominidae; genus Homo; species Homo sapiens. The sequence continues at coordinate 62,634,078 of NC_000011.10, forward strand.
GCAAAGCAATAAGCTCCCTACATTCCCGAAGGACCTGACTTTCAGTATCTCACCTTCCTTCTTCTGGGGGCTCCCAGCCAGGGTAACAGGTAACAGGACCAGACATCACACAGCAGGGGAAAGTGGGGTGAGTGAAAGGCTGGAAGGGTCTGGGGCACCTCCCCCCAAAGGCTAGAGTGAGGAATGGGTAAGGGCAGAGGAACAGATACAGTACCGGTGGCCATGGATTTACCTAGAGAAAAGGTTCTTGATCTTATCCCATATGCTACCAAGCGTGAGATTAACCTTATCCGAGAAACTGGGGCAGGAGGAGATGGGTAGGGAAGGGGAAAAAGAGGCACAAAACCAACACAAAAACAGAAACATAAAAGTGAGTTTCAGTCGACAAACTTCCAGAGATGGGGGGAAAAAGAAACCAAAAAAAATAAATAAATAAAAACGAAGAAAATAAATCTGGGAAATGTGATGATGTGAGAAGGGGAAGAAGGAGACACAGACCCAGGCAGGCCTCCCAGAGATGCCCAGGGTACAGCTCAGGGACAAAAGTGACTGCCTCCTGGTCTGTACAGGAAATGGAAAAAACCGCACCCGGGTCTGGTTCCTACCCTCCCTGACAGAGAGCTTCTCCCAGCCCCCAGGCCCTACCTGGCTGTCCCACCACCGTCTCCTCCCCGTGCCAGACCTCACAACACCCCTATGCTCTTTCACACTAGGTTCCCTGCAGTCCCAACCCCTGTACTCACGAGACCCTAGGGGCCCTCTGATGCTCAAACTCCAAGAGTCCTCGGGCATTGACACTAAGCAAAAGACTTCGGTCCTCTAGTAGGTCAAGGCGGAATGGCCGTGCTGTCAAGATGATCTTGTAGGGTCCCTCAGCCATGGTTAACTCCACACTGTTCTCATCACGACCAGAGACAGAAAGCCTGGGAAACATATCAAAAGAAATATAAGGAAGTACAAAGGGCCAAGAGGAGTAATGACACTTTAGAAGACCGGGGGAAATCTACCTGTTAAGAGAAATAGGCAGTGTGGTAACAGAGCAGGGATAGACAAGTTAATAAACAGAACCAAAGGGCCCAGAAACAGACCCAAGCATATTTATTACTTTTTTCTTTTTTTTTTTTGAGACGGAGTTTCACTCTTGTTGCCCAGGCTGGAGTGCAATGGCGCAATCTCGGCTCACCGCAACCTCCGTCTCCCAGGTTCAAGCAATTCTCCTGCCTCAGCCTCCAAATAGCTGGGATTACAGGCATGCACCACCACACCTGGCTAATTTTGTATTTTTAGTAGAGATGGGGTTTCTTCATGTTGAGGCTGGTCTCAAACTCCTGACCTCAGGTGATCCACCCACCTCGGCCTCGCAAAGTGCTGGGATTACAGGCGTGAGCCACTGTGCCTGGCCACTTATTACTTTTTTAAATGTACTAAATACTAAGAGGTGGCATAGCAGATGAGAGAGGAAAGGAGAACTATTCAAAAATGGAACTGAAAAAACATTTTCCATATAGGAAAAAAAATGATTTTCCAAATATGAAGAAAAATGATGTACTTCTTTTTTTTTTTTTTGAGATGGAGTCTCGCTCTGTTGCCCAGGCTGGAGCACAGTGGCACAACCTTGGCTCACTGCAACCTCCACCTTCCAGGTTCAAGTGATTCTCCTGACTCAGCCTCCCTAGTAACTGATATTACAGGCAGGTGCCACCACACCCGGCTAATTTTTTTTTGTATTTTTAGGAGATATGATTTTTCGCCATGTTGGCCAGGCTAATCTCAAACTCCTGACCTCAAGTGATCCACTTGCCTCGGCCTCCCAAAGTGCTGGGATTACAGGCATGAGCTACCACGCCCAACCCCTTGATATCATATTTCTATCTAATACCAGATACAAGTATCAACTGCAGAAAGATTATGACTTAAAAAATTTTTTTTTCTTAAGATAGTCTCACTCTATCACCCAGACTGGAGTGCAGTGGCACAATCTCGGCTCATTGCAACCTCTGCCTCCCAGTTTCAAGTGATTCTTGTGCATCAGGCACCCGAGTAGCTGGAATTACAGGCGCCCACCACCACGCCCGGCTAAGTTTTGTATTTTCAGTAGAGACGGGGTTTCACCATGTTGACCAGGCTGGTCTTGTACTCCTGACCTCAAGTGATCTGTCCGCCTTGGCCTCTCGAAGTGCTGGGATTACAGGTATGAGCCATCACACCCAGCCTGCTTAAAATTTAAAAGTAAAAGCTTTAGGATGGGCTCGGTGGCCCACTATTGTAATCCCAGCACTTTGGGAGGCCGAGGCAGGTGGATCGCTTGAGCCCTGGTGTTCAAGACCAGACTGGGCAACATGGCAAAAACCCATCTCTACCAAAAATACAAAAATTAGCCAGTCTCATAACCCGATCTCAAAATAAGTAAATAAATGAAAGCAAAAGTGTTAGAAGAAAATTAAAAAATATATTTTTGGCCAGGCATGGTGGCTCATTCCTGTAATCTCAGCACTTTCGGAGGCCGAGGCAGGTGGATCATGAGGTCAGGAGTTTGAGACCAGCCTGGTCAACATAGTGAAACCCTGTCTCTACTAAAAATACAAAAAGTAGCCGGGTATAGTGACGCACGCCTGTAGTCCCAGCTACTTGGGCATAGTGGCATGAGCCTGCAGTCCCAGCTACTCGGGCATAGTGGTGCACGCCTGTAGTCCCAGCTACTCAGGCATAGTGGTGCACGCCTGTAGTCCCAGCTACTCGGGAGGCTGATGCTGAAGAAAGAATCGCTTCAACACAGGAGGCGGAGGTTGTGGTGAGCCAAGATCGCACTACTGCACTCAGCCTAAGCAACAGAGCAAGACTCTGTCTCAAAAAATATATATATATATATTTTTTTCTGACCTTGGGGTAGATAAAGACTAAATACAACAAACAAAAGGCTAACAACAGAAGGTAAAAGACTGATACATCTAAATACATTAAAATTAGGAATTTCTGTTTATCAAAAGTACCTTTAGGATCATTAAGAAAAAGGAAAAGTCTAAGAAATTTTATCAGTCTAGAGGGCCCTAAGGAAACATGACAACTAAATGTAATAACATATCCTGGATGAAATCCTGGAACAGAAAAAGAACATACACAAAAACTAAAGAAACCTCAAGTATGAACTTTAGTAACTAATGTATCACTATCAATTCACTAGGTATCACAAATGAACCATAGTCATATTAATAATAGGGAAGGCTGGCCGGGTGTGGTGGCTCAAGCCTGTAATCCTAGCACTTTGGGAGGCTGAGATGGGCAGATCACGATGTCAGGAGATCGAGACCATCCTGGCTTGCCCAGCTTCAATGAGGGCTTCTTATAAATCACTGGTGGAAGTGTAAATTGGTAAACCACTTTGGCTTTATCTTGCGAAGCTGATCATCTCCATATTCTACAATCCTGCAATTCCTCTCCTAGTTATACACCAAAGAGAAACTCCCAAGCAAGGATAACAGGAGACATGTACAAGAAGGTTCGTAGCAACACTTTGGCTAGCAAAACACTGGAAACAACCCCAAGGCTTATCAACCTAAAAATGGATTAATCAGTTGGGGTATATTCATACAACATAATAATATGCAGCAGTAAAAATGAATGAACTAGAGCTATATGAAATGGAATTAAATAAAGTTATGTGAAAAACGGAAACCCAGCCGGGCGCGGTGGCTCACACCTGTAATTCCAGCACTTTGGGAGGCTGAGGCGGGCGGATCACGAGGTCAGGAGATTGAGACCATCCTGGCTAACGCAGATCACGCCACTGTACTCCAGCCTGGGAGACAGCGAGACTCCATCTCAAAAAAAAAAAAAGAAAAAACGGAAACCCCAGAAGACCACATGCACTAAGACACTTCCTCTGTAAAGCTCAAAAACAAAAAATATATATAATTTATTGCTTAGGCACACAGACATATGTGTGCATATGTATACACACATAATACAACTGTAAGAACAAAAAAAAGGCAAAGGAAGGATAAGCTTCAGAATAACGACTACCTACGTCTGGAGCCGTCAAGGGTACAGGACAGTGCGGGTTGGGCTGAGTGAAGAGTTTATAGGGTGGAGTATTTGAGACGGAGTCTCACTCTGTCGCCCAGGCTGTAGTGCAGTGACACAATCTCGGCTCACTGCAACCTCTGCCTCCTGGGTTCAAGTAACCGTCCTGCCTCGGCCTCCTGAGTAGCTGGGATTACAGGTCCGCACCACCACACCTGGCTGATTTTTGTATTTTTAGTAGAGATGGGGTTTCACCATGTTGGCCAAGCTGGTCTCCAACTCCTGACCTCGTGATCTGCCCACCTCGACCTCCCAAAGTGCTGGGATTACAGGCGTTGAGCCACCATGCCCGGCCACTATGTTATTTTCTGAATTATGTATTTAAGAGAAAGTCATGGATGGATGCATGGAACACTGGTGACAGAGTATCATGACACAAGAATCTGAGTAATCCTATTCTGAATATCTAAGGAAAAGGAAAGGAGGAAGGAAGGAAGGAAGGAAGGAAGGAAGGAAGGAAGGAAGGAAGGAAGGAAGGAAGGAAGGAAGCAAGCAAACAAGCAAGCAGGTAGACATTGTATTCCTGGAGAACGAGATCTGTAAATAAACAGGGCCTTGTTTATTTCTGCTTATATAACCAGCATCCAGCCCAGGCCTGTCAGGGAGGAAAAAGCAATAATTGTTTGCTGAATGAATGAATGAGGATAAAGGGATAAAGAGAAAAGTGAAACAGAAGAAGAGGTGGGGAAAGGTTGAGGAGTATGGCAAGGTGCTATGCTAGTTAACTACTACCTTATTTTGGGAAAGAATATCAGCAACCAAAAAAAGGTTCATCAGGAAGGAGAAAGGGGCCACAGAAATGGATGTTTCTCAGGAAAAATTTACCGGGCTATTGGTGGATCAGCCACCAAAACATCTGGTACACGGTATCGGGGTCGCCGAGGCTCCAGCTCATCAATCCTGAACCGAGTCATGTTCTTTTGAAGCCCCTGAAGCTCTAGCACCAGCAACACCTGCGGGGACAGAGGTTTGGATCTGGAGAAAGGAAATGGGATACACCATGGAATGCTCTTTGAACCCATTCTCTCCTAAGGGGTTTCTTCCTTTGAGCCCTTTGCCTAAAGGCCAAGATCACATTTCTTCATAAAGTAAAAGTCCAAAGATTAGGCTGGGACAAGATGTTGGCCACAATTTCCCCCTTTCCAAATTACCCCACAGCCATTGCCCCACCCCCACCAGACTCTTCCTTGTCTCTCCTGACCTTGGTGACCTCATGGATCAGATGGACCGTGAGGGAATCAGGACCAAGCTGTAGAGAGTCCAGCAAGGCTCGGTATGGAGAGAGGCCTGGCCGTATGCTTCTCTGTCGCCTGCCAAGTGAAGGGTTGGGAAGTAAGGTAAAGGCCACCTGCAATGTCCCTAAGTCAGTCTATCACCTGCAGTGTCCTTAGGCACTCCATCTGCCACAGATATCTCCCACATTACCCTACAACCCTACATTCCATCCCTCTCCCCCAGAAATATCATACTTGCAGAAAGAACTCTCTTCACAGGTCTTAAAGTTGCTTCTATCCACAGCAAGGGTAATCCCCAGGCAGACCCCTAAAAAAGCCAGTACCAAAGACGCCCAAGACCTAAGGAGAAAAGGACAAAGACAGAGCAATCAGCATGGAGGTCAGAAGGGGCCCCCTTCAAAAGGAAAAGCTTCTTCCTGTCATAGCACTAGAAGATAGTTGAGGAAAGAGGGGAGAAAGATGTAGTCACATCAAATACAAAACAAGGCAGAGTGGACACAGGGTTAAGGATCAGGCCTGAGAAGTTGGCTCACTCACACCTTCCCTTTGAAAGGCAGAGTAGGCTGGGCGTGGTGGCTCACTCCTGTAATCCCAGCACTTTGGGAGGCTGCGGCGGGCGGATCACGAGGTCAGGAGATCAAGACCATCCTGGCTAACACGGTGAAACCCTGTCTCTACTAAAAATACAAAAAAAATTAGCTGGGCGTGGTGGCGGCCACCTGAAGTCCCAGCTACTCGGGAGGCTGAGGCAGGAGAATGGCGTGAACCCAGGAGGCGGAGCTTACAGTGAGCCAAGATCGTGCCACTGCACTCCAGCCTGGGCGACAGAGCTAGACAAAAAAAAAAAAAAAAAAAAAAAAGCCAGGCGCGGTGGCTCACGCCTGTAATCCCAGCACTCTGGGAGGCTGAAGTGGGCGGATCACGAGGTCAGGAGATCGAGACCATCCTGGCTAACACAGTGAAACCCCGTCTCTACTAAAAATACAAAAAATTAGCCGGGCGTGGTGGCAGGTGTCTGTAGTCCCAGCTACTTGGGAGGCTGGAGCTGGAGAATGGCATGAATCCGGGAGGCAGAACTTGCAGTGAGTCAAGATCGCACCACTGCACTCCAGCCTGGGTGACAGAGTGAGACTCCATCTCCAAAAAAAAAAAAAAAAAGGGCCGGGTGCGGTGGCTCATGCCTGTAATCCCAGCACTTAGGGAGGCCAAGGCTGACAGATCACGAGGTCAGGAGTTTGAGACCATCCTGGCTAACACGGTGAAACTCTGTCTCTATTAAAAATACACAAAATTATCCAGGCGTGGTGGTGGGCAGCTGTAGTCCCAGCTACTCGGGAGGCTGAGGCAGGAGAATGGTGTGAACCTGGGAGGTGGAGCTTGCAGTGAGCTGAGATCACTCCACTGCACTCCAGCCTGGGCGACAAAGTAAAACTCCCTCTCAAAAAAAAAAAAAAAAAAAAAGGCAGAGTACACAGAGGATCTTTCACCTTCAGAGGCCCTGGTGTTGACTCTGGTGACATCAGCCTCTCAGAGGAAAGGAGCAGTAACAGCCAGTCTCAGAGGAAATGGTAGTACCATATGCGTGGAACAGAGAAACAAAGCAAGCCACATCTTTCTATCGGCAAGGCATTGGGTGGATGCAAAGTTAAAGAGCTAAACATGAAGGCCGGGCGCAGTGGCTCATGTCACGTCTGTAATCCCACCACTTTGGGAGGCTGAGGCGGGTGGATCACTTGAGGTCAGGAGTTCAAGACCAGCCTGGCCAACATGATGAAACCCCATCTCTACTTAAAATACAAAAATTAGCTGGGCATGGCGTTGAGCATCTGTAGTGACAGCTACTCGGGAGGCTGAGGCATGAGAATCGCTTGAACCCGGGAGGCAGAGGTTGCAGTGAGCCAAGATTGTGCTACTGCACTCCAGCCTAGGTGATGGAGCAAAACTCTCAGAAAAAAAAAAAAAAAAAAGATGTACCCTCAGCTAGCCTGCTGGTTACAGTTCCTAGGGTCCTAACATCCCTAGCACCCTAGGCAGCCTGTTTCTCTGATTTCTACTCCTGTATCTTCAAAACACCACCATCACTACCCAAAGCTGAAAAAAAATAACAATAGCTAAAATGTTCTGAGCCCTAATGCACCCCTAGGGGCCTGGGTAATCACTTTATATTACTAGTTTTTAATACTGCCTGCAGTTTTTGTTTTTTGCTTTGAGACAGTCTCACTCCATCACCCTGGCTAGAGTGCCATGGCATGATCTCAGCTCACTGTAACCTCCGCCTCCCAGGTTCAAGCAATTCCCATGCCTCAACCTCCTAAGTAACTGAATTACAGGAGCACGCCACCATGCCCAGCTAATTTTTGTATTTTTGGTAGAGACGGAGTTTCACCATGTTGGCCAGGCTGATCTTGAATTCCTGACCTCAGGTGATCCACCTGCCTCACCCTCCCAAGTAGCTGGGACTACAGTTGCTCGCCACAGCACCCAGCTAATTTTTAAAAAGTTGTGGTTTTTGTTTTTTTTCTGGCCAGGCGCAGTGGCTCACACCTGTAAACCCAGCACTTTGGGAGGCCGGGGTGGGCGGATCACAAGGTCAGGAGTTCGAGACCAGGCTGGCAAAGAGACCAGCCTGGCCAATATGGTGAAACCCCATCTCTACTAAAAATACAAAAATTAGCCAGGCATGGGAGCAGGGGCCTGTAATCCCAGCTATTCAGGAGGCTGAGGCAGGAGAACTGCTTGAACCAGGAGGTGGAGGTTACACTGAGCAGATCATGCCATTGCACTCCAGCCTGGGCAACAGAGCGTGACTCTGACTCAAAAAAAATAAATAAAAATTTTTTTTGGTAGCAACAGGGCCTCACTTTGTTGCCCAGGCTGGTCTTAAACTCCTGGGCTCAAGCAGTCCTCCCATCTTGGCCTCCCAAAGTGTTGGGATTATAGTGTCAGCCACTGTGCCCAGCCTGCCTGCAGTTTTTAACAATATCAGTGACCTGGTCTCACTTCTAAAAATTTTAACTTAATCAGAGAGAAGCCTGGGCATCAGACTTTTTTTTTTTTTTTGAGATGGAGCCTTGCTCTGTCACCCAGGTTGGAGTGCAGTGACATGATCTCAGCTCACTGCAACCTCTGCCTCCTGGGTTCAAGCGATTCTCCCGCCTCAGCCTCCCGAGCAGCTGGGATTACAGGTGCCCACCACCATGCCCAGCTAATTTTTTGTATTTTTAGTAGAGACGGGGTTTCATCATGTTGGCCAGGCTCGTATCGAACTCCTGACCTAGATCCGCCCGTCTCAGTCTCCCACAGTGCTGGGATTACAGGCGTTGTGTCATCGCGCCCCACTGGCTAAAGTTTTTTTAAAGTTCCCTAAACAACTCTAATGAGCAACCTGGGTTCACAACCACTTCTTTACATGCATCTTCTTTTCCCTTTCTTCCATTGTTTTCTTGGTGAATATAGGGTTGGGGTTTATTTCCAGATGGGAAAATTAAAGCATAAAAGGTTGAATAGTTCACCCAAGATTAAATAGCTGGTAAGGGATGAAACGAACTGAACCCAGTTGTGCTTGACTCTGGGGCCCATGTGCTTTACCATGATGCACAATACAGCACACTAATCACTAGCAGGATGAAATGGGCCTGTCTCATTGAGGACCATCATCCCAAGGTTATCACGAATTGTCAATTTCCCAATGTGCTATGAAATGACAGATAAGAGACTAATAGGCTTATTTAAATAAGTTAGTTTGAAGAATATATTCATCCAGGATTCATCCTTAGGATTCTGAATAAATCCTAAACAGAGATTCTCAAATTTTAATGTCTGTTAAGAATCAGCCAGGCATGGTAGCTCACACCTATAATCTTGGCACTTTGGGAGGCCCAGGTGGGCAGATCACGAGATCAGGAGTTAGACCAGCCTGGCCAACATGGCGAAACTCCATCTCTACTAAAAATACAAAAATTAGGCCGGGCGTGGTGGCTCACACCTGTAATCCCAGCTCTTTGTGAAGCTGAGGCGGGTGGATCACCTGAGGTCAGGAGTTTGAGGCCAGCCTGGCCAACATGATGAAACCCCGTCTCTACTAAAAATACAAAAAAAAAATTAACAGGGCATGGTGGCACACGCCTGCAGTCCCAGCTACTCAGGAGGCTGAGGCAGGAAAATTGCTTGAACCCGGGAGGCAGAGGTTGCAGTGAGCCAAGGTTGTGCCACTGCATTCCAGCCTGGGCGACACAGCGAAACACCACCTAGAAAAAAATAGATATATACAAAAATTAGCCAGGCGTAGTGGCACATGCCTATAATCCCAGCTACTGGGGAGGCTGAGGAACGAGAATGGTTTGAGCCTGGGAGTCAGAGGTTGCAGTGAGCTGAGATCGCACCACTGCACTCTAGCCTGGGTGACAAAGTGTGACTCTGTCTCAAAAACAAGAAAAAAAAGTTGCCCAGGCTTGTCTTGAACTTCTAGGCTAAAGCCATCTTTCCACCTTGGCCTTCCAAAATGCTGGAATTACAGGCGTGAGCCACTGCACCCACCCTGGATACCGCATTTTATTTTTAATTTTTTTTGAAACTGAGTTTCACTCTTGTTGCCCATGCTGGAGTGCAATGGCACGATCTTGGCTCACCGCAACCTCTGCCTCGCGGGTTCAAGCAATTCTCCTGCCTCTGCCTCCCAAGTAGCTGGGATTACAGGCGCGTGCCACCACACTCGGCTAATTTTGTATTTTTAGTAGAGACGGGGTTTCTCTGTGTTGGTCAGGCTGGTCTCGAACTCCCAACCTCAGGTGATTCGCCAGCCTCGGCCTCCCAAAGTGCTGGGATTACAGGTGTGAGCCATCGTGCCCGGCTGACACCACATTTTAAACATGCTCTCCCAGTGACACTGATATGGGCAGAATACGAGCATACTCTGAGAAAGTGTTTCAAACTGGGGGTGGGAGGGTTCTTCTAAGCAATAAAGTTTTACAACCAGCCAGGCACAGTGGCTCACGTCTATAATCCTAGCACTTTGGGAGGTCAAAAAGGGAAGATTGGGCAACACAGCAAGACCTCGTCTCTACTTAAAAAAAAAAAAGAGTAGCAAGGCATGGTGGCAGGTGCCTGTAGTCCCAGCTAATCAGGAGGCTGAAGCCGGAGGACTGCCTGAACGCAAGAGTTTGAGGCTGCATGAGCTACGATTGCACCACTGCTCTCCAGCCTGGGCCACAGCACAAGACTCTGTCTCAAAAAAGTAAATTAATTAAGACTGGTCAATGGGGTGTCTACTAAAAATACAAAAATTAGCTGGGCACGGTGGCACACGTCTGTAATCCCAGGACTCGGGAGGATGAGGCAGGAGAATCGCTTGAACTCGGGAGGTGGAAGCTGGAGTAAGCCGAGATTGCACCCCTGCACTCCATCCTAGGCAACAGAGCGAGACCCTGTTTCAATAAGTAAACAAACAAATAAATAAATAAATAAAATTTGACAACCTATAATAAGGTAACTAAAGACAGGGTCTATTATACACATTGTATCTAGTTATCTAGCATTAGCTTCAGCATCTGCTTGAAAGCTAAAAGAAAATTACCAGAAATGAGATCACAGAGTGTACTATGATCTCATCACAGGACTCTCCTCCAGCTCCAGAGGAATGTACGAAACAACTGTTCCACAGCAGGCCAGACAGAAAAATGAAGAAAACACTAGGCACTGTGGTTTAATAGGCCAAGCAGAATAAATGCTACCACAAAACTCCATAGCAAGGCATGCGGCACAGGTCCTGCAGTGAGTGACCTGAGTGACTGCAACAGGCACTCTTGGCCACTGACCCACGTCCACCTGCCAAAAGCAGCAGTAAATAGAAGTACAGTGAGTTGAGGCCGGGCGCGGTGGCTCACGCCTGTAATCCCAGCACTTTGGGAGGCCGAGGCGGGTGGATCACGAGGTCAAGAGATCGAGATCATCCTCACCAACATAGTGAAACCCCGTCTCTACTAAAAATACAAAAAAATAGCCAGGCGTGGTGGCGGGTGCCTGTAGTCCCAGCTACTCGGGAGGCTGAGGCAGGAGAATGGCGTGAACCCAGGAGGCGGAGCTTGCAGTGAGCCGAGATCTCGCCACTGCACTCCAGCCTGGGCAACAGAGCGAGACTCTGTCTCTCAAAAAAAAAAAAAAAAGACGTACAGTGAGTTAAATACCCTCTGGGGCCCTATTTGCACAGTCTGTAAAATTGGTTCGGAAAGATGCCAATGGAGATAGGATTCCTAAAGCATCTTTCAGATATGACCTGTTGGAGGGCCCTAAGGAATTCACGGCGGCCTTGACCACCCCAAGAGAGGTGTTCATAGGCCAAAGTCAGGAATAAGCTGCAGGGCAAGTTGCACGCATTTATTGTTTCAGATCACAGGCTCCGAGGGAACTGAGTTTATGATCCACGCTTTCTTCATCGCTTTGGAGAGTACACGCCTACCCCACCCCAGTATATCCGTTAGGTCCTAGTAAACATTTGTGGCACTGGTGATATGTTTCGAATCTTTTTTTTTCCCCAGTAATATAAACCCGAGAGCGTGGACCAAGCCATTCGATTACATGTTGTGTTTGAGCAACACCATCCACGCCGTGAGCTTACTGGACCCTGGGCCGTGCCCAGCGACCGTGGACACTGAACTAAGCCAGAGCTGGTGCTCACGTGAAGACAAGGGCAGAGGAGGATTCGGAGCTCTACAGGGTAGAGCCAGAAGGGTAGTACAGGCTTAACTGCTGGCCCGGTGCTTCCAGCTCAGCCGAGGGGCCGCGGGGCCGCAGGCTGCATTCCCCGAGGCCAGGCCGCATCTTTTCCCCCGCCCCGACGACCCCGCGCACTGCAGGAAGGGGGCGGCGACGTTGACCGCCGCAAGCAGCCAAAGGAGGGCGGCGGCTGAGAGCGGCCAAGACCAAGAAAGACGCACAGCTGTGGCTTTACTAAACCGCCGGGCGGGAGCCCGGAGCCCCACAGGCAAGGCCCCCAGCGTCGCTCGGATCTACCACGGGGAGACCGGAGGCGTCTGAGGCCGCCTCCAGAGGAACAAAGGTTCCTCACGAGGCCGGGGGTGGCAGAGTGTCAAGAGACACACAGGAAGGAGTGGAATGGGACTTGGGGGATCTGGGGGCGTCCCGGGCGCGCCCCCAGATTCCGGGCTCCTCACCGCCTCCTACGCGCCGCCACTGCCGCTACCGCCGCCATCTTGTGCAGAGTTTGCTCCTTGACCCCAAACCTCCCGCCCCATCGCGCGCGCTCAGCCACGTATCCTAGTTCCCGCCCCTTCCGGCCTTATGATTGGTTCGACCTGAGCGCCGCCGGGCAGCTGTCTCATTGGTAGAGTGCGCACTCCAAATTATCGCAGGGGGCGGGGCTTCAGGCCAGGGGCGGGAACGTCCAGAGCCAGGCGCTGTCAGACTTTGCACGCTCTCAGCATGACAGAAGCACTGGACTGGTTTTCTCAAGTTGGCAAATTTTATTTAGAAAAAAAAAAGTGGGAGAGAAAAAAGTGACAGCGCTCTTTAGACCAAGGACTTAGAAGAGAAACCTCCACCCTTCCGGAGCACGTTAGTCCCTTCCCTCTCTCACTGCTCAACCTCCCTGGGCTTCCAGAGCAAGAAAAGGCTACGTCCCCTGTCGAAGGAGAGTGGACGGTGAAGGTGCCTGGAAACGGCCAGAGAAAAGACCTAGGCGGTCGATGTTGCGGTGGAGGACACTGTGCAGCACAGCCAGATGGGGTCCACCCTCACCTCCACCCTCCCTGGAGAAGTCCCGAATGAAGCGACCCCGCTCTGATTGGAAGATGAACTTCTGAGGCAAGGGCCCATGCTCCCGGAGAAAACCCCAGACACTGAGCAGCAGCAGACGCACCTCGAAAGGTGCCAGTTGGCTAAATACTTCATGCATATTACCCAGGGCCGGAGGCAGGAGGCTTCCCTCAGCCATGACAGCCACTAAGGTGCAGGATGCCTCCAGGTGCCAGGGGGAGTGGGTCGTGTCAGGGTGGCGAGAGGCTTCCCAATGGCCCAAGAGGGCGGCCAGCAGCCCCCGAAGCAGCACGGAACAGTAGCACAGGGCTGGGGGTGCAGCTGCTACCAGCTTTAACAGCTCAAAGAGCAGGGGCTGTTCGCGGAAGCGCCGGCCAATGCGGAGATCCCGCTCCACGGTGGCCCGGGCGTGTTCCTCGGGGGGCCAGGCCAGCTCTGCACCAGCTGCATCGGGACACACACTCTCCACCAAGGTCACTGCCACTGCTTTGGCTGCCTCTGGACTCAAGATGGGTGCCCCCCAGCATTCCCCACATTCAGTGCCCCCTGGGGCACTGCAGCAGTGAACCAGGAGGCTGAGGAGGCTCTGGGTGTTATAGATCACTTCCTGCTGATTTCGTGACTGGACAAACTTGGGTGGCTTTAAGCCACGGCCGATGACTCCAGCATGGAAAACTGACCAAATCCCTCCAGGACCTGGCACAGCTGCAGTGTGCCTCCGGTTAGTGTCCAACAGGGAGGCAGAAGCCAAAGAAGCTGAAACAACTGAGAGAGTCTCATTGTCCCCATCTACTTGCCCACCAAACAGTTCTGTGTTGCCTCGATGTAAGGCTCCTTCAACCAGCAGCTGCAGGACAGCCTTGAGCCCAGCTGGGGATGTCTGAGACAGGCGGGTGAGAAGCTGACAGGCTGAGGCCACACCTGGGGGTCCATGCAGCCTCAGAGAGGCAAAGAAGCGGTGCACCCCAGCCCTTACCAGTCCCAGGAGCTGGGAGGGGGATAAGGCTTCAGAAGGAAAGGGACAAATGGCCAGGAGAGAGGCAGCAGCTTCAGCTACTTCCTCCTCAGGATGTAGCAGGAGAGGAGCCAGGTCAGACAGATGGGCTGAGGCAGATTCCCCAAAGTGCGCCCCTAGGGCTGCAGGGCCCTCGCCACCCTGCTGTTCCCACCCTACTAGCAGTGCCAAGTTGCGCAGGAACCGGGCCGTGAAGGGAGGCTGTAATGTCCCTGCATGCACCCGAGCCAGACAGCTTCGGAAAGCCAGGGGCAGGAGGCCAGAGAGGCTGACCACTAGCCCTGCATATAACTGGGTGGCCAAACTCAACTCTTCAGGGCTTCGGGCTCGGCTCAGCAGATGGCCCAAGGCCTCAGGTCCACAGCTAGGCCGGGTATAGACAGACAGCAGGCCCAAGAGCTGGTGCTGCCAGAGGAAGCGCTTCCGTTCCAATCGTAACGTCTCTCCACACAGCTCTCCAACATGGTTTTTGAGCGCATCTAAAAAGGGCACCAAGCGGGGAGGTGGGGGCGGGCCTAGCACCCCTTCCCCAGGAGACCCTCCCCGGTGATGAACCAGTTTTTGCAGGTGCAGCAGCAGCAGCTGGATTAGCCGGTCACAAGCCTCACGCACGGTGTCTGGCACAGCCAGGCCCTGGGTGGTAATGACCGAAGCAGGCATAGCTGTGTCCACCAGGAACTGCAGCAAGCGGTAGGCACCTGCCCCAGAGGCCTGGCTCACCAGGTGCACAGCCAGGTTCAACATGTTGTCCAGCTCCTCTCGGGGGAATCCTTGAAGGTGTTGCTGCAGCTGGCTCAGCACAGCTGGGGGCTTGAGGCAATCCACAAGCTCTCCAGAGACAGTGCCCAGCAAAGCTGGTGACATGACTGCCAGCTGCAGTAGGAACGGAACCGTGGCCTGAAGGGAGGGGTCCCCACTGCGGCCTCCAGATCCCCCTGCCAGGCTATCATGGAACATTCGCAGGAGCTCCCGTCGGATGCTATCTCCGTGGCGGGAGGCCAGGTGACCTAGGATGCCTACAACTGAGGCAATCTTGGGCACCCGTTTCTCCGCAGGAATGGCAGGAGATCCAGGGAAGGGGTCTGTAGAGGGGGTCTGAGAAGAGCTTCCACCACTACTGCCAGCTCCACCTCCAGCCCCACCATGGACACAAAAGTCCTTAAGGCCACAGGAGAGAACCCGGGAAATGATGGTGCCAGGAAAAGAGGAGCCAATATGTGCCACAACCCAGTCAAAGTGTGGAGAATGCTGAACAGAGGTATCCAGCAAGGCATCCACACACGCATCTGGGCAGCTACCAATGAGAGCCGAGAGGCACTGCACATAGATGTCCATTAATGTACGCGTGGCCCTACAACCCATCCACAGCTGTAGCAGTTCATTAAGAGCGCCAGTAGCGTGGGGAACACGCTGGTGCTGGCCTGAGTACGTGCTGCTCAGTTGCCCCATGAGGTCAATGGACCATGCACTAATCACAGGTGCCCAGGCCTTTGGGTTGGCCCGGATAAACTCAGACAGCACCTGCTGCACTTCCTGAACCACATCCTCTAGACCAGGTCCACCAGCAGGGACATGAGAGGGTGGAGGTGGACGGAGGTGAGGTGGACCAGCCACAGGGGTTTCATCCAGGGCAGCCAGGTGGGCCCGGACACTCTCATCAAAGACACCTCTCAAGTGGTCAAGCACAGCAGCCCGAGCAGGTGGCAAAGAACGGAGCAGGAGAAGACCACAGCGAGCATGTTCCCGGGCTGAGAGTTGGTGGCCCAGAATGGGGTCTACGCCAGTCAGAAAAGCCTTGATTTCCTGGGACAGCTCCTGAGCACTACAAGGAAGCAAAAGAAACAGACTTAAGAGTGTTGTGAGATGTTAGGCAACTTACCTTTCCTGTATGAGCTTTGCCTTTTATGTTAAATAGGGATAATAAAAATACTTCCCTCATAAGAGAATTTTTTTTTTTGAGATGGAGTCTCGCTCTGTTGTCCAGGCTGGAGTGCAGTGGCATGATCTCAGCTCACTGCAAGCTCCGCCTCCTGGGTTCACGCCATTCTCCTGCCTCAGCCTCCCTAGTAGCTGGGACTACAGGCACCCGCCACCATGCCTAGCTAATTTTTTGTATTTTTAGTACAGATGGGGTTTCACCGTGTTAGCCAGGATGGTCTTGATCTCCTGACCTCATGATCCGTCCTCCTCGGCCTCCAAAAGTGTTGGGATTACAGGCGTGAGCCACCGCGCCCGGCCTTTGTTTTGTTTTTTGAGATAGAGTCTTGCTTTGTCGCCCAGGCTGGAGTGCAGTGGCGCCACCTTGGCTCACTGCAACCTCCGCCTACTGAGTTCAAGCAATTCTCCTGCCTCAGCCTCCAGAGTAGCTGGGACTACAGGTGTGTGCCACCATACCCGGCTAATTTTTGTATTTTTAGTAGAGACAGATTTTACCATGTTGCCCAGGCTGGTCTCAAACTCCTGACCTCAAGTAATCCGCCCACTTCAGCCTCCCAAAGTGCTAGGAGTACAGGCATGAGCCACTGCTCCCGCCCTGTTTTTGTTTTTCAAGACAGGGTCTCTCTCTGTCACCCAGGCTGGAGTGCAGTGCCAAGATCACAGCTCACTGCAGTCTCGAACTCCCAGACTCAAAGCATCCTCCCATCTCAGCCTCCTGAGTAGCTGCAACTTCAAGCACATGCCACGACACCCAGCTAACTTTTTAACCTTTTTATAGAAATGAGGTCTGGCTATGTTCCACAGGCTGGTTTCATGGCCTCAAGCAGTTTGCCCACCTTAGCCTCCCAAAGTGCTGGCATTACAGGTGTGAGGCACCATGCCTGGTTGAGAATGTTTATAAAGCACTTAAGTTCTGCAGAAGGATGGCCTGAGGGAAAAAAAAGCACTTAGGTTCCATACCAGATTCACACTAATCACTCAATAAAAGCTATGTTTCTTTCTCCCCCCGCCCCGAGAGGGAGTCTCGCTCTGCCGCCCAGGCTGGAGTGCAGTGGTGCCATCTCCACTCACTGCAAGCTCCACCTCCCAGGTTCACGCCATTCTCCTGCCTCAGCCTCCTGAGTAGCTGGGACTACAGGCGCCCGCCACCACGCCCGGCTAATATTTTTTTTTTTATTTTTAGTAGAGACGGGGTTTCACCGTGTTAGCCAGGATGGTCTCGATCTCCTGACCTTGTGATCCTCCCGCCTCGTCCTCCCAAAGTGCTGGGATTACAGGCGTGAGCCACGTGCCCGGCCAAAAGCTATGTTTCTTTCAATGACAACAGTAATAATATCAGCAACAGATAACTCTTAGAATATATCAGGTACTCTTTTAAGTACTTTGCGTGTATTATTTCAATCCTGACAACAGTTCAATAAGTTAGGTACTATTATGATCCCATTTTACAGACAAATCAAGGCTGGCTTCAGTGGCTCACGCCTATAATCCCAGCACTTTGGGAGGCCAAGGCTGGTGGATCGCTTGAGCGCAAGAGTTCAAGACCAGTCTGAGGAACATAGTGAAACCCCATCTCTACAAAAATAATAATAATAATAATTAGCCAGGCATGGTCGCATGTGCCTGCGGTCCCACCTACTGGGGAGGTTGAGGCAGAAGGATCACTTGAGCCCTGGAAGCAGGGCTGCAGTGAGCCAAAATCACACCACTGCACCCCAGACTGTGTGCGCCGTCAAAAAAAAGAACGAAATCAAGGTTAAGCAATCAGACTATATGCGCCATGAGTGTAGGAACCATTTCTGTGCTCTTCAACACTGTATCCACTTCTATTGAAGTACACAGTATATGGAAGGTAGTCAATAAATATCTGTTGAGTTGACTATATTTGTGTTTCTATAATATCTGCTTTAAAAACATTTCCAGGCTGGCTGAGGTGCCTCACGTCTGTAATCCTAGCACTCTGGGAGGCCAAGGAGGGTGGATCACTTGAGGTCAGAAGATCGAAACCAGCCTGGCCAACAGGGTGAAACCTCATCTCTATTAAAAATACAAAAAAAAAAAAAAAATAGCCAGGCATGGTGTAATCCCAGCTACTCAGGAGGCTGAGGCATGAGAATCGCTTGAACCCAGGAGGCGGAGGTTGCAGTAAGCCGAGATCACGCCACTGCACTCCAGCCTGGGAGTCAGGGCGACCATCTCAAAAAACAAAAACAAAAAAAAACACACCTTTCCACTTTATCACCTTCTACCACCACCCCCGCCCCGCCCCATCCCACAACACAAGCACCTTGAAATCTCTTAATGGGAAAAAAAAAAAATTGTAAGCACCTTATTAAGGGCTCTCCCTCCTAACATCTGTTTCTTCCCATATTCTGCAAAATCTTAGTCACCTACCACCACATCAACCACCACCACCTACTCAGCACCCTCAATGTGCTTGGACATCAGGGTGTCCCAGGGCACAGAGTAATAATGCTTTTCAACCCTTTCCCTCCTAAAACATATATGGGTTCAGTCTCAGAGGTTCAGAAGCCAATGTTATGGGAGGTGGCAAATCCCCTTTCTCTTATCGCCTTTTCTGTCAAAGAAGACAGCATCCTCTAGGTGCTGATAAGGCTCTAACAGTGCCATTCCTCTGTTTCCTCCAAAAAACACCCTAATATAAGGGAATATCTCAGCCGGACTGCATTCTGTTTCTGGGCCTGGGTTCTCAGGGAGTCTCTATGAAGTCAGGACACTGGGTTTCCTAGGGTCAAAAATGGCCAGGGCAGCTGGGTTCCCAAGAGTTCAGATACCCCCGACTCTTGGGAGAGGAAGCCCGGGGTCGAGGGTAGTTAGGCATTGGAGTCTAGCGAGAGGCAGGCCCGAGGTCGGGAGGGCGGGCACTGGAGCCCTGAGTTTTGGTGAAGCAGTCCCTGAGTTCTGGGAGGACCTGACCAAGAATCTGAGAACCCTGACGTGAGTTCTCGAGGTAGGATCCGGGTTTCTACCGAGAAGGCTAGGGATCGGCGCGGGGCCGCGCGATGGGGGGAAGGTGCCAAGGGCTCTAACTACCTGAGAGGCGCGGGACCGTGGGTGGCCGGGGCAGGCCCAGGTGGCCCTGGGGCCCCGGGAGGGTCGCACAGCGCGGACATCCCGGAGCCCGAGCCGAGCCCGAGGCGCGAGCGGCGGAGCGCAGGCGGCGCATGCGCGCTGACAGGAAACGCGAAAGGAACCAGCTACCAGGCCTCGCAGGAAAATTAATCCGGCGATGTCCTCGACCCTCTTACATTAGTTCCGCACCCTGTCGGAGTCCCAGAGCATAATCCCGGGACGATGATAGCAGGAAGCCGATTCGCCCTATATGCAACCACTTTATTCAAAAGCCTATTGACATACAGACTAGGCCGGGCGCGGTGGCTCACGCCTGTAAACCCAGCACTTTGAGAGCCCGAGAGGGCGGATCACCTGAGGTCAGGAGTTCAAGACTAGCCTGCCGTCTCTACTGCAAATACAAAAATTAGCCAGGCGTGGTGGCTTATGCCTGTAATCCCGATTACTCGGGAGGCTGAGGCAGGAGAATCGCTTGATCCCGGGAGGCAGAGATTGCAGTGAGCCGAGATCGCGCCACTGCACTCCAGCCTGGGCGACAGAGCAAGAGTCCCGATAGACACACACACACAGAGAGAGAGAGAGAGAGAGAGAGAGAGAGAGAGAGAGAGAGAGAGAGAGAGAGAGAGAGAGAGAGAGAGAGAGAGAAACTAAAACACTCACAGGGGTATTTTAATCATTTTTCCTAACGCCAAAAATACAAAATGTTCAACTCAGGACTTTTTTTTTTTTTTTTTTTTTTTGAGACGGAGTCTCGCTCTGTCGCCCAGGCCGGACTGCGGACTGCAGTGGCGCAATCTCGGCTCACTGCAAGCTCCGCTTCCCGGGTTCACGCCATTCTCCTGCCTCAGCCTCCCGAGTAGCTGGGACTACAGGCGCCCGCCACCGCGCCCGGCTAATTTTTTGTATTTTTAGTAGAGACGGGGTTTCACCTTGTTAGCCAGGATGGTCTCGATCTCCTGACCTCATGATCCACCCGCCTCGGCCTCCCAAAGTGCTGGGATTACAGGCGTGAGCCACCGCGCCCGGCCTCAACTCAGGACTTTAAAAAAATGAAGCATAGGAAGGTTTTTTTGTTGGTGTTGTTGTTGTTATTGTTGTTTATTTTGTGACCGTGCAGTGATAGGATCACCCCTCTCGGCAGCCCCGACCTCCTGGGCTCAAGACATCCTCCCACCTCAGCGTTCTAGGTAGCTGAGATTACAGGCGTGCGCCATCACACTTGGCTACTTTTTAAATATTTTCAGAGTTAGGGATTTGCATGTGGGTGGGGCGAGTGTCTCGCTATGTTGCCCAGTCTGATCTCAAACTCCTGTCCTCAAGTGATTCACCCACCTCAGCTTCCCAAAGCACTGGGATTACAGGAGTAAGCCACGCACACCCGGCCAGTCTCTCTTTGTTTTTGTTTTGTTTTGTTTCGTTTTCCTTTTGAGACAGAGTCTCACTCCCTCACCCAGGCTGGAGTGCAGTGGTGAGATCTGAGCTCACTGCAACCTCCACTTTCCAGGTTCAGGAGATTCTCCTGCCTCAGCCTCCCGAGTAGCTGGGACTATAGGCATCCACTACCAAATCTGGCTAATTTTTTTATTTTTATAGAGACAACGTTTTCCCCTGTCCGCCAATCTGGTCTCAAACTCCTGACCTCAAGTGATCCATCCACCTCAGCCTCCCAAAATGCTGGGATTACAGGCAAGAGCCACCGCACCCAGGCTTTTTTTAAAATCTCATTCTGTCGCCCAGGCTGGAGTGCAGTCTCGTCTCTGCAACCTCCACCTCCCAGGTTCAAGCAATTCTCCTGCCTCAGCCTCCCAAGTAGCTGGGACTACAAGCATGTGCCACCACGCCCAGCTAATTGGAGACATGTTGGCCAGGCTGGTCTCAAACTCCTGACCTCAGGTGATCCGCCCGCCTCAGCCTCCCAAAGTGCTGGGATTACAGGTGTTAGCCACTGCACCCCTCCTACAAAAATACTTTTACGAGAGAGAGAGAAAAGGGAAGAGAGAAAGCAGAAAAGAGATGGAAAGAAGAGAAAACTCATAAAAGAAAAAGAAAAACTAAGAAAGAGAAGGAGGGAGAGGGAGCCCAAAACAAATTGGGCTAGCTAGCCTGAAGATGTCCTCCCAGTAGCAAGTATGAATAACATCCTTCCATCCGTCTTCATTATTTAAGCTTCTCTCTCTCCCACAGCTTCCCAGCATAGGGACCTTCGTCTAACTCACAGCCCCACACCTGCCAGAGATAGAGCTTGCTAACTGTAAAGGGAGCCAGTACACCTCATCAAGAGCCCTCACTCAAGCCAGTGTACCTAGATCAGGTTCCAGCTCTTCTACCTACTAGTTGTATACTTTACTTAACCACTCCATAACTGTTCCTTCTTCTGGAAATGAGGAGGTAATATTAATAGTACAAATACCTCAAAGGGTTGTTACGAAAATTGAAATGAGGTAGTATGGTCATTGTATAGCACTTGGTGCCAGCAATGGTAAGCACTAGATAAGCATTAGCTATTTTTATTATGTTTATTGAATGAAACAGAAAATAAGCTGCTTGACAATAGAGACTTGGCCTATTTTGTTAAAAGCTATATCCTCGGGCTGGGCGTGATGGATCATGCCTATAATCCTAGAACTTTGGGAGGGCGAGGCAGGGGGATCACAAGGTCAGGAGTTCGAGACAAGCTGGCCAACATAGTGAAACTCTGTCTCTACTAAAAATACAAAAAATTAGCTGGGCATTGTGGCGCCCACCTATAGTCCCAGCTACTCTGGAGGCTGAGGCAGGAGAATCCCTTGAAACCGGGAGGTGGAGGTTGTGATGAGCCAAGATTGCACCACTGCACTCCAGCCTGGGCAACAGAGCGAGACTCAGTCTCAAAAAAAAAAAAAAAAATTAGCCAGCGTGGTGGTGAACACCTGTGATCCCAGCTACTCAGGAGGCTGAGGCAGGAGAATCGCCTGAACCCGGGAGGTGGAGGTTACAGTGAGCTGAGACTGCACCACTGCCCTCCAGCCTGGGCAACAGAGCAAGACTCCGTCTTAAACAAAACAAACAAAAAAACAGAACCTACTACATGCCAGGCAGACACTGTTATAGGTGATGAGGATATAGCAGGTTTTGTTGTTGTTGTTGTTGTTTTTGAGACAGAGTCTCGCTCTGTCACCCAGGCCGGAGTGCAACACCATAATCTCGGCTCACTGCCACCTCCACCTCCTAGGTTCAGGCGATTCTCCTGTCTCAGCCTCCTGAGTAGATGGGATTCCTAGCGCCCGCCACCACACCTGGCTAATTTTTATATTTTTTAGTAGAGACGGGGTTTCACCATGTTGGCTAGGCTGGTCCTGAACTCCTGACCTCAGATAATCCACCTGCCTGGGCCTCCCAAAGTGCTGGGATTACAGGCCTGAGCCACTGCGCCCAGCCCTCATGCATGATTTTGTGTTTGTTCTTAAATTTTATTTACTTAAATTTTTTAAATTCGAGATGTTCCCCAGTCTGGTCTTGAAATCCTGGCCTCAAGCAATCCTCCCACCTCAGCCTCCCAAAGTGCTAGAATTATAGGCATAAGCCACAGTGCCCCGTCTGTTCTTACATTTTAGAAGTTCAATCATTTACAGTGTTTCTACCACCTATTACCAAGCATCATTCTAGGATGGTAAATCTGAGGCAATTTCTACCCCTAGCTCTGCCTCAAACTTGGACCCAACACTTCCCTTCTCAGGGCCTCAGATCTGTGAAAGGAAGCTTTTGAACCAGATGAATTCTTCCAGCTGTGAGACTAGAATGTATTTCTTGACCTTAGAGATTGCATAATCTAAGGGTGTTCATTTTGGAGTTGGACAGATCTGGATTCCTATCTGCCATTTATTAGTAAAATAACCCTGAGCAAGTGACCCAGCTGTTTGGAACCTGTTTCCTTGTCTGTGAAACGAGCATGACACCTCCATCTCACACACTTTGTGAAGGTCACTTGAGATAATTTATGTAGAGCTTAGCGTAAATGCTAGATACAGAAACTCCTCTTTGAATGACAACAGTGACAAGAGGAAGTTTGAAGGACTCTGGAATTAGACTGCCCGGACCCAAGTGCTTCTATCATTTTCTAGCTAGTTACCATGGGCAAGTTTTTCTGTACCTTGATTTTGCCTCTCTAAAATGGGGATAGTGGCAAGGCGAGGTGGTTCACACCTGTAATCCCAGCACTTTGGGAGTCTGAGGAGAGCGGATCACTTGAGGTCGGGAGTTCAAGACCAGCCTGGCCACGTGGTGAAAACCTGTCTCTACTAAAAATACAAATAATTAGCTGAGCATGGTGGCGGGTGTCTGTAATCCCAGCTACTTGGAAGGTTGAAGCAGGAGAATCGCTTGAACCCAGGAGGCGGAGGTTAGAGTGAGCCGAGATCTCACCACTGCACTCCAGCCTGGATGACAGAGCGAAACTCCAGCTCAAAAAAAAAGAAAAGAAATTTTAAGTTGGGCCGGGAGCAGTGGCTCATGCCTGTAATCCCAGCACTTTGGGAGGACAAGGAGGGCAGATCACCTGAGGTTGGGAGTTCGAGACCAGCCTGACCAACATGAAGAAACCCCGTCTCTACTAAAAATACAAAATTAGCTGGGTGTGGTGGCACATGCCTGTAATCCCAGCTACTAGGTAGGCTGAGGCAGGAGAATCGCTTCAACCTGGGAGGCGGAGGTTGCGGTGAGCCGAGATCGTGCCATTGAACTCCAGCCTCGGCAACAAGAGCAAAACTCTGTCTCAAAAAAAAGAAGAAATTATAAGTTGGGAACAGGGGATTAATGATGGTTGGAGCTGGGCAATGAGTAATATTTTCATATTTTGTCTACTTTTGTAAATGTTTGAGATTTTTCCATAATAAAAAGCAAAATACAGCTAGAAGAAACAACTTTAATACTTCTCATTATACTTAGAATAAAATTCATATTCCCTACTGGCCCTACTTTTCTTTTTCTTTTCTTTTTTTTTTTTTTGAGACAGAGTCTCGCTCTGTCGCCCAGGCTGGAGTGCAGTGGCGCGATCTCGGCTCACTGCAAGCTCCGCCTCCCGGATTCACGACATTCTCCTGCCTCAGCCTCCCGAGTAGCTGGGACTACAGGCGCCCGCCACCGCGCCCGGCTAATTTTTTGTATTTTTAGTAGAGACGGGTTTTCACCGTGTTAGCCAGGATGGTCTCAATCTCCTGACTTCGCGATCCGCCCGCCTCGGCCTCCCAAAGTGCTGGTATTACAGGCGAGAGCTACACTCAACTTCTAACAGTTCCTAGAACACAGTAAGTTCCTTTTCCCTGTTAGGCACAGAGAGAACAAAACTATGAAGGATTGAGCATGCCAAGCCGTTGAAAATGTCTTTCTTTCTCTTTCCTATCTCCTCCTCTCCTTTCCTTACTGCATCTGAACACAGTTCAATTTCTTTTCGTTTTTTTTTTTTGTTTTTTTTTTGAGATGGAGTCTTGCTCTGTCTCCCAGTGCAGTGGCGCGATCTCGGCTCACTGCAAGCTCCACCTCCCGGGTTCACACCATTCTCCTGCCTCAGCCTCCCAAGCAGCTGGGACTACAGGCGCCCGCCACCACGCCCGGCTAATTTTTTTGTACTTTTAGTAGAGACGGGGTTTCACCGTGTTAGGCAGGATGGTCTCGATCTCTTGACTTCGTGATTCGCCAGCCTCGGCCTCCCAAAGTGCTGGGATTACAGGCTTCAGCCACCGCGCCCGGCCTTCGTTTTTTTCGTGTTTTTTTTTTTTTTTTTGAGACAGAGTCTCACTCTGTCGCCCAGGTTGGAGTGCAGTGGCACAATCTTGGCTCACTGCAACCTCTGCCTTCCAGGTTCAAGCGATTCTCCTGCCTCAGCCTCCTAAGTAGCTGAAACTACAGATATGTGCTGCCACACCCAGCTAGTTTTAGTATTGTTAGTAGAGACAGGGTTTCATCATGTTGGCCAGGCTGCTCTAAAACTCCTGATCCCAAGTGATCCGCCCACCTCAGCCTCCCAAAGTGCTGGGATTACAGGCGTGAGCCATCACAACCGGCCAGTTCAATGTCAAAAGAATACTTCTCCTGTGTTTAAAACTGGACATTAGCCGGGCGTGGTGGCTCATGCCTGTAATCCCAACACTTTGGGAGACCGATGCAGGTGGATCATTTGAGCCCAGGAGTTGGAGGCCAGCCTAGGCAAAATGGCGAAGCCATGTCTACAAAAAATAAAAAATGGCCAGGCACGGTGGCTCACACCTGTAATCCCAGCACTTTGGGAGGCCGAGGCAGGCGGATCACGAAGTCAGGAGTTTGAGACCATCCTGTATCTACTAAAACCCTGTCTCTACTAAAGATTAAAAAAACTTAGCCGGGCATGGTGGCGCATGCCTGTAATCCCTGCTACTCGAGAGGCTGAGACAGGAGAATCGCTCTAACCCGGGAGGCGGAGGTTGCAGTGAGCCGAGATCATGCCATTGCATTCCAGCCTGGGCAACAGGGCAAGACTCCGTCTCAAAAAAAAAAAATAAGGCCGGGCGCAGTGGCTCACGCCTGTAATCCCAGCACTTTGGGAGACCAAGGCCGGCAGATCACAAGGTCAGGAGATTGGGACCATCCTGGCTAACATGGTGCAACCCCATCTCTACTGAAAATACAAAAACTTAGCTGGGCGTGGTGGCGTGCACCTGTAGTAATCCCAGCTATTCGGGAGGCTGAGGCAGGAGAATCGCTTGAACCTGGGAGGCGGAGGTTGCAGTGAGCCGAGATTGCGCCACTGCACTACAGCCTGGGTGACAGAGCAACACTCTGTCTCAAAATAAATAAATAAATAAATAAATAAATAAATAACTTTGCTGGCCATGATGGCATGCTCCTGTAGTCCCAGCTACTGGGGAGACTGAGGCGGGAGAATGGCGTGAACCCAGGAGGCGGAGCTTGCAGTGAGCTGAGATTGCGCCACTGCACTCCAGCCTGGGGGACAGAGCGAGACTCAAAAAAAAAAAAAAAAAGAAAAGAAAACAAACAAAAACCACTGAACATTAAGTGAAATATTGCACAGGGAAAACAACTGGACATAATAATTTTTTACTAGTGAAATTGCTGACTCCAAGTTCTTAGGCAGGGAAAGTAATAGGTGAGTCTGGAATATATTATTGTGCCAGAAAGCAATGAAGTGCTCAAATACTGTGGTTGTGTCATAAGGACTTAGGGACCAACTTGAAGAAGCTATTATTTGCCAAACTTGTCATAATTTCAGCATGAAAAAGTGTTAGCAATAAATTATAACATTGGAAAAAATCTGTAAATTCATAGTGATAATAAAAAAGGGGCAGGGCTCTTTTTTGTTGTTGAAAAGTCTTGCTCTGTCACCCAGGCTGGAGTGCAGTGGCACGATCTCGGCTCACTGCAACTTCCCCCTCCCGGGTTCAAGTGATTCTTCTGCCTCAGCCTCCCGAGTATCTGGGACTACAGGTGCAGGCCACCACACCTGACTAATTTTTTGTATTTTCAGTAGAGACGGGGTTTCACCATGTTGGACAGGCTGGTCTTGAACTCCTGACCTCAGGTGATCCCCTGGCCTCAGCTGTCCATAGTGCTGGGATTACAGGAGTGAACCACCATGCATGGCCTGGGCTCTTCTTTATAGAATGTCATAGGAATAATATGAATGAATGAATGAATGAATGACAGTATTGGAAAATCACCATTTTGTAACACAGTAATAACTAATTCAGGTAATGATCATCATGGCTACTAAACCATTGGGTGGGCCAGGCACAGTGGCTCACACCTGTAATCCCAACACTTTGGGAAGCCGAGGTGAGTGGATCATTTGAGGTCAGGAGTTCAAGACCAGCCTGGCCAATATGGTGAAACTCCGCCTCTACTAAAAATACAGAAAAATAGCCGGTGCAGTGGCTCACGCCTGTAATCCCAGCACTTTGGGAGGCTGAGGTGGGCAGATCACCTGAGGTCAGAGTTCGAGACCATCCTGGCCAACATGGTGAAACCCTGTCTCTACTAAAAACACAAAAATTAGGTGGGCGTGGTGGCAGGCGCCTGTAGTCCCAACTACTCAGGAGGCTGAGGCAGGAAAATCCCTTGAACATAGGAGGCGGAGGTTACAGTGAGTCAAGATCGCGCCACTGCACTCCAGCCTGGCGACAGAGCAAGACTCCGTATCAAAATAAAATAAAATAAAATAAAATAAAAATACATATTAGGTATTTAATCAATGTTAAATGTCTTAGCTGTGATTACAGTATTTTGGCTACATAGAAGGATGTCCTTAGGAGTAAGGTTTCATGTTGTCTATATTTGACTTTCAAAGGATTTCATTCAATAAGGACAAGAAAAATGCAGATACAGAAGTGTAGCACAATGTTAATAACTGGTAAATCTAAGTAGAGGGCATATACCAGGGCTCATTTTACTAATCTCTTCTCTTTACTGAAAGTTTTTTTTTTATTATTATTACACCAGTAATCCCAGCACTTTGGGAGGTTAAGGTGGATGGATCGCTTGAGTCCAGGGGTTTGAGACCAGCCTGGGTAAAACTCCATTTCTACAGAAAATTTTTTAAAATTAGTCAGGGGTGGCCGGGCACGGTGGCTCACACCTGTAGTCCCAGCACTTTGGGAGGCCGACGTGGGAAGATCACAGGGTCAGGAGTTCAAGATCAGCCTGGCCAACATACTGAAACCCTGTCTCTACTAAAAAATACAAAAAATAAGCCAGGCCTGGTGGCAGGCGCCTGTAATCCCAGCTACTCAGGAGGCTGAGGCAGGAGAATTGCTTGAACCCGGGAGGCAGAGGGTGCAGTGAGCCAAGATTATGCCATTGCACTCCAGCCGGGGCTACAGTGTGAGACTCTGTCTCAAAAAAAAAAAAATTAAAATAAAATAAATAAATAAATATATATATATATAAATTAAAATGAAAATATAATGCAGCAAAAGAAGTAAGACAGAAGAGGTAAGGTGTCTTGCCTACCTTAGTCACACAGAGGCAGTGGCAGAACTGGTATCAGGACCTTTACCTCTGCTATCCCTACAATTATCTATCTATATTTTTCGAGACAATGGCTCACTCTGTTGCCCAGGCTGGAGTGCAGTGGGACAATCTTGGCTCACTGTAACTTCAACTTCTCGAATAATCTGTATCTTTGTCATAAATGGAAAGTTAGAGTATCACTCACTAAGGAGACAGATGAGATCACAGCACACTACAGCCTTGAGTTCCTGGCCTCAAGCAATACCCCGGTAGGCAATCTCCGCCTCCCGGGTTCAAGCGATTCTCCTGCCTCAGCCTCCAAGTAGCTGGGATTACAGGCGTGCACCACCACGCCCGGCTAATTTTTTGTATTTTTAGTAGAAACGGGGTTAGCCAGGCTGGTCTCGAACTTGTGACCTCAGGTGATCCACCTGCCTCGGCCTCCCAAAGTGCTGGCATTAGAGGCGTGAGCCACTGCACCCGGCCAGGCACCACCACTCTTGAGGGCAGAGGCTGGCATCTTGTTGCATTTGCACAAGGAAGCTGTGGGTACTGCTTCCTCACTGTCTTGTTTCCATACTCCCCAATCTTTTCATGACCCATCCCCATTCCTACATTTAATCACACACATCTCAGAGTGCTAGGGCTTTATTACAAATGGAGTTGACTGCTAGAGAGGCCCTTCTCCAATCTTTCTTCTGTACCTTCTTCCCTCCCAAAGACATCCCTCTAGGGGAGGTCAGTAGGCCATTAGGTAGGAGGAAATCTGGAGAGTGAAAAGGGGCCTTGCTTTTGTCAAAGTCCTCTGAAACAACCACTGAGTCTGAAGGCTGGCTCCAGTTGAGAATCTTCTAGTGGAAGAGGTTTAGCTCTCATCTTCAAGGTCCTTCATTTCTACATCCTGGGGGGCTTTTGTCTTCTTTTGCCTTTTGAGCTGTGGTTCACTAGTCCTGGCTGGCTTTGAAGGGGCTTCCACTGAGTAAAGGGAAGAAGGAAGTATTATCCCAAATAAATCCAGGATTCCCCTCACCCACCTCTGTCCCAGCCTCACCTTCCATGGCTGTCTTCTCTTTCTGGGCAAGCCGGATCTGCTGGAGGAGTTTTCTGCGCTTCTTCCCTGACAGTGTAATGTTGGCACGTGCACTGGACCTGATGGGTAAGTGGAAATAAAGAGAGCTAGGTTAACCTGAACCAACTGAGGTCACACAAATAGTTCTGGCTATAGAAAAAGTATTAAATAGGCTGGGCGCAGTGGCTCACGCCTGTAATCCCAGCACTTTGGGAGGCCGAGGCGGCTGGATCACGAGGTCAGGAGATCGAGACCACGGTGAAACCCTGTCTCTACTAAAAATACAAAACATTAGCTGGGCGCAGTGGCGGGCGCCTGTAGTCCCAGCTACTCGGGAGGCTGCGGCAGGAGAATGGCGTGAACCCAGAAGGCGGAGCTTGCAGTGAGCCGAGATCGCGCCACTGCACTCCAGCCTGGGCGACAAAGCGAGACTCCGTCTCAAAAAAAAAAAAAAAAGGAAAAGTATTAAATAAATATAATATAAATAGTAATAGAAACCCTAAATATTTACATTGAAGAAGCTAATGAAAGGACATAGATCGGGGGCGGTGGCTTATGCCTGTAATCCCAACACTTTGGGAGGCTGAGGTGGGCGGATCACCTGAGGTCAGGAGTTCAAGACCAGCCTGGCCAACATGGTGAAACCCCGTCTCTACTAAAAATACAAAAATTAGCCGGGTGCAGTGGGGAGCACCTGTAATCCCAGCTACTCGGGAGGCTGAGGCAAGAGAATAGCTTAAACCCAGGAGGCAGGGGTTGCAGTGAGCCGAGATCATGCCACTTCACTCCAGCCTGGGCAACAGAGGGAGACTCTGTCTCAAAAAAGAGGAAAAAAAAAAAAAAAAAAAAAAAGGACACAGAAAGTAATTAATGGGATGGGAACTCTTCCTCAAGACACAGGAGGCCTTGAAACTTACAAGTGAAATCCTATGAGTGCCTTTGGGAAAATTCTTCGAGTTTTATGCGCCTATGTGTGCACTTTTCTGTATGTAAAAATAAGTTTACTTATAAAAATCTGTGTGAATGTATAACATTACTTGGAGAATGGAGAGCCAACAGATTTCCTGATATTCTTTTTTTTTTTTTTTTTTTTTTGAGACGGAGTCTCACTCTGTGGCCCAGGCTGGAGTGCAGTGGCGTGATCTCGGCTCACTGCAACCTCCGCCTCCCAGGTTCAAGCAATTCTCCTGCCTCAGCCTCCCGTGTAGCTGGGACTACAGGTGCCGGCCACAACGCCTGGCTAATTTTTGTATTTTTAGCAAAAACGGGGTTTCACCATGTTGGTCAGGCTGGTCTCGAACTCCCGACCTCAGGTGATCCGCCCACCTCAGCCCCCCAAAGTGCTGGGATTACAGGTATGAGCCACCATCCCCGGCTTTCCTGAGATTCTTAACAGAATCCAAAACCCAAAGAAAGGTTGTCTGCTACAGGTATTGTGAGAGGCTATCAGAGCTTAGGAACTAACAGCCGACAGACATTCCCCGCATAAGCGTCAGTGCACAAGGTGAGCTGAGAGGTGAAGCTGCTCCGGAGCTCTGCAGGGAGGAAGGAAGACTCGGTGGGGACGACCAACAGGAAGAGGGTCTAGTACTTACGCCCGCTTCTTGAGGTGGTGCCGCGTGATCAGCCCTTGGTCTATCACAGCCCCGACCACCCGGTGCCTCAGACGCCGCTCCCGATTCAACACCCGCCGGCGTTTGAACAGCTTCTTCTTCAGCTCCTGCCGGGGAGAAAGATGCGAATCAGATGGAGTGGGCTCGCCGCGACCCGGGGCCCCTCCACCAGGCAGCCCCGGCCCCTCACTGATCCCATCTCGTGCGAGATAAAAGGGCTCAGGAACGCTTGAGGAAACAAAGTCGCGGCCCCCACACAGTCACCGTTCGGGGCCGGTTGATCTTTCCCCCCGGAGCTCCCATAGTCGCGATTCCACTCCAGTTCACGGTCCGTACTTCCGCTCAGCGCCGGATCCGCGGGGCTCCGCCCCGGCCTTCCGCGGGCCAATCGCAACTCGGGGGCGGGTCCTCGGGCTATATAAAGGAGCTCCGCGGTGCGGGAGGCCTTTCGGAGGGTGGTGAGCTAGTAAGTGTGGTTTTAGCTGTAGTAGCCAGATTGGGCGGCCGGGAGTGGTGGGGGTGCCGGGTGGAAGGCTCTGGGCGGGGTCTCAGGACCCTCCTTTTCTTGGCGGGGATCGGGCTTGTGGTGCCGCTCCCCGTAATGTACGGAGGAAGAGGGAAAGGGCTCTGGCCCCCTCGGCGTCATGTCTTCGGTGCTGGCGGCTTCCCATCCGCTGGTTCTATCCTCAAACGCCGGGACACCGGGAATCTCGGAGAAGGACAACCGAGATCCAGCTGGCTCCTCCATCGGGGTGCTCACACTTTCTCATTTGATTTCAGGTCTGCGGACGCTGTATACCCTCCTCCACTTCCCGCTGCAGCCAATAAAGGCCGTTCCTACCATAGTCTGTGTCCGCGTTCTTTTTTCCGGGACTGCAGAGTTCGGGGAAGCTGTACGCCGCCTTTCGCTACGCGGAATTTGCAGATCTTCCCCTGGACCTCAGGCCTCTCCGGCTGGAGTAGGGTGGACGCTTCACATAAGCTTCTCTGGTCGAACTTACCCGAATCTCCAGATGGCCGCGCTGCGTCGAATGCTCCACTTGCCGAGCCTGATGATGGGGACGTGCCGCCCCTTTGCGGGTAGGGAGGTGGGGGCAGAGTGGAGAGGGCAAGGTGGGGGCAGAGTGGGGAGGGTAAGGTGGGTTCCTCGTGAGTCAGGAGTGTAGTCCCTGAAATTGTGATTCTCAAACCCTACGGTGGGCCGTGCGTGGTGGCTCACGGCTGTAATGCTAACACTTTGCCAGGCCGAGGCGGGCAGATCGCTTGGCCCAGGAGTTCGAGACCAACCTAGGGCAACATAGCGAGACCCTGTCTACAAAAAAAATTAACCGGGCACGATGGCGCCTATAGTCCTAGCTACTCAGGAGGCTGAGGTGGAGGCTTCAGTGAGCCATCATTGTGCTACTGTACTCAACCCTGGGTCACAGAGTGAGACCCTGTCTCAAAAAAAAAAAAGACGCCAGTGTGTATATACGACGTTTTTGCAGTGGCGACATAGACCAAGTGACACCCTCCAACCGTGCCCACAGGCTCACTGGCTGATAGTTGCCTGGCGGACCGCTGTCTCTGGGATCGGCTGCATGCCCAGCCTCGTTTGGGCACTGTCCCCACCTTCGACTGGTTCTTTGGATACGACGAAGTCCAGGGGCTCCTACTGCCATTGCTGCAGGAGGCACAGGCTGCCAGTCCTCTGCGAGTGCTGGATGTGGGCTGTGGGACTTCCAGCCTATGTACAGGCCTCTACACCAAATCTCCACACCCAGTGGATGTGCTGGGGGTGGACTTTTCTCCTGTGGCTGTGGCCCACATGAATAGCCTCCTGGAGGGTGGCCCAGGCCAAACACCTCTATGCCCTGGACACCCTGCCTCAAGCCTCCACTTCATGCACGCCGATGCTCAGAACCTGGGGGCTGTGGCTTCTTCAGGCTCTTTCCAACTACTGCTGGACAAAGGCACATGGGATGCTGTTGCCCGGGGAGGTCTGCCTAGGGCTTACCAGCTTCTATCAGAATGCTTGAGGGTTCTAAACCCTCAGGGGACCCTGATTCAGTTCTCAGATGAGGACCCTGATGTGCGACTGCCCTGCCTGGAACAAGGGTCCTATGGCTGGACTGTGACTGTGCAGGAGCTAGGCCCGTTCAGGGGCATCACCTACTTTGCTTACTTGATTCAAGGCTCTCATTAAAGACATTTTAGTAGTCCTGACCCTAGTATTTCTGTGGGCAAGGAGAGGGCTGAAGAACTGTCTTTGCAAGCTATCTGGCTGCAAAGTGAGAATTTGAGTCCTGGCTTCCACATTTACTAGCTGGGTGCCATATTGCTGAATGTTTCTGTTCCCCAGTTTACTCATCTGCAGAGTGAGAATAACTTGGAGTTACGGAGATTACATACAATGATGTGCGCAATATTTAGCACAAAATGAATGCTGAAAAGAGAAGGTACAATTGGGTCATTCCCCAGTTTCAACTAACTGGAGCTCCTAAAAGCAGCAGACAGGAACTGAATCAAAACCCCTGCGCTGACTGACTTGTATAATCTAGTGGCCTAACCTGTAAGCCTCATTTTTGTCACCTGTAAAAGGAGATTGTAAGAGGATGGGTATAAGGAGCTTCATAAACCTGGATGAGATATTTGAGGGGGAGGGAACAATACTTACCCTCAAAGCTATTAGGAGGCAGGAGATGGGAATATTCCACAAAGCCACTTCTACAAACACGGGAGCCTGTTGAGTCCCAGAAGGGACAGTGGTTGGTGGCTTCCAGACATGCTGTGTCCTCAAGAATCCAACAAGCATCTTCTTCATCCTGGTCCTGCCCCCAGCTGAGTCCAGCGTTAAATGTTCTTAAAGGACTTCTAGGGTCCTGTGGGCTCCAAGCCCAGCCTGGGATGGAGGAAGAGAGGGGACAAAAATATTACTGATATATTATCAAATTACAAAACTAGGCCAGGCATGCTGGCTCATACCTATAATCACAGCACTTTGGGAGGCCAAGGTGGGCAGATTGCTTGAGCCCTGGCAATAAAGTGACACCCCTAACTCTACAAAAACAAATGAGCCCGGGATAGTGGCACAGGCATGTAGTTCCAACTACTCAGGAGGCTGAGCTGGGAGGACTGCTTGAACCCTGGGAGGTCAAAGCTGCAATGGGCCATGATAAGCTGCTGCACTTGAGCTAAAAATTAATTTCTGTGGTATTTTTTGCTTATAAAAAAATAGAGCAATTATATCACTAAGAGCCTAACCTCGCAGCCTCAATTTTCTCATTTATAAAGGGGAAGTACCTTCATTGGGTTGTTCTGAAAATCATGAAGTAAAAGTGTTTAGCATAGTACCTGGTACATAGTAAATGCTCAAAAGAATGTAGCTTCTTGGGAGGCTGAGGCGGGCAGATTGCCTGAGCTCAGGAGTTTGAGACCAGCCTGGGCAATATGGTGAAACCCCATCTCTACTAAAATACAAAAAAAATTAGTCGGGCGTGGTGGCCTGAACCTGTAGCCCCAGCTACTCAGGAGGCTGAGGCAGGAGACTTGCTTGGACCTGGGAGGCAGAGGTTGCAGTAAGCCGAGATCCTGCCACTGCACTCCGCCTGGGCAACAGAGGGTGACTCTGTCTCAAAAAAAAAAAAAAAAAAAAAAGTAGCTTCTGTAACAGTACACAGACGGGGCCGGGCGCGGTGGCTCACGCCTGTAATCCCAGCACTTTGAGAGGCCCAGGCAGGCGGATCACAAGGTAAGGAGATCCTGGCGAACAAAGTGAAACCCTGTCTCTACTAAAAATACAAAAAAATTAGCTGGGCGTGGTGGCGGGTGCCTGTAGTCCCAGCTACTCGGGAGGCTGAGGCAGGAGAATGGCACGAACCCAGGAGGCAGGGCTTGCAGTGAGCAGAGGTCATTGCCACTGCACTCCAGCCTGGGGGACAGAGCAAGACTCTGTCTCAAAAAAAAAAACCAAAACCAAAACAAACAAACAAAAAAACAGTACACAGAGATGAAAAAAGTCTAGAAGAGAAGGTATCGAATATGTAAACTATTTTTAGGTAGTTGGTCTTGGGGTAATTTTTTTTGTTTTTTGTTTTTTTTGAGGCAGAATCTGGCTCTTGCCCAGGCTGGAGTGCAGTGGTGGGATCTCAGCTTACTGCAAACTCCACATCCCGGGTTCACGCCATTCTCCTGCCTCCCGAGTAGCTGGGACTACAGGCGCCCGCCACCACGCCCGGCTAATTTTTTGTATTTTTAGTAGAGACGGGGTTTCACCATGTTAGCCAGGATGGTCTCGATCTCCTGACCTTGTGATCTGCCCGCCTCAGCCTCCCAAAGTG
This sequence comes from Homo sapiens, assembly GCF_000001405.40. Taxonomy (NCBI): domain Eukaryota; kingdom Metazoa; phylum Chordata; class Mammalia; order Primates; family Hominidae; genus Homo; species Homo sapiens. The sequence continues at coordinate 62,669,186 of NC_000011.10, forward strand.
CTGGGATTACAGGCGTGAGCCACCGCGGCCAGCCTTAATCTGTACTTTCAAAATGTTTACATTGCTGCAGGAAAAGATAAAATTACCCCAAGACTGGCCGGCTTGGGAGGCTGAGGCAGGAGAATGGCGTGAACCCAGGAGGCGGAGCTTGCAGTGAGCTGAGATCGCGCCACTGCACTCCAGTCTGGGTGACAGAGCGAGACTCAGTCTCAAAAAAAAAAAAAAGAAGAAAAAGAAAGTACAGATTAAAGGATGGCACCCATTCTGATACCAAAACTGCTCTCTACAATTCATCAACTTTGCCAGCTGCCTTTTCTCTCCCACATCTTCACATTTATTGAGCACCTGCTGTGTGCCTGGCACTGCTGAATGCAGGGGCCGTAACTGACTTCCATCTTGGCTCTGCCCAGAACATTCAGCTCACAGTGGCCCCCTGAATGAGCCACCTCCCTCACCTGGCTCTTCACTTTGGTCTTGGAAGAAGGCCTCAGCATCCTCTTCCTCACCATCAGTGAGCAGCAGCAGCTCCTCATGGGGCAAATGGAGATCCCCACTCTCTTCATTCACCTCACTGGATTCCACCACAATAGACGGCAGATGGGACTTTTGAGAGAAATCCTGAATAGGGACAGCAGGGAGGTTGGGCCAAACTGGAGGGTAAGCCAGCTGCCAGACACAGGCTGAGGAAGTACTAACCTGAATGTGCTGGTGACCTTCAACCTTGCCAATTTTTCCTCTGTCCCAGAGAGGGTTGGGCAGCCTGGGACTTTCTGGATGCTGGGAGGAGCCTGGGCTATTTCTAGTCCAAAGCCCATCCTCCTTGCTTCTCCCTGGCACAAGGGCCATGGTGGTGATTCTTAGAGTGCAAGATGATTGAACTCAGAGGAGAGTACTGCTGCCCAGTGCACCCCACAAACTGTTCCTTTAATCTTCTTTGGAGCCTGGCCCCTTAAGCACCGACTGTGCTAAGCGATTATACGCTTTCAGGGGAGGGGAAAATGCCCAAGAGGTGAGATAGGATCTTTATTTCTACTTACTCCCTGGAGACACTGGGATGGCAACAAGGGTAGGAGACAAGGGCACCTGGATTAAAGCCCTGTGGGCCAAGAGTTGTGATAACCAACTTGGAATTTCCTGACTCCTATGCTTACTGATTTTTCCCAACCTGGTATGTTTGTATGTTATTTAATGAATATTTATATGGTGTTTACTCTTTGGCAGGAGCTGTTTTAATTGCTTTACATATAACTAATTTAATTATCCTAAAACTGTGAGACAAGTACTGTTGTTATAAGCTTCATTTTCTGATGCAGAAACCGGGGCACAAGAACTTGCCTATAATCAGTCACACAGCTAAGAGGTGTTTTCTTCTGTAAAGCAGAATTCAGTATGTTACACGAATCCAGCCTTTTAGTGGTTGAAAACAAAGCAAAACAGCCGGGCGCGGTGGCTCACACCTGTAATCCCAGCACTTTGGGAGGCCGAGGTGGGCGGATTGGGCGGATCACGAGGTCAGGAGTTCGAGACCAGCCTGACCTACATAGTGAAACTCTTTCTCTACTAAAAATACAAAAAATTAGCCGGCCGTGGTGGCGGGCGCCTGTAGTCCCAGCTACTCGGGAGGCTGAGGCAGGAGAATGGCGTGAACCCGGGAGGCAGAGCTTGCAGTGAGCCGAGATCACGCCACTGCACTCCAGCTGGGCAACAGAGTGAGACTCTGTCTCAAAAAGCAAAAAAGAAAACGAAGCAAAACAAAAAGCAATACCAGCCGGGCGTGGTGGTGCACGCCTGTAATCCCAGCTATCCGGGAGGTTGAGGCAGGAGGATCGCTTGGGCCCTGGAAGTCGAGGCTTCAGTGAGCCATGATCGCGCCACTGCACTCCAGCCCTGGGCGACAGAGCGAGACCTTGTCTCCAAAAACAAACAAAACCACGCCCACACACTAACAACAACAACAAAACCAAAAAAAAACCCAAACAATACCAAGTGTGTACCATGACGAGAAAAGGAATAGGTTGTTTGTAAAATAAATGTTAAAGATAAGTAACTATTACCCATTTCTCCAACCAGTATACTTGACTTTGAGTGTTTGTTCCAGAGTTGAGGGGATGGAGAGGGATGTGTATGTGTGTAGATGCCCTCCATGCGCTGTGTTGAAAACGCGCGGGTGACTGCAGGAAACCACAGAGCACAGCTCGGGCCTCTACTGATCGGGAAACGTCGGAAGACAGAAAAATGGGCAATCATAAAACCCACGGCAACCATGAAGACACGCACTCTCCCCCTAGCAATCCCACCCCGGAATTGAGGACACAGGGTCCCCGCGCTCAGCCCTTGGTGCCAGCACTTCTTGGACACCTCAACCCCCTCAGCTAAACCTGAGATCCAAGCGCTCCGGATTCCAAACGTTTCCTCGAGCAGGTCCTCTCTAGCCGGCCGCTTATCTATGGTTTCTGCTATAGGGCGCTCTAGCCTGCGCCAAGGGGTAGTGAGACCGCGCGGCAACAGCTTGCGGCTGCGGGGAGCTCCCGTGGGCGCTCCGCTGGCTGTGCAGGCGGCCATGGATTCCTTGCGGAAAATGCTGATCTCAGTCGCAATGCTGGGCGCAGGGGCTGGCGTGGGCTACGCGCTCCTCGTTATCGTGACCCCGGGAGAGCGGCGGAAGCAGGAAATGCTAAAGGTAGAAGCAACTGGTAGTCCCGAGGAAGGGTGGGCGGGTGGAGAGCCCCGGACTGGAGCTCCTGCGAACTCCCCTTCCTGCCCTCAGGAGATGCCACTGCAGGACCCAAGGAGCAGGGAGGAGGCGGCCAGGACCCAGCAGCTATTGCTGGCCACTCTGCAGGAGGCAGCGACCACGCAGGAGAACGTGGCCTGGAGGAAGAACTGGATGGTTGGCGGCGAAGGCGGCGCCGGCGGGAGGTCACCGTGAGACCGGACTTGCCTCCGTGGGCGCCGGACCTTGGCTTGGGCGCAGGAATCCGAGGCAGCCTTTCTCCTTCGTGGGCCCAGCGGAGAGTCCGGACCGAGATACCATGCCAGGACTCTCCGGGGTCCTGTGAGCTGCCGTCGGGTGAGCACGTTTCCCCCAAACCCTGGACTGACTGCTTTAAGGTCCGCAAGGCGGGCCAGGGCCGAGACGCGAGTCGGATGTGGTGAACTGAAAGAACCAATAAAATCATGTTCCTCCACCCAGAATGAGCCCTGCAGTCGACACCTACCAATGCTTAGAGACGCGTGGTCGGTGCTGGGGGCGCGGCCTGGAGCTGCTGCCTGTCCCACCCCACCAGAAGAGGCTGATCCCGATAGGTATCTGACCACATTTTTTTTTTTTTTTTTTTTTTGAGACGGAGTCAATGTCACCCAGGCTGGAGTGCAGTGGCACGATCTCGGCTCACTGCAACCTCCGCCCCTGGGTTCCAGCAATTCTCCTGCCTCAGCTTCCCGAGTAGCCGGGATCACAAGTGCGCGCCACCAAGCCCAGCTAACTTTTGTGTTTTTAGTTGAGACAGGGTTCACCATGTTGGCTAGACTGGTCTCGAACTCCAGACCCAGGTGATCCGCCCGCCTCGGCCTCCCAAAGGGCTGGGATTACAGGCGTGAACCACCTCGCCCTGCCGCGGCCACATTTTTTCTTTTTTTTGAGATGGAGTCTTGCTCTTGTCACCCAGGCAGGAGTGCAGTGGCGCAATCTTGGCTCACTGCAACCTCTGCCTCCTGGGTTCAAGCTGTTCTCCTTACTCAGCCTCCCATGTAGCTGGGATTACAGGCGTCCGCAACCACGCCCGGCTGATATTAGTAGTTTTAGTAGAGGCGGGTTTCACCATGTGGCCAGGCTGATCTCGAACTCCTGACCTCAGGCAGTTCACCCGTCTCAGCCTCCCAAAGTGCTGGGATTAGAGGCGTGAGCCACTGCGCCCGGCCAACCACATTTTCAAAACAGGTCATGTGGTGTCAGGTTGGAGTGTACTTCCAGGGATAACCGTGGGACATTCTTGAAATCTGAACTATCCTGGGAAGTCTTGAAGTAATGGATGCCTATAGTGGACACTCAGGACTCCTGTCCTTGGAGCGAGATTGGAGGGGCATCTAGCACTTAACATATGCCACAATGCTTTCTGTGGCCATTATTTAACCTCTGGTTAAACAAGCTTAGGAGGCTGACTTACTAGTAGTAAAAGGAGTGTGCTTTGAGTCACAGATCCTGGTTGAACTCCAGCATGTTACAAACCTCAGCCCTGTTCTATGAAAGGTCATAACTACGAGGATTATTGTAAAACATTAATTTAGAAATGTAAAGTGGTCCCCAATCTCTGGATCTGGTCAGGATTTATTGGAGCTGCCACTGAGGGGATTAAATAAGTGGGGTCAAAGCCCCACAGCCTAGTCAACCAAGTTGCTCCTCTTTTGTCTATCCTGTGGTTCCCAAGCAAGACTGCAATTGAAAAAAAGGCTGCTGTTATTAAAGTCAGAACACCAAATAAAGCTTTTTTTTTTTTTTTGAGACAGAATTTCTGTGTTGTTGCCCACGCTGGAGTGCAATGGAGCGATCTCAACTCAATGCAACCTCCGCCTCCTGGGTTCAAGCGATTCTCCTGCCTCAGCCTCTCCAGTAGCTGGGACTACAGGGGTGCGCCACTATGCCAGGATAATCTTTGTATTTTTAGTAGATACAGGGTTTCACCATGTTGGCCAGGCTGGTCTTGAACTCCTGACCTCAGGTGATCTGCCCGCCTCAACCTCCCAAAGTGCTGGGATTACAAGCATGACCCGCCGTGCCTGGCCCAAATAAAGCTTTCTAACACTGGGGTGTAAACCCAGATATAAGTATTGGTGCTCTTTTCAGCTGCTGGAACACATGTTACATGTGATCTTTACAGAGTAACTGTGGCCTTTCTCCTAGTCCAGGAAGGAGTGGAGTCAGGAGCAGTTTGACAGGACAGCAGGGTGGGGTGATCAGCAGCCAGAGGGACTATCATAGATAAGCTCATCAGTGCTTCTTGGTTGGTTTTAAAAAGCAGAGAGAAGCGCCAACATGGTGAGACCCTGTATCTACTAAAAATACAAAAATTAGCTGGGCATGGCGGCACGTGCCTGTGGTCCCAGCTACTCGGGAGGCTGAGGCAGGAGAATCGCTTGAACTCAGGAGGCAGAGGTTACGGTGAGCCGAGATCGTGCCACTGCACTCCAGCCTGGGTAACAGAGTGAGGAGATGTCTCAAAAAAAAAAAACAAAAAAACAAAACCCTTTTAGCCCAGCATTTTGGGAGGCTGAGACAGGTGGATCTTGAGGTCAGGAGTTCAAGACCAGCCTGGCCAACATGGTGAAACCCCATCTCTACTAAAAAATACAAAGAATTAGCTGGGTGTGGTGGCACACACCTGCAATCCCAGCTACTCGAGAGGCTGAGGCAGAATTGCTTGAACCCGGCAGACGTTGGTTATAATGAGCCGAGATTGCACCACTGTACTACAGCCTGGGATCTAGAGCAAGACTCCACCTCAAATAAGTAAATAAAATTATCCTTTTAGTAGCTAATGCTTACTGGGGACTTATTAGGTACCAGGCACTATGCTAAAGCATCTTATACCAGCATTATGTAACCCTCATGACAATCCCAAGAAATAGGCACTATTCCTATTCTATTAAGAAGCTAGGTTTTCTGGGTGAGATGTGAAATAACTTAAATGACATCACTAAGGTAGCAAAGCTGAAGGAAAAGTATAAGAAGGATGTTCCTGACTATAAGTAGAAAGGTTGGTTTGATGATGCAAAGGGTCCTGCTAAAGTTGCCTGGAAAAAGGTGGAAGAGGAAGATGAAGAGGAGGAGGATGAATAAAGAAACTGTTTATCTGGCCAGGCACAGTGGCTCAAGACTGTAATCCCAGCACTTTGGGAGGCAGAGGCGGGCGGATCATCTGAGGTCAGGAGTTCAAGACCAACCTGACCAACAAGGTGAAACCCTGTCTCTTAAAAAAAAAAAAAAAAAAAAATTAGCTGGGCGTGGTGGTGCATGCCTGTAACCCCACCTACTCAGGAGGCTAAGGCAGGAGAATCGCTTGAACCCGGGAGGTGGAGGTTGCAGTGAGCTGAGATCGCTCCATTGCACTCCAGCCTGGGCAACAAAAGCAAAACTCCATCTCAAAGGAAAAAAAAAAAGAAACTGTTTATCTGCCTCCTTGTGAGTACCTTAAGAGTAGGGGAGCCCCGTAATGGACACATCTCTTATTTGAGAAGTGCCTGTTGTCCTCATTAGGTTTAATTACAAAATTTGATCATGATATTGTATAGTCTCTCAAAGTACTCTAAAAATTGTCAGTGGTGGCCGGGCGTGGTGGCTCACGCCTGTAATCCTAGCACTTTGGGAGGCCGAGGCGGGTGGATCACTTGAGGTCAGGAGTTTGAAACCAGCTTGGCCATCATGGTGAAACGCTGACTCTACTAAAAATACAAAAAATTAGCTGGGCATGGTGGTGCGCGCCTGTAATCCCAGATACTTGGGAGGCTGAGGCAGAAGAATCCCGTGAACTCAGGAGGCGGAGGTTGCAGTGAGCCAATACTGTGCCACTGCACTCCAGCTTGGGTGACAGAGCAAGACTCCATTTCAAAAAAAAAAAAAAAAAAGAAATTCTCAGTGGTTTACATGAAGTGGCCATGGGTGTCTGGAGCACCCCAAAGCTGTATCAAAGTTGTGCATATTTCCAAACATTTTTAAAATGAAAAGGCACTCTCATGTTCTCAATAAATAAATAAATAAATAAATAAATAAAGCAGCAGGCCGGGCGTGGTGGCTCATGCCTGTAATCCCAGCACTTTGGGAGGCCAAGGCAGGCGAATCACAAGGTCAGGAGTTTGAGACCAGCCTAGCCAACATGGCAAAACCCCGTCTCTACTAAAAATGGAAAAAATTAGCTGGGCGTGGTGGTGGGTGCCTGTAATCCCAGCTACTAGGGAGGCTGAGGCAGGAGAATCGCTTGAACCTGGGAGGCAGAGGTTGCAGTGAGCTGAGATTGCGCCACTGCACTCTAGCCCAGGCAACAGTGCAAGACTCCGTCTCAAAAATAAAAATAAAAAAGCAGCAGCTGGGCTTTTATTTTCTGTCTTACCATAGGAGTAAAAGGTGCCATCCAATGTACTCTCCACCCCTTTTAGCACCTCTCCTCCGCAACTTCCCCAGCAGTTAATCAGACCCAGAGATTACAAACAAGTGTCTTTGTTGGAAACTAAAGATGAGGAAGAGGGTCTACTGTTCCGTTTTAGCCTCTTCCTCTGCCTTAGTTTTGTCCCTCCCAGCCATTCAGGAAGGAGTCAGGCATGTACAGAACTCAGGGTCTATTTATTAGGAAGGAGATGTCAGTGCTTTATCAAAGATGAAGGGGTCACAGAGGGACAATGGGACAAAGGCCCTCAGCTGGGACATTTCTTGGCCACAATGAGAACAGCAGAAGGCACGAGTCCTGAAGATGGAAGAAAACAGGCTTGAACCACAAGGATACTTGGTTTTTGCTCCCAAAATTCCTGGCCTTGCACCATGTTCACAAAGCCCCTTCTCTTTGCATCCCTCCTTTTCCTAGGCATGCCTCCCTACTCCCCCAGTTTCTAGTCCTGGTTTCTAGTCTTGCAGCCATACCCAGCTCCTGCAGAGGCCGCTCCATGTCAGCTTCTGAGAAGGCCCGTCTGGGGAAGCCACTGAGCAATTGCACAGGGTCCTGGCCCCCACCTAGTTCCTCCCCACGGTGGAGCTCCACATAGAGCCTCACAGCTGCCAGCTGTTCCCGGGCCCGGAACGTCTGGGTCAGTGAGGTCCCATCTGGCAGCCTGACCTAAAGGGCAAGGGAGATACTCAGTATTGTGGGCATCAAAACTGAATGAGGTGCCCAAGTAAGGAAAAGAGCTAAAGCTGGGCCCCCTTCTTCTTAGATTGAACCAGCACAACTACTATTTAAAGCACCAAATGAACAGCCACTTAGGCTCCGCTTTACTAAGTGCGGATGAGAGACTCCCAGCTCCCTCACAACCTAAGAAAGACAAGGATAAGATTATACAAAAGAATCTGGATAAATACCACATCACCAGATAGCTACATAATAAACCAAATAAAAACATGAACAAGTAAAAGGGTAACTGCTGAGTAAGAGAGAGGTATGGGTTTAAATACAACTGGGGCAGGTGAAATTTGATACCTTTCCCAAGAGTAGAGATAGGATTTCAAAAGTCATTTACAAAGAAGGGAGAGATTTGGCAAAGGGCACGTTAACTGAAAAAAGCTCTGAGCTGGGCACCTTAACACGGAACAAAGGGGTCCCAAGAGGAAGATAAGAATTAGAATCAGTACCTGTATGCGACACTGGTCATACTCCCGCTTGGTGGGAGGCTCCTGGCTGGGAGAAGAGGGAACAGGACCTGGCTCTGGTGCCACTGGGGGTGGCTGAGAGCCCACACTGCCACCATACTAAAGGGCAAAGTAAAACAGTCAATCAGGTACTCACCCATCCTCAGGTGAAACAGATCATATAAGCCCATGCTTTCCCTCTGAAGCTGGAAAAGATTTACTAACCTGCCCACTCCATTACCCGTGGCGTCTTCTCAGTCACCTACCTTCTTGGCTCTCTCTGCTTTGTCCCTCTCGATCTTTTCTCTAACTCTTTGTCTGAAATGTAGACAAGAAGAAATTAGGTCAGACATCAACAAAGCAAATCTTGATTTCTTTCTCATCTGCTATCCATCATTTCCCCTGCCCAGACCTGGCTGCTAACTCCTCGGCCTTTTCCCTCCGCCTCTCCTCAGCAGCCCGGCGCATCTCATCTTCCTGTAGCCGCTGTCGTGCTGCTGACAACTCTTGCCCTTGTCTCCTGCGCTGCCGTTCCCGTTCCAATGCCTCCCGTTCCTCTCTTTCTTCACGCTCCCGCTGCTTCTGGGCCACCAGCTCCAACATCCTGTGTTGCCGAGGGAAAACAGTTCAAGAGAAATGGACAGAGTGGGAAGGTGTAAAGTTTACAATAAACAAAATTAGGCGACATATATCCCAAAGTAGATTAAAGGAAAAGAAAATGCCAAGAAAGAGGAAATGTGGAAAGGTCAAGGTTCTTTGACCAGACGTGTACTGGGGAGAGATGGAAGACGACCCTCAGACACGTGAGATTGTTGTTACTGTACCTCTTAGTTTGTTCCTGTCTTTCCTCTTCACTCAAAGCGGGTTTGCCTTCTCCGGCAGCAGAACCAGATCCTACAAACAAACAATCGGTATTATTATCCCTTCAGATTCTCCTCGGACCCTCCTGAATAATCACACCGTGGACCCTCAGTCAGGACCTTCAAGGCCGCCTTGCTCTGAGGAAGTGGGCTCCCGTCCCAGGATATGTCCAAGGGGAGTCTCTAAAGGCTCGTCCACATCGGGGTCGTCTTCGTGCTCCATCAGCCTGGCAGGGAAAGTGGGCGGGGAGGTTAGCTTTGAGGCTGCCCCTCCCGCCAGCCCCCAATTCTCCGCCACCCGGGACGAGCGCTTACCAGTCCATCGCAGCCTCGATGCCCTGGTTCCCTGTGAGGGCCAGAGCCTTCTCCCTGGGGGCAGAAACACCATGAATAGCGCCCACGAGCCATGGTGACGGTCAGGCTGGGGCAAAGGCCGAGACAGGTCCGCGACCCCCCACACCCGCAGGCCGGGGTTGGGGAACTCCCTTACGCGCGTCCCCTGGGGAAGCCCATCTCGATGAGACTCTCAAGAGCCGTCAGCTCCGCCATGGCGCCGACACCGCGGCTTCCGCGGGGACCTGGTGTGTGACGAGAAGGAGGGCGGGAAGGGTCAGCGCGAGGCAACCCGCCCTCGACACCCGCCGACGGGCGCTCGCTCTCTCACCCGGCTCTATAGCAGCCGGGAACACCGACGAGAAGAAAGCCGAGGGGAAGCGGAAGTGCCGGATCTGTTTGGGTCACGTGGGGGCGGATGTCGACGGGTGCCGCTGAGAACCATAAAACTTCTGGCCCTGCTGCCAGGACTTTCCGTGGGTGGGAACAGGGAGGCAACCCACCAAGCCAAGGCGCCAGGCTGCTGTGGGGAAGAAAGCTGGTGCGGCTCTGAAACCCGTGGGCGGAATGAAGCCAGTTCCCGGAACTTCATCCTGCCTCACCCTCCTTAGAAATTAGAAGGAATATGGTCCCTTAGCGCAATGCTTTGGGAAGTTCTTTGGCAATGTTTGCCAGGAGCAGAAGAAATGTCTTGCTCTTTGGCCCACTCATTCTCCTTAGGGAATTGAGCCATCCTCTGCCTGACTGCCAAAGGGATTTTTGCAAAACACAATCATGTAGTCCTGTCTTCACCTCCCTGCTTAAAAATCCGTGACACTTCCACCATCTAGGACAACTTACTTTTTTTTTTATTTTTTATTTTTGAGATGGAGTTTCACTCTTGTTGCCCAGACTGGAGTGCAATAGTGCAGTGGCGCGATCTCTGCTCACTGCAGCCTCCGCTTCCCGGGTCAAGCATTTCTCCTGCCTCAGCCTCCCGGATAGCTGAGATAACAGGCGCCCACCACCATGCCCAGCTTTTTTTTTTTTTTTTTTTTTTTTTAAGAGGGAGTCTCGCTCTGTCGCCCAGGCTGGAGTGCAGTGGCGCGGTCTCGGCTCACTGCAACCTCCGCCTCCTGGGTGCATGCGATTCTCCTGCCACAGCCTCCTGAGTAGCTGGGATTACAGTCCCACGCCACCATGCCCGGCTAATTTTTGTATATTTAGTAGAGACAGGGTTTCATCATGTTGGTCAGGCTGGTCTTGAACTCCTGACCTCATATGATCCACCTGCCTCGGCCTCCCAAAGTGCTGGGATTACAAGCGTGAGCCAACGAGCCTAGCCATTTTTGTATTTTTAGTAGAGATGAGGTTTCTCCATATTGGTCAGGCTGTTCTCGAACTCCTGACCTTAGGTGATTCACCCACCTCGGCCTCCCAAAGTGCTGGGATTACAGGCGTGAGCCACCACACCCAGCTATTTTTGTTTTTGAGACAGGATCTGGCTCTGTCGCCCAGGCTGGAGTGCAGTGGTGCAATCTTGACATACTGCAACCTCAGCCTCCTGGGCTCAAGCGATCCTCCCACTTCAGCCTCCCAAGTAGCTGGGACTACAGGCACATGCCACCACACCCGGCTAATTTTTCTTTTTCTTTTCTCTCTCTCTCTCCTTTTTTTTTTTTTTTTTTTTTTTTTTTTAGACAAAATCTCACTCTGTAACCCAGGCTGGAGTGCAGTGGCACAATCTCAGCTCACTGCAACCTCTGCCTGCCCCGGGTTTAAGCGATTCTCCTGCCCGAGTAGCTGGGATTATAGGTGGCTGCCACCGCGCCTGGCTAATTTTTGTAGTTTTAGTAGTGACGGGGTTTCACCATCTTCACCAGGCTGGTCTTGAACTCCTGACCTCATGATCCACCCACCTTGGCCTCCCAGAGTGCTGGGATTACAGGTGTGAGCCACCGCGCCCGGCCTAATTTTTCTATTTTTTGTAGAGACGGGGTTTCGCCATATTGGCCAGGCTGGTCTCCAACCCCTGAGCTCAAGTGATCCACCTGCCTCGCCCTCCCAAAGTGCTAAGATTAAAGGCGTGAGCTACATACTCGGCCATCTGGGACAACTTAAATGCTAGTGGTCTGACTTCCTTCTGCGCCCACCTTGGCTTTTTTTGCGGGGAGGGGGGTTAGAACCCCCTCTCAAGTGGAGATCACAATAGCACCTACTTTGGTGCCTGGCAAGGCAGAGTATGTAAATGCTGGTAGTTATTGTGCAGTTTCATCACCCACCACTTGAGGGTAAGCTGTGCATATTGCAAACCAGACTTCACCCTCCTCTTGGCCTGTGCACCAACCAGTCTCCGCCTAGGATGTCCTGTCTCTTCACTTAGTAAACTAACTCCCAGGAGTTTTTCAGGATTCAGGATTTGCCTTCTAAGAAAAGCCTGCTTTGACCACTGCTGTCTGCCTTCCAGCTACAGTATTTAACCCATTAAGCATTTATCCCCACTGCTGTGAGTCACTGTTGATTACTTTGTGCTCCACCACTACCCGGGCTGTTAGATTCCTGAAAGTGAAGCTCACTTTAAATGTTTATTAGAAGGTAGAGTAATAATGACAATAACAGTTACTGATATTGATAATATATGCACTAGAGACTTGTGTGTGTGTGTGTGTGTGTGTGTGTGTGTGTGTGTGTGTGTGTGAGAGAGACAGGGTCTCACTTTGTTGCCAGGCTAGAGTGCAGTGGTGGGATCTTGGCTCACTGCAACCTTTGCCTCCCAAGCTCAAGCTGTTCTCATGCCTCAGCCTCCCGAGTAGCTGGGATTACAAGCACCCGCCACCACATCGGGCTAATTTTTGTATTTTTTAGTAGAGAAGGGGTTTCATCATGTTGGCCAAGCTAATCTCGAACTTGTTACCTCAGGTGATCCACCTGCCTCGGCCTCCCAAAGTGCTGGGATTACAGGCGTGAGCCACCGTGCCCGGCCTGCTAGAGAATTTTGTATGATTAATCCATATTTAATCATCACAACAATCCCTATGATGTAGAAGCTATTTTTAGTCACAAAAAAACAGACTCAAGGCCAGGCATGGTGGCTCACACCTATAATCCTAGCACTTTGGGAGGCCAAGGCGGGTGGATTACCTGAGGTCAGGAGTTCGAGTCCAGCCTGGCCAACATGGTGAAACCCTATCTCTGCTTAAAAAAACATAAAAATTAGCCGGGCATAGTTGCAGGCTCCTGTAATCTCAGCTACTCAGGAGGCTGAGGCAGGAGAATTGCTTGAACCGAGGAGGCGGAGATTACAGTGACCCGAGATCGTGCCATTACACTCCAGCCTGGGCAACAAGAGTGAAACTCTGTCTCAAGAAAAAAAAATAAAAAAACAAAAAACAGACTCAGAAAGATGTTTTTTTTTTGGCCAGGCACGGTGGCTCACGCCTGTAATCCTAGCACTTTGGGAGGCTGAGGCGGGCAGATCATGAGGTCAGGAGTTCGAGACCATCCTGGCTAACACGGTGAAACCCCTTCTCTACTAAAAATACAAAAAATTAGCCAGGCGTGGTGGCACACACCTGTAATCCCAGATACTTGAGAGGCTGAGGCAGGAGAATCACTTGAACCTGGGAGGCGGAGGTTGCAGTGAGCCAAGATTGTGCCATTGCACTCCAGCCTGGTGACAGAGTAAGAGGCCGTCTCAAAAAAAAAAAAAAAAAAAAAAAAGGAAAGATGGGTTTTTTTCTGAGACAAGGTCTGGCTTTATTGCCCAGGCTGGAGAGCAGTGGCACAATCTTGGCTCACTGCAACCTCCTTCTCCCAGGCTCAAGCCATCCTTTCACCTCAGCCTCCCAAGTAGCATGTACCACACCTGGCTAACTTTTGTATTTTTATTATAGTAGAGGTAGGTTTCCGCTATGTTGCCCAGGCTGGTCTCGAACTTGTGAGCTCAAGCCATCCCCTGCCTTGTGCTGGAATTACAGGCGTGAGCCACCATGCCCAGTGCTGGAATTACAGGCGTGAGTGCTGTAATTACAGGCGTGAGTGCTGGAATTACAGGCGTGAGTGCTGGAATTACAGGTGTGAGCCACCATGCCCAGCCAAGATGAGATAATTTACCTAAAGTCACAAAGTAAATAACAAAACTAGGATTCAACCCAAGGCAGTGTGTGTTCTCTAAACCACTATGCTATGTTGCCTCTCCACGGTAGAGTGACAAGCATGGGCTTTATTTTTTTATTTTATTTATTTATTTTTTGAGACAGAGTCTCCGTCTCAAAAAATGAAATAAATAAATAGTAATAATAATGAGATAGTATGACCTCTCGTTATTTGTAAATAAATGAATGCTAAGGAAGGCCGGGCACGGTGGCTCATGCCTATAATCCCAGCACTTTGGGAGGCTGAGGCGGGCGGATCACGAGGTCAGGAGATCTAGACCATCCTGGCTAACACAGTGAAACCCTGTCTCTACTAAAAATACAAAAAAATTGGGCGTGGTGGCAGGCGCCTGTAGTCCCAGATACTCAGGAGGCTGAGGCAGGAGAATGGTGTGAGCCCAGGAGGCGGAGCTTGCAGTGAGTGGAGATCACGCCACTGTACTCCGGCCTGGGAGACAGGGACTCCGTCTCAAAAAAAAAAAAAAAAAAAAGGAAAAAAGGCACAGGGTATTCACTGCAGTATTATAACAAGTGTATTCAGGATAACATATGTATTCTTTTTTTGTTTTTAGAGATGGAATCTCACTCATTACCCAAGCTGGAGTGCAGTGGCACGATCTCAACTCACTGCAACCTCTGCCTCCCTGGTTCAAGCGATTCTCCTGCCTCAGCCTCCCGAGTAGCTGGGACTACAGGCGCCCGCCACCACACCCAGCTATTTTTTGTATTTTTAGTAGAAATGAGGTTTCATCATGTTGGCCAGGCTGGTCTTGAACACGTGACCTCAAGTGATCTGCCCACCTTGGCCTCCCAAAGTCCTGGGATTACAGGTTGAGCCATTAAGCCCAGCGGGGATAACATAGTATTCTAAATTTATTGTAGAGGTTCTATAATAGAATAAATTTTTTTTTTGAGATGGAGTCTCACTCCGTAGCCCAGGCTGGAGTGCAGTGGCGTGGTGTCAGCTCACTGCAACCTCCACCTCTTGGGTTCAAGCAACTCTCCTTTGTCAGCCTCCCAAGTAGCTGGGACTACAGGTGCCTGCCACCACACCCAGCTAATTTTTGTATTTTAGTAGAGATGGGGTTTCATCTTGTTGGTCAGGCTGGTCTCAAACTCCTGACCTCAGGTGATCCAGCTGCTTCAGCCTCCCAAAGTGCTGGGTTTTAGGCATGAGCCACCATGCCTGGCCTTCTTTTTTTTTTTTTTTTTTTTTTGAGACGCAGTTTCACACTTGTTGCCCAGGCTGGACTGCAATGGCGTGATCTGGGCTCACTGAAACTTCCACCTTCTGAGTTCTTTTCTTCTTTTCTTTTTTCTTTTTCTTTTTCTTTTTTTTTGAGATGGAGTCTCACTCTGTCGCCCAGGTTGGAGTGCAGTGGCATGATCTCCACTCACTGCAAGCTCCGACTCCCGGGTTCATGCCATTCTCCTGCTTCAGCCTCCCGAGTAGCTGGGACTACAGGTGCCCACCACCTCACCCGGCTAATTTTTTTTGTATTTTTAGTAGAGACGGGGTTTCACCGTGGTCTCGGTCTCCTGACCTCGTGATCCAGCCGCCTCGGCCTCCCAAAGCGCTGGGATTACAGACATGAGCCACTGCGCCCAGCCCCGCCTTCTGGGTTCAAGCGATTCTCCTGCCTCAGCCTCCCGAGTAGCTGGGATTACAGGCGTGCACCACCATGCCCAGCTAATTTTGTATTTTTAGTAGAGACAGGGTTTCTCCATGCTGGTCAGGCTTGTCTTGAACTCCCAACCTCAGGTGATCCACCAGCCTTGGCCTCCCAAAGTCCTGGGATTACAGGCATGAGCCACTGCCCCCGTCCTGATTTTTAAATTTTTTGTACAGTTAAGGTTTTGATATTTTGCCCAAACTGGTTTTGAACCCCTGGTCTCAAGCGAGCCTCTTGTCTTAGCCTCCCAAAGTGTTGGGTACAGGCATAAGCCACTGCACTGGGCCATATTATTCAGTATTAATTGAAATTTGTATGTGTTACTTTTATCTTTAAAAAAATTTTTTTTTTTTTTTGAGACGGAGTCTTGCTCTAGCCCAGGCTGGAGTGCAATGGCGCAATCTCGGCTCACTGCAAGCTCCGCCTCCTGGGTTCACGCCATTCTCCTGCCTCAGCCTCCCCAGTAGCTGGGACTACAGGCACCCGCTACCATGCCTGGCTAATTTTTTTTGTATTTTTAGTAGAGACGGGGTTTCACCATGTTAGCCAGGATGGCCTCAATCTCCTGACCTCGAGATCCGCCCGCCTCGGCCTCCCAAAGTGCTAGGATTACAGGTGTGAGCCATCGCGCCCGGCTTAAATTTTTATTTATTTATTTACTGTTTTTGAGACGGAGTCTTGCTCTGTCTTCCAGGCTGGAGTGCTGTGGCATGATCTTGGCTCACTGTAACCTCCACCTCCCTGGTTCAAGTGATTCTCCTGCCTGAGCCTTCCCAGTAGCTGGGATTACAGGTGCCTGCCACCATGCCCAGCTAATTTTTGTATTTTTAGTAGAGGCAGGGTTTCGCCTTGTTTGCCAGGCTGGTCTTGAACTGACATCAGGTGATCCGCCCTCCTCAGCCTCCTCCTCGGCCTCCCAAAGTGCTGGGATTACAGGTGTGTGCCACTGCGCCCGCCTTATGTGTTACTTTTTTTTTTTTTTTTGAGATGGAGTCTCGCTACGCCGCCCAGGCTGGCATACAGTGGCGTGATCTCAGCTCACTGCAGCATCCGCCTCCCAGGTTCAAAAGATTCTCCTGCCTCAGCCTCCTGAGTAGCTGGGATTACAGGCACATGCCACCAAGCCCAGCTGATTTTTTGTATTTTTAGTAGAGACGGGGTTTCACCGTGTTAGCCAGGATGGTCTCGATCTCCTGACCTCATGATCTGCCCACCTCAGCCTTCCAAAGTGCTGGGATTACAGGCGTGAGCCACCACACCTGGCCCATGTGTTACTTTTATAATTAAAAAAAGTTAGAATGGCCTGTAATCCCAGCACTTTGGGAGGCCAAGGGGGGTGAATCATTTGAGCCCAGGAGTTCAAGTCTAGCCTGAGCAAAATAGTGAGACCCCCCCATCTCTATAAAATATATACATATATATTATTTAAAAAGTTATAATATCCACACAGGTAAGGATTATACTGTGTAGTAACACAAAACAGACTTTTCTACATTCGTTTAATTAAAAAAAATTCAAGGCCGGGGGCGGTGGCTCAGGCCTGTAATCCCAACACTTTGGGAGGCCGAGGCGGGTGGATCATGAGGTCAAGAGATCGAGACCATCCTGGCCAACATGGTGAAACCCCATCTCTACTAAAAAAATACAAAATCAGCTGGGCGTGGTGGTGCACGCCTGTAGTCCCAGCTACTTGGGAAGCTGAGGCAGGAAAATCAGTTGAACCCAGGAGGCGGAGATTGCAGTGAGCTGAGATCGTGCCACTGCACTCTAGCCTGGGCAACAGAGTGAGACTCCATCTCAAAAACAAAAAAAAAATCAAAAGTATGTATATTACTCTGAAAAATGGGTGTGTGGACAGTGACTTGAAAGGAATCATAAACAATAAAAATTACTTCCTTTTAAAGGTCCTTTAATGTTGTTATAGTGGATATGCAATAAACACAAATGGAGGGTAAAAGGGGGGGGAGATTCCTTGGTATTACTGTCGTTTTTGTTTTGTTTTACCTAGCAAGAATATAAACTTATTCTCAAAATCCTACTGAAGCCACTCACAGTGACAGAGCCATTTTTAGGGTGCATGACATGGATCAACTAACTACAAGCAATGGGCCAGTGGCCTGATTTGTAAGGCCCACAAACTAAGAATGGTTTTTACATCTTTTTTCTTTTTCTTTTGAGAGGGAGTCTTGCTCTGTCACCCAGGCTGGAGTGCAGTGGTGCAATCTCCGCTCACTGCAAGATCCGCCTCCCGGGTTCACGCCATTCTCCTGCCTCAGCCTCCGGAGTAGCTGGGACTACAGGTACCCACCACCATGCCCGGCTAATTTTTGTATTTTTAGTAGAGACGGGGTTTCACCGTGTTAGCCAGGATGGTCTCGATCTCCTGACTTCGTGATCTGCCCGCCTCAGCCTCCCAAAGTGCTGGGATTACAGGCGTGAGCCACCGCGCCCGGCCGGGTTTTACATCTTTAAAGAAGGGGGTCTGCCTGGGCACAGTGGCTTATGCCTGTAATCCCAGCACTTTGAGAGACCAAGGCGGGTGGAGTACCTGAGGTCAGGAGTTTGAGACCAGCCTGACAACATGGTGAAACCCCGTCTCTACTAAAAAAACACAAAAATTAGCCGGGCATGGTGGTGGGCGCCTGTAATCCCAACTAATTAGGATGCTGAGGCAGGAGAATCGCTTGAACCCAGGAGGTGGACGTTGCAGTGAGCTGAGATGGCGCCATTGCCCTCCAGCTTGTGTGACAGAGGGAAACTCCTCAAAAAACAAAAAACCAAAACAAAACAAAATAAAAAACAAGGGCGTCTGGCTGTGTTGCCCTGGCTGGACTGGACTCCAACTCCTGGGCTCAAGAGATCCTCCCATTTCAGCCTCTGGAGTAGCTGCTACTATAGGTTCGCATTACTAAGTCAGGTCGTTTTTACATTTTTAAATGGTTACAAAGGTCATATAAATACCCACATAATAATATCCTCCATTTTATCCTCTTAAACCGCAAAGGTTACATTATTTATTATCTGGCCGCTTAAAAAAAAATTGGGGGCCCCTTTCTATTCCTTCCCAGACCTCAGCCAGGAAACAAAGCGCCAAGTACCGGACCTAAACAAGCGCTCAGTCCTGAGAACCATGACTCCGCCGTGGCCCTGGAGCCTGGGGCTGGCTCCCAGCTCGCCGTCCAGCCCTCCCTGGAGGCAGCGGGTTTTCCTCTTTCCCGGGGGCCAGGCTGAGCGCCCCAGGTGGGGCTGTCTGTGCCCGAGATGCCCCCAGGCCCCTTTCAGAGCGCCCCTGCGGCTCGGGCGGCGGCTCGGCGCGGGCAGCCCCAGCGATCGCGCAGGCAGAAGTGCCACACCAGGGCGGCACAGCTTAGCAGGGCCAGGGCCGTGCCCACCCCGACGGCCGCGTGGACCAGAGTGCGGGGGTTGGGCGGCACCGCAAGGCGGCTGCAAGGCCCGAAGGCAGGGATGTCGGCCCCCTCGAGGCCCTCTCCTCCAGCCTGGGGCACGCGGCTTGCCCCGGCCTCGTTAGCGGCCACTACGCAAACGACATAAATGCCCCCTGGCTTCAGCCCCTTCAGTTCGGCTCTGCGGACCGTAGCGTTCAGCGGGGGCCCCTTCTGCGCAGCCTCGCTGCCGTCCCAAAGCAGCAGCCAGTAGTGGAGGACCGGGGAGAAGGGGGCACACCAGTGGACCACTGCGCGGCCCTCTTCGGCCGCAATGCGCACTTCTCCCATGCGCGGCGGGTCGGGCGGCTGGGCGGGGCTGGAGAGTCCTGGGCACAGGCAGGCCGCCGGCCC
This sequence comes from Homo sapiens, assembly GCF_000001405.40. NCBI lineage: Eukaryota > Metazoa > Chordata > Mammalia > Primates > Hominidae > Homo > Homo sapiens. Next base: position 62,688,311 of record NC_000011.10, read on the forward strand.
GACCCTCTGTAGCTCCTTGCAGGGCACCTGCAGGTGTCGGCAGTGGTCGTAGTCGCAGGGGACAGCCGGCAAAGGCGGCCACGCCGTCTCAGTCTCATCTGCCTCCTCTTCTTCAAAGTCTTGAGGGGCCAAGGGCTGAGCTCTGGGAACCAAGAAGGTCACGGCCAGGAGCCACAGAAGGCAGGGAGAGCCCAGCATGGAGACTGGAAGGGAAGGGGTGGATAGATAAAGCCTGTTCAGCCCAAAAGCCTGCCATGCCCTCTGCCTGGACACAATCTCTGGAGACAGGAAAATGCAACTGGGGATCAGAAGAGGAAAGAAGTTGGAATGAGGCAGACACACTCATTTGTCAACCAACTTCTGAGTCCAGGCTGTGTGCTTGGTTTCAGACAAAAAATAAAACATGATCTGACACATGAGACAGATGCATGATCAGCATGTGTTAAGTATTAGAAACAGTTAATGAATAAACAAAGTGCTGAGGGAGAGAAGAGGAGGACATGATTTACTTAGCCCAGGGAAGAACGGTAGGATATTTACTAGCTGCCACCCAGAGAAAAGATCTAAGCAAAACAAGTAACAAAGCCGGGCCCCTAGGCTGATGCCTATAATCCCAACACTTTGGGGAAGTCAAGGCAAGAGGATTGCTTGAGGCCAGGATTCCAAACCAGCTGGGGCAACACAGAGAGACCCCATCTCTACAAAAATTAAAAAGTATTTAAAAATTATTAAAAAGTTAAAAAACATTAAAAATATACTGCACATGCCTGTGGTCCCTGCTACTCAGGAGGATCACTTGAGCCCAGGAGTTCAAGGCTGCAGTGAACCATGATCGCCCCACAACACTCCAGCCTGGGTGACAAGAGTGAGACCTCAACTCAACAAAAACATGTATCCGTCAGTGACACAGGCAAAAACCCAGAAAGGAGACAGAGTTGAGAAAAGAGAACAGAATGGAGAAATATTGTAAGCACAGCTGTATTTTTTGAAAACAAGAGAAAAAAATAGGGACGCTGGAATCCTCCCTCCCCACCTGCTATCTGTGCAAATCCTGTCCAAGGAGTCCTGGCCCCTGCATGCCTCCCTCCTCCTCTCTGGCCCATAGCAGCTCCTCACCAGTGGGTAGGCCTTGATGCAGCGGGAATCCACCAGCTGACGTCTGTGGGTGTTAGGCTGAGGGATCCCCAAGATCTCAGGCTGTGCTGTCAGGTTGTATCTTCAACTTCAATGCCGTTTGGCTGGAAGCTTTTATAACCTTCGACTGTGATGTCACCACCTAGCTCCCCTCCTCCTCCCCCCACCTCCCTGGTGATTGCCAAAAAAGAGGGCTGCTCCCTTCAGAGGGACTGAGTCACGGGGCCAGGGATGGGGAAAGCCACATGCAATGGTTTCAGCTGGAGCCCAGGATGCCTGGGTTCTGGAAGGGGAGTGGAATGTGGAAAGCAGCCAGGAGCTTAGAATCCGAAGGCTGAAGTCATACAACGGGATGGGGAGGGGAACATAGAAGGCGGCCACCTGGCTGATATTAGAGGAAAACAGCTGCGAACAGCACGGGCCTGAGCCGCAAAATGCTGTTTTGGTAAAAATCCTACCACATCCATGGCAGTCATTTCCTGTCTTCTGCCTCCCAATGGACAGAGAAAGGGAGGAAGGGAGGAAGGGAGGGGTGTAGAGGGGGCCAGAATGATGTCTCCCAGCTCTGCAGACCTGCCCTACACCATCCCCCTCCTCTGGGGGAGATGAAAGTCACATGCAGGGAGTGGGAAAGCTTGCTAGGGGCCAGGATAGCTTCTCCCTCCTTGGACTTCCTAGGCTTATGAATGGAAACATCTGTGCTTAAAATAGCCCAGGTCTGGAGGCCTTCCCCTGGACAAGAAGACCTCCCCTCTAATGGCGGAAAGTGAGAGATGCATGGGGGACACAGGGTGTTCAAATGGCCCTGAACCCATTTCAGAGTCAAGGAAGAAGCTGACACAAAATAGTTTATTGAAGGAAAAACGAGGGGAGAGGAGTCAGGTGGGAAAGTGCTGGAATGTGAGGAGTCTGCCCCTTTTCTTCAGGAACTAGAGCAGGTGGGGCGCTGTCGGAGAGCACCCCCAGCAGGTTCAGAGCTGCCCAGAGTCTCTAGGACAGGGGCAGAAGCAGAAGCAGGAGCAGGAGCAGGCAGGTTGGCCTCCGTCAGCAAAGCTGCATCTTCCCAGGAGCCTGAACCTGGGCCAGGAAAGGGAAAAACAAAATCTCAAATGGGATATTAGATTAACCGGGGGCCCCACCCAGGTCACGCTGCAGGATGCCCCTCACCATCACTGGCCTCAGGCTCTAGCTCCTCTTCTCCGCTCAGGGGCTGCTGATCTGGTTTCTCCTCCTCGGACAGCTGACCCTCTGCAGCCAAAAGGGGAATGCAGGGGTCAGACCCAGACACTGAAGGAGAAAGCCAAGGAGTCAGGAAGGAGAGAGTGTGGTGGCTGCGCCATACCTGTCCCTGAGGGATCTTCAGGGCTCTCACCATCCTCTGTAACATCTGATTGCGGAGTTGACTCCTCCTGGCCTTCAGGCCCTGCACCTCCAAAGAGGGAGAGGACAGGTTAGGGTTAGGGTGGCTGTGCCTGGACGGCAGTGCCAACCTCACCTTCCTCGCCTTTCCTTTGACCCTTGTCTCAGTCGGTGATACCCTAAGCCTCATACTGGATGAAGCAGGGACTCCTTCTGGCCCAGCCCAGCTCAACCTAGCCCACCTCAACAGCTCCCCAGCCAACACCTTTACCTGGCTGATGAGCAGAGATCCTTCGTTGGACTTCCTTCCGGGAATTGTCTCTTTTTCGGATGTTAACCTGTGGAGGAAAAACTACTGAGCAGCCAGGACTGACTTCCCTCACTAACAATCAGGACCCTCATGCCTTAATCCCCAACATACCCCTGACCACCCACAAAGATCAAAGGGACAAAAGGGGGTCCTTGCCCCTTTCGACCTGCAAAGAGAAGCGGTGTCGGGGCCAGATGCCCCCCCACACCCACTGCATGTAGCTGAAGAGCACGATGACGCTGAGGAAGGTGAAGTTGCTGGCAACACCTATGAAGGCGCAGGTCATCGGGAAGTTGTATAGCAGGTATCTGAGGCAGGAAGTAGGGACAAGAAGGTAGTAGCAGTTACCAGAGAGCACCAGCCTTCTCATGTCCCAGAAATAATTTCTAGGGCAATTCAAGTGAGTTTGGTTACAGCTGGCTCTGTCACCCCTGCCTCCCACCCACACAGTTTCCAGAACCTGCTATACCAGGTTCTAACAAAGGCCAAGGACCTTGGGAAGTCTCCTGTGGGAGGGCCATATGCCACAGCCTCAATGTTGTCTGTCTCTCAAGAGTCACCCCAACTCTTGCTAAGCCAACGGTTCAAAAGAGTAGCTCTTAATTCTGTCAGCCCATCAGCCTTCCTCGGGGTGCTTTAAAACATTCTGCTCACAGGCCGGACGCGGTGGCTCACGCCTGTAATCCTAGCACTTTGGGAGGCCAAGGTGGACGGATCACAAGGTCAGGAGATTGAGACCATCCTGGCTAACACGGTGAAACCCCATCTCTACCAAAAATACAAAAAAAATTAGCCAGGTGTGGTCGCAGGCGCCTGTAGTCCCAGCTACTCAGGAAGCTGAGGCAGGAGAATGGTGTGAACCCGGGAGGCAGAGCTTGCAGTGAGCCGAGGTCGCGCCACTGCACTCCAGCCTAGGCAACAGAGCAAGACCCCCTCTTAAAAAAAAAAAAAAAAAAAATTCTGCTCACTTGGGTGGAGCCCTTAGCCCTGGATTTCTGGGTGGATGGCAGGGCGGAGGGAAGATGAACAGGGATGATGGAGGGTTGGGGGGACAAAAAACAAAAATTAAAAATTCTGATGCCTAGATAAAAGTTCCCCAGGGAGCTGATAGGCCAATATGTGGCAGCTTTGAGACCCTCTGGCCTATGTGAAACCCAAGTCAGCTCTGCTCTGTAAACCCATTACCTCTGCTTGGGACCCTCTTGGTGGAAGGTTAGCCCCCGTGAAGAGTTGCCCAAGGTTCACTCCAGTTGGCCCCTCACCTGAGCCCAGTGAAGTGCGCGTGGATGCGGAGGTAGGCTCCATACAGCTGGATGCGCTTGCTGTGGATCTCAATGATCGCTCCAGTGGTCGGCACGTACTGTGAGGGGGTGGGGTGAGGGTGGCGTCAGGCCAGGGTCCTGCCGCTAGCACTCTTACCCGCCTCATCTGAGCCCCACTTCCAGTCTCTCAGTTGTGATGTCTCCTGAGCCTGGAGGCTTCTCAGGTAGAATCCTGGGCTAATGGGAGGGGCTATCTCCTAGTCATAAAGCTCGTTCACCTCACTCACCGAGTTCTCTCTATAGTCTGCGTAGAGTTCCACCTCCAGCAGCTGCTTCTGCTCTGCAAAGCCAAATAGCAGGAGGCTAGAGAAGACCAGTGTGTCCAGCATCTGGAGCAGGTCTGAGCGGTAATGCAGCATCACCTGCCGGGGGTGGGAAGCAGAGGCTGGGGACAGGTGCATGCCAGATCCCCATGACCCTACCTACCCCTCAACCACCCCTGAGTAGTCTATGAAGGCGGCTTCTTCCTCAGGTCCCTGGCTGCCTCACCTTCACTTCCTACCCCTCAGTCTCATCCAACCATTCCAATTGCTTGAGTACCTCTCTCCCTACTCAACCACACTCTATTATAGAGCAAAGGCCCCTCCTTCCAAGAAACCTTCCTAGATTAAGCCCAGCACTGTCTCTGATCTGCCTTTCCCACCAAGTAGTTCTGTAATCCAGTATGGGATCTAAGTCCCAGCGCACCATCTGAAGCTTTCCCCCCATCATGTAGACATCAGGAATTTGCTTCATGATGAGGTTGTGTTGTTAATTAATGGAAGAATGGAGTCTTAACATTTATTAGGCCAGGTGCGGTGGCTCACACCTGTACTTGCAGCACTTTGGGAGGCTGAGGTGGTTGAATCATTTGAGATCAGGAGTTCGAGACCAGCCTGGTCAACATGGTGAAACCCCACCTCCACTAAAAATACAAAAATTAGCCAGGTGTAGTGGTGAGCACCTGTAGTCCCAGCTACTTGAGAGGCTGAGGCAGGAGAATCGCTTGAACCCAGGAGGTGAAGGTTGCCGTGAGCCGAGATCACGCCACTGCACTCCAGCCTGGGCGACAGAGCAAGATCTCTGTCTCAAAAACAAAAAAACATTAAACAGCCACTATGTGCTAATGGGAATTTTACATTTCCCCATTGAATCCAAACTAGTCTTGCTATGAGGCAGTTACTATTATACCCATTTTATAATACTTTATACCCAAGAAGTTAAGTCAGGTGACCCACAGCTAGCTTGTTTCTGAATGAGGACACAAGCCCATGTCTGTCTGGCTCTAAAGCCTGTTTTCTGAGAGCAGCTCCACTCTTCACACTTAATCCCAAAGCTGGGCATGCTCCTGAGATACCTGGGGTGTTTGGCAAAGGTTTCTGGTTTTGTAAGCTGATTCCTTTCTCTTTTTTTTTTTAAGACAAAGTTTTGCTCTTGTTGCCCAGGCTGGAATGCAGTGGCGCGATCTTGGCTCACCACAACCTCTGCCTCCCGGGTTCAAGCAATTCTCCTGCCTCAGCTTCCTGAGTAGCTGGGATTACAAGCATGCACCACCATGCCCAGCTAATTTTGTATTTTTAGTAGAGACGGGATTTCTCCATGTTGGTCAGGCTGGTCTCGAACTCTGGACCTCAGGTGATCTACCCGCCTCGGCCTCCCAGAGTGTTGGGATTACAGGCATGAGCCACTGCGCCCGGCCTTGATTCCCTTCTTTATCCTGATGTGTCTGTGACCTCAAAGCCAAGGGTGTTTTCTCCTGAGGAATCCCTACCCAGACATTCTTTTTTTTTTTTTTTTTTTTTTTTTTTTGAGACGGTCTTGCTCTGTTGCCCAGGAGGGAGAATAGTGGTGCAATCTTGGCTCACTGCAGACTCAACCTCCCAGGTTTAAGCGATCCTCCCACCTCAGCCTCTAGAGTAGCTGGGACTACAGCCGTGAGCCACCATGCCCAGCTAATTTTTAAACTTTTTTTGTAGAGATGGGTTTCGCCATGTTGCCCAGGCCAGTCTTGAACTCCTGGGCTCAAGCGATCTGCCTGCCTCGGCCTCCCAAACTGCTGGGATTATAGGCCTGAGCCACCACACCCAGCCCCCTACCCATTCTGATCCTGCCATCTTCCTCCACACCTTCTCAGACAGGCCACCAACACTTACCGAACGCGAAGAAGTGGAGATGATTCGGCCACCTCTGGTGTAGCAGGAAATGGTGACCAAGAACATGCCCAAATCTTGATTCACAGGGGACTCTGGCAGCTCAAGCTCTAAGGTAACACGATACGGCTGTCCATACATCAGCACCTGCCAAAGGTAGCCCCCATTTCTTTAAAAAAATTTTTTTGTTGAAAATGTACTGTCTCTATTCCACCTCCCTCTTAGCCCCCGCAACGCCCCCAAATACTCAGCCACAACCCTCTTGGGTAGCCTAACGGGCCTTTCAATCTGTCATCCCAAGAAGGTGCTGCCCCCTTCTGGTGGCTAGAGCCTCTCACGTCCAGTTCTTGGGTATCCTGTTGGCTCTCCTGAATCAGACTGGCTACCCTGTTCCCAGAAAGGCTGTGTCACGTTTCTTTTCCAAAAGTGAACCATCATGTTGCCAACTGGGCCATCTGTGACTCTGGCCTATGGGCCGGTGAGGCTGTCCCCAGGGCCCAGCCTGTCCTCTCTTACATTATTAATCAAGCACTGACAGTGCTCAGTCTCCCCAGCCAGCTCTGGCACAGTCATCCTCGCTCCAGATCATCTTTCTGCCATTCTAGCTCCCTTATCTTGGTTCTGTTGGTAGCGCCCCAAGACTCAGAGTAGGAAGGCTTCTTCACAGGGATCACCCTCAAGAGGTTAAAGATTTGCCACCAAACATGCCCTAGTTTTTCCTATTTCTATATTCTTCTAGCCCCTTTATTGATTCATATCTGGCAACAAGGCCCTCACACAGTAGTATATAAAAATTACAGGAGTGAGGGTAAAGCTTCTGTTTTTAATTAGAGGTAATGGGTTAAAAAAAAAAAAAAAGGTTAGCCAGGTGCAGTGAGTCATGCCTGTAATCCCAGCACTTTGGGAGGCCAAGGCAGGTGGATCACCTGAGGTCAGGAGTTCGAGACCAGCCTGGCCAACATGGTGAAACCCCCCGTCTCTATTAAAAATACAAAAATTAGATGGACGTGGTGGCAGGCGCCTGTAATCTCAGCCACTCAGGAGGCTGAGGCAGGAGAATCGCTTGAACCCTGGAGGCGGAGATTGCAGTGAGCCGAGAGCGCGCCATTGCACTGCAGCCTGGGCGACAAGAGCAAAACTCTGTCTCAAAAAAAAAAAAAAAAAAAAAAAAAATTTGGAAAATACTTCCCTAGCCCATAGTGAACTACCTCCAAAACATGGGTTCAGCCTTGGGGGTGCTTTCAGTGTTTATCACTAAGGCAATGGTTGACACCACTGATAGGGGCCTTTTTTTGTACCTTCTTATTGCCAGTCAGAACTATCTGTTGGCCGGGCGCGGTTGGCTCATGCCTGTAATCCCAGCACTTTGGGAGGCTGAGACGAGTGTATCACAAGGTCAGGAGTTCAAGACCAGCCTGGCCAAGATGGTGAAACTCTGTCTCTACTAAAAATACAAAAATTAGCCGGGCGTGGTAGCAGGCACCTGTAATCCCAGCTACTCGGAGGCTGAGGCAGAGAGCTGCTTGAACCCGAGAGGCGGAGGTTGCAGTGAGCTGAGATCGTGCCACTGTACTCCAGCCTGGGTGACAGAGCAAGATTCTGTCTCAAAACAAACAAACAAACAAAAAACTATCTGTTGAAGAAAATGGATTCCATGAGATTCCTACCCCCCTGTAGAGACCAGATGATTAAGCCAGTTGCTTCATAAACTTTTTGTGTGTGTGTGTGTGTGTGTGTGTGTGTGTGTGTGAAGACAAGGTCTTGCTCTGTCACAGGCTGGAAGGCAGTGGCATGATCATGGCTCACTGTGCCTGGAACTTCTGGGCTCAATCTATCCTCCTGCCTCTGCCTCCTAAGTACCTGGGACCATACGGACTATAGGCACATGCAACCACATGCAACTAAAAATTTTTTTTTTTTTTTGGAGAGACAGGGGTCTTGCTTTGTTGCTCAGCCTATGAATTCTTCCCCTCAACCACTCCCCCAGTCTATTAATTCTTTTCTTTTTTGAGACAGGATCTCGCTCTTGTCACAAAGGCTGGAGTGCAGTGGTGTGATCACAGCTCACTGGCAGCCTCAACCTCCTGGGCTCAGTTGATCTTCCTGTCTCAGCCTCCTGAGTAGCTGGAACTACAGGCATGTGCCACCACACCCAGCTAATTTTTTATTTTTTTGTAGAGACGGGGTCTCATTATGCTGCCCAAGCTGGTCTTGAACTGCTGGACTCAAGCAATCCTGCCTTGGCCTCCCAAAGTGCTGGGATTATAGGTGTGAGCCACTGCCCTTGGCCCAAATTCTTTGAAACATTAAAATAGGTAGTTCTCTTAGCCAGGTGTGGTGGTGCATGCCTGCAGTCCCAGCTGCTGAGGAGACTGAGGCAGGAGGATCCCTTGAGCCCAGGAGTTTGAGGCTACAATGAGCTATGATTGGGCCACTGCACTCCAACCGGGGTGACAGAATGAGACCCCAATTCAAAAAAAAAAAAATTAATCTCCTCCAAAGGGATCCACAGAATTTAATACTAAAACCTTGTGAATAAATCCATGCCGGCCGGGCGCGGTGGCTCATGCCTGTAATCCCAGCACTTTGGGAGGCCAAGGCGGGCAGAAGACGAGGTCAGGAGATCGAGACCATCCTGGCTAACACGGTGAAACCCTGTCTCTACTGAAAATACAAAAAAATTAGCCGGGCATGGTGGTGGGCGCCTGTAGTCCCAGCTACTTGGGAGGCTGAGGCAGGAGAATGGCGTGAACCCGGGAGGCGGAGCTTGCAGTGAGCCGAGATCATGTCACTGCACTCCAGCCTGGGCAACTCCGTCTCAAAAAAAAAAAAAAAAAAAAATTCCATGCCTTTGTCCACAATTGCCTGCTTGATGGGCAGATTCTCCCCCTTCTCTAACATTCCCATGTAATATTCACCCTTCCTTAAAAGATCCGCTTTGGGCCCGGCACAGTGGCTCATGCCTGTAATCCCAGCACTTTGGGAGGCCAAGGCAGGTAGATCACCAGGACAGGAGTTCCAGACCAGCCTGGTCAACGTGGTGAAACCCCGTCTCTACTAAAAAAAAAAAAATACAAAAATTAGCTGGACATGGTGGCATGCGCCTGTAATCTCAGCTACTCAGGAGGCTGAGGCAAGAGAATCACTTGAAGCCAGGAGGCAGAGGTTGCAGTGAAGCAAGATCACACCAGTGCACTCCAGCCTGGGCAACAGAGAGAGACTCTGTATCAAAAAAAAAAAAAAAAGGATCCGCTTTGAACATCACCATCTCCATGGTCTTAGACTATCCCAGACAACACTGATCTAATTCTTCACGAATGCTTCTGGAATGCAGAATCCACATCCTTTTTTTTTTTTTTTTGAGACGGAGTCTCGCTCTGTCGCCCAGGCTGGAGTGCAGTGGCGCAATCTCGGCTCACTGTAAGCTCTGCCTCCCGGGTTCACGCCATTCTCCTGCCTCAGTCTCCCGAGTAGCTAGGACTACAGGCGCCCGCCACCACGCCCACCTAATTTTTTGTATTTTTAGTAGAGACAGGGTTTCACCGTTTTAGCCAGGATGGTCTCCATCTCCTGACCCCGTGATCCACCCGCCTCGGCCTCCCAAAGTGCTGGGATTACAGGCGTGAGCCACCGTGCCCGGCCTCTTCTTTTTGAGATGGAGTCTTACTCTGTCGCCCAGGCTGGAGTACAGTGGCATGATGTCGGCTCACTGTGACCTCTGCCTCCTGGGTTCAAGCGATTCTCCTGTCTCAGCCTCCCAAGTAGCTGGGACTACAGGCACACACCACCACGCCTGGCTAATTTTTGCATTTTGAGTAGAGACAGGGTTTCACCATATTGGTCAGGCTGGTCTTGAACCCTGACCTCAGGTGATCCACCCGCCTCGGCCTCCCAAAGTGCTGGGATTACAGGCATGAGCCACTATGCCTGGCCAGAATCCGCATTTTACAGTTTACTACTTAAATGTATGCAAACATATGCAATGTATAGTTTTCCATCAACGCTGTGAGCTCATTGAGAGCAGCGACCACATCTACTTATAGCAAGCCGTTACACATAGTGGACAGATTATTTCATTCATTAATTCATTTAAAAATGTTCATTGTCAACAAACAAAATGTTCAACCTCTTCTAATTATCAGGGACATGGGCTGAATTTGCTCTCATCTTCCTTTTATTCCTCCCTCCCTCATGTGACAGCCTCACACCTGATCGTTTGAGGCTCCCTCCCTTGGCTCTCTGCCTTCCCATTATGATCTCTGCAATGGGCCACAAAACTGTATGCACCATCCCAGGTTCTGTGGCTTTCTCATTTCTTCTCAATAAAGTCATTTATTATTATTATTTATTTATTTATTTTGAGATGGAGTCTTGCTCTGTCGCCAGGCTGGAGTGCAGTGGCACGATCTCAGCTCACTGCAACCTCCGCCTCCTGGGTTCAAGTGATTCTCCTGCCTCAGCCTCCAGAGTAGCTGGGATTACAGGTGCACACCACCACGCCCAGCTAATTTTTGTATTTTTAGTAGAGACGGGGTTTCACCAGTTGGCCAGGATGGTCTCGATCTCTTGACCTCATGATCCGCCCGCCTCGGCCTCCCAAAGTATTGGGATTACAGGCGTGAGCCACCACGCTTGGCCCCTAATTTTTTCTGAGATGGAGTCTTGCTCTGTAGCCCAGGCTGGAGTGCAGTGGCGCGATCTCGGCTCACTGCAAGCTCCGCCTCCCAGGTTCACACCTTTCTCCTGCCTCAGCCTCCCAAGTAGCTGGGACTACAGGCCTGCGCCACCACACCTGGCTAATTTTTGTATTTTTAGTAGAGACGGGGTTTCACCATGTTGGTCAGGATGATCTCAAACTCCTGACCATGTGATCCGCCTGCCTCGGCCTCCCAAATTGCTGGGATTACAGGCGTGAGCCACTGTGCCCAGTCAAGTCATTTATTATTTTTTAACCATAGAAGCAAACTGAATAAATGTCTTTATAGAAGATTCTAGGCCAGGCATGGTGGCTCATACCTGTAATCCCAGCAGTTTGGAAGGACCAGGTGGGAGGACTGCCTGAGCCCAGGAGTTTGAGACCAGCCTGGGCAACATAGCAAAATCCTATCTGGTTTTTTTTTTTTTTTTTTTTTGAGACTGAGTCTCGCTCTGTCACTCAGGCTGGAGTGCAATGGAGCAGTCTCGGCTCATTGCAACCTCCACCTCCCGGGTTCAAGCAATTCTTGTGCCTCAGCCTCCAAAGTAGCTGGGACTATAGGTTTGTGCCACCACACCTGGCTAATTTTTGTATTTTTAGTAGAGACGGGGTTCGACTGTGTTGGCCAGGCTGGTCACGAACTCCTGACCTCAGGTGACCCACCTGCCTCCTCAGCCTCCCAAAGTGCTGAGATTACAGGCGTGAGCCACCACACCCGGTTATAATCCTAACACTGTGGGAGGCTGAGTCGGGAGGACCACTTGAGCCTAGTAGTTTGAGACAAGCCTAGGCAACATAGTAAGATCTTGTCTCTACTAAAAATTAAAAAAAAAAAAAAAAAAAAAAAAGCTGGGCATGGTGGCACACACCTGTAGTCCCAGCTACTTGGGAGATCACTTGAACCTGGGAGGTCAAGGCTGCAGCGAGCCGTGATCGTATCACTGCACTCCAGGCTAGGTGGCAGGGCAAAACCTTGTCTTGAAAAATAAAATAAAATAGAACCCCAGACTCTATAGGTTATACTCCTCCCTTCAAAAGTGTGACATTCTATCATTACATCAGTTTCCTCCAAAGTACCACTTTTGAAAAATAACTTCAGGCTGGACATGGTGGCTCATGTCTGTAATCCCAGCACTTCAAGAGGCTGAGGTGGGCAGATCACCTGAGATCATGAGTTTAAGACCAGCCTGGCCAACATGATCAAACCCCGTCTCTATTAAAAATACAAAAATCAGCTAGGTATGGTGGCATACGCCTGTAACCCCAGCTACTTGGGAGGCTGAGGCAGGAGAATCGATTGAACCCAGGGGGCAGAGGTTGCAGCGAGCCAAGATCGTGCCATTGCACTGTAGCCTGGGCGACAGGAAAGAAACTCCGTCTCAAATAAATAAATAAATAAATAAAACTTCAGGCTGGGTGTGGTTGCTCACGCATGTAATCCCAGCACTTTTGGAGGCCGAGGTGGGTGGATCACCTGAGGTCAGGAGTTTTAGACCAGCATGACCAACATGGTGAAACCCTGTCTCTGCTAAAAATACAAAAGTTAGCCGGGTGTGGTGGTGGGCACCTGTAATCCCAGGTACTCAGGAGGCTGAGGTGGGAGAATCGCTTGATCCCAGGAGTTGGAGGTTGCAGTGAAGTGAGATCGCGCCACTGCACTCCAGTCTTGGCGACAGAGCAAGACTCTGTCTCAAAAAAAAAAAAAGAACGTATCCTTTATGAGAGCCTCCTCTAGCTTGCCTACTATAGAGGGCCCAGTCCCCATATGCATTTCTCAGGGTTCCCAGGTTTGTTGACATCACACTGGCATCTGGCCAGTCCTCTGGCACAGTACCCTTTGTAATGACACGATGCATATATTTGACAACAGTTTCATAATGTTATATAAATGCTTTCAAAACTCTTGGGTAGATGCCCATCTTATTCCAATGTAATAGCTCATTTGTTCATTTAGGTCTAAAACATTGCTTACTTCACCTAGCAGATATTGCTCACTTTACCTAGCAGATAAATAGATCATACTTCACCTGATACAGATGGTCCTCAGTTTATGATGGGGTTACATTCCGATAAACCCATCTAAGTTGAAACTATCACAAGCTGAAAACGCATTTAGTACACCTAACCTAAAGAACATCATAGCTTACTTAGCCTAGCCTACCTTAAACATGCTCAGAACACTTATGTTAGCCTACCTATAGTTGATTACAATCATCTAACACAAAGCCTATACTTATAATAAAGTAGTGAATATCCCATGTGATTTATTGAATGCTGTACTGAACGTGAAAAACAGGCTGGGCGTGGTGGCTGACGCCTATAATCCCAGCACTTTGGGAGGCGGGCAGATCACAAGGTCAAGAGATCCAGACCATCCTGGCCAACATGGTGAAATCCCATCCCTACTAAAAATACAAAAAAATTAGCTGGGTGTGGTGGCGCGCTCCTGTAGTGCCAGCTACTCGGGAGGCTGAGGCAGGAGAATCGCTTGAACCCAGGAGGTGGAGGTTGCAGTGAGCTGAGATCGCGCCACTGCAATCCAGCCTGGCGACAGAGTGAGACTGTCTGGAAAAAAAAAAAAAAAAAGAAAGAGAGTGAAAAACAGAATGGTTGTATAGGTACCTGAAGTACAGTGTCTAAGGAATGTATGTCGCTTTTGCACCACAGTAAGTTGAAAAATTCTTAAGTTGAATTACCGTAAGTCAGGGACTATGTTGAGAAAGAACATTTCTAACACCTGCTGCAGAAAGATCCATCAATACACACAATTAATTTTAATTTCTTTTCCTTCAAAGCCTTCCTCTTAGTCTCCTTTTTTTTTTTAAGACAGAGCTTCATTCTTGTTGCCCAGGCTGGAGTGCAATGGCGTGATCTCGGCTCACCGAAACCTCCTCCTCCCGGATTCAAGTGATTCTCCTGCCTCAGCCTCCCAAGTAGCTGGGATTACAGGCATGCACCACCACGCCCAGCTAATTTTGTATTTTTAGTAGAGACGGGGTTTCTCCGCGTTGGTCAGGCTGGTCTCGAACTCCCAACCTCAGGTGATCTGCCCACCTCAGCCTCCCAAAGTACTGGGATTACAGGCGTGAGCCACCGTGCCCGGCCAGTCTCTTATTACTCAATTCCTTCTCTCTAGGCCTTTCTCAAGTCTTCCTATTTTGAGTCATCAAAGCTCTAATGAAACCTCTCTCTAGTTCCCATACTCACCCGATCACGTCCACCCTTAGTCAGCGAGACATTGGCAACAGGGAAGGAGCAGAGTGAGGTGGTGGAGGAATCACAGTCGGTCCTAAATGAGATTGGAGGAGGATACTCTGCTAAGTTAGTCTTACTAGTCCATCCATACACCTTCTTTGCCCCCTAGGGCTCCCTCCTGCCCTCCTCCCTTCTCTCAGAACAGGCACCCTTCTCTCTGTTACAAAGATGGAGAACAAATGTGGCCAGGAGATTCAAGATACCAGGATTATTTCATTCTCTTCCTATGACTTCAATGTATGTCCTCTCATTACAACAGATGTTCTTAGATGGGAATCTAGAGATACTTAAATAGTTGCATACTTCAGTGTTTCTAAAGACTTAAGGAGCTTGATAAAAATGTAAATTCCAGGGCCAAGCAGCAGCGGCTCACGCCTGTAATCCCAGCACTTTTGGAGGCCGAGGAGGGCGGATCACCTGAGGTCAGGAGTTTAAGACCAGCCTGACCAACATGGAGACACCCCATCTCTACTAAAAATACAAAATTAGCGGGGCGTGGTGGCGCATGCCTGTAATCCCACCTACTCGGGACGCTGAGGCAGAAGAATCGCCTGAACCTGGGAGGCAGAGGTTGTGGTGAGCCAAGATCACGCCACTGCACTCCAGCCTGGGCAACAAGGGTGAAACTCCATCTCAAAAAAAAAAAAAAGGAAATTCCAGGGTCCCACCCCAAGAGATTCTGATTTGGTAGCTCTGGTCTGGGTCCTAGTTTGAGAAAACGCCTCCAAAAGGATCTACAGATGGTTATTAAGAAGCTCATGAACCCCTCCAATTGTAGGCAAATTTGCATGTGGGGGTGTGGGTGCAGCATATGCCTGGGCATGCATATACGTTTTTTTTTTTTTTTTTTTTTTGAGACGGAGTCTTGCTCTGTCGCCCAGGCTGGAGTGCAGTGGCACGATCTCGGCTCACTGCAAGCTCCGCTTCCCAGGTTCACGCCATTTCTCCTGCCTCAGCCTCTCAAGTAGCTGGGACAACAGGCGCCTGCCACCACGCCCGGCTAATTTTTTTATTTTTAGTAGAGACAGGGTTTCACGGTGTTAGCCAGGATAGTCTCAATCTCCTGACCTTGTGATCCGCCTGCCTCGGCCTCCCAAAGTGCTGGGATTACAGGTGTGAGCCACCGCGCCCGGCCGTATATATGTTTTTATGGCAGGAAGGGCCATAAGATCCATTTCCTAAAAGTTTAAGAAGCTCTGCTTTAGAAACTATAGCTCTGGACCAGGGACTTAAGGGAAAAAATGACTTTAAACCATTGATTATAACGCCCTTCTCTGCATCTGTTGATAGGTCCTACAACCACTGTTAAGAAAAGAGAACTAGGCCGGGCGCAGTGGCTCATGCTTGTAATCCCAGCACTTTGGGAGGCCAAGGGGGTGGATCACGAGGTCAGGAGTTCGAGATCAGCCTGGCCAACATAGTGAAACCCCATCTCTACTAAAAATACAAAAAAAAATTAGCCAGGTGTGGTGGCAGGCACCTGTAATCCCAGTTACTTGGGAGGCTGAGGCAAGGCAGGAGAATGGCTTGAATCTGGAGGCAGAGGTTGCAGTGAGCTGAGATTGCGCCACTGCACTCCAGCCCAGGCAACAGCACGAGACTCTGTCTCAAAAAGAAAAAAAAAAAAAAGAAGAAGAAGAAGAGACCTTGGTGGGGCACAGTGGCTCACGTCTGTAATCCCAGCACTTTGGGAGGCCAAGGCGGATGGATCACCTGCATTCAGGAGTTCAAGACCAGCCTAGCCAACATGGTGAAACCCCATCTCCCCAGCACTTTGGGAGGCCAAGGCAGGTGGATCACAAGGTCAGGAGATTGAGACCATCCTGGCTAACAAGGTGAAACCCCATCTCTACTAAAAAAAAAAAAAAAAAAAAAAAAAAATTAGCTGGGTATGGTGGCAGGTGCCTGTAGTACCAGCTACTCAGGAGGCTGAGGCAGGAGAATGGCGTGAGCCCAGGAGGCGGAGCTTGCAGTGAGCCGACATGGCACCACTGCACTCCAGCCTGGGCGACAGAGCAAGACTCCATCTCAAAAACAAAAACAATAACAAAACAAAAAAAAACCCATCTCTACTAAAAATACAAAAATTAGCCAGATGTGGTGGCACACACCTGTAATCCCAGCTACTTGGGAGGCTGAGGCACGAGAATTGCTTGAACCTGGGAGGTTGCAGTGAGCAGACACTGCACCACTGCACTCCAGCCTGGGCAACAGAGAGAGACTCCACCTCAAAAAAGAGAGAATTTGGCACTTGGCAGGGTTTGTAAAATGAGAAGGAACCTAAGGGGCCAGTCAAGACGCAAGACTCTCTGGGAAGCAAGTTTATGCGCCTACTCATCTTATGTTTCCATAATCTCTATTGTGTAGCCGACTTTCAGGGACTGAGAGGCAGTAATGTAAAAAGCAAACTGCTGCTTTCCTAATAGCTCCTCTACTGAAAGCCAGGTTGGTTCTGCACTAAAGGGTTGAGTTGGCTCAAAATTCTACATTGGCCCTGAGAGAGGGGTGATCCAACCAAAATAGAATTGATCCTCATAATGATAGAAGTGGATATTTTTCCTTTTTTTTTTTTTTTTTTTAACCAGAATTCAGTAATCAGAGGTAGAACTAGAACCCTAGCCCTGGCAACCCAAATCTAGCCTTGGGCTGTGAAAGTTGAGAGGCCCTGGAAGCACACCTGGCTCCAGTTTTCCTTATCTGTAAATGAGGGGATTGAACTGAATGAACTCCAAGGGCCTTACAATTCCCATAGGAGTCCTCTATTTTGATAGAAGGCCCCTCTCACCTGTAGTAGAAATGCACAGGGCTGAGGTGGCTGACTGTCGGCATATAGGAATAGTAGAAGGAGCCATAGAGGAAGACAGACACCCAGAGCAAAAGGAGGATGGTGCAGAAGAGCACCCCAAACTGCAGCAGCAGCCTGCGGGCACGGCCTGCCAAGACTTGGCCCACCTCCTGGGCCCACAGTAAGGCAGGTACTGGAGGGTCGTTGACCATGGCCGGGAGAGCAGGGTGTCTGGCCCCAGGTTCAGGCCTTGCGTTCCTAGCTGCTCTGCCACCTGGACGCCACCCCTGGCCATGGGATGCAGCAGCTGGTGGTTCCTGGAAAGAGAGGGTGAGGGAAAAGAGTGACTCCTTTCCCCAGGGAGGTGGGGACAAAACAGCTTACTGGACTGGCTTTGAGGAACGAGAGATAGCAGGATAGCAAAGTCATTGTTTCATATATATGGCCTTTCTCCAAATGATTGTGCCACTCTGCCAATTACCCCTTCCCTTTCCTCCACTGTGTTCCCTCCCGCCCAGTGCTAAATCTCCTCAGTGGAATTCCTTCTCCAGTCATTTGATGCTGGGACAAACCACCTTGATTCTCATTCACAGCTATATAACAAAGAATAAGCACCTTACGATTCTTAGAAAGAGCTTTACACACACGGTGATACTGAATCCACACTGCTAGGCAGCTGCACGGAGAGAATGTGCGACTTGCCTAAGGTCGCACGGCCTGACTCGAAACCAGTAGCCTTAGAGTAGCCACAATTGCTTCCCGAGTTTCTCCTCTCCGCCTCGAGCAGAGCTCGCTCACCGACACGGCTACACCCCACGCCCGGCGGAGCGCCCTGCAGCCAACCGCCGCTTCCCGCCAGTCCCCTCCAGCTCGGGGGTGGGCAAAGCGCCCGGAGCCCCTACCTAATCGTGCAACCATGGAAACCAGCCCGCCGGCTGCCACAGGGCTGCCGACTCACCAGCCTCGCGCGCTGCCAGGGCAACCGTGAGACGGGACTTCCGGCTCCCGGGGAAGTCCCGCCCCTCTCCGCCGGCCGCTTTTGTAGCCGTGGGAGGCGGGGCTTCAGCCCAGGGCGGGGTCCAGCACGGCGGGGCGGGGCGGGACGGGGCGGAGCCTTCCCGAGCTGCGAGGTCGCTGTCTCCTTGCGCTCGCCACTGGCTCTCTCTGCGGCAGGTTTCCCTCCGGTTACCGTGACCAAAGGGGAAAGACGCCTGCCTCCCTGCAGGCCCCAAGATGTGCCCCAGGGGATGCGCTGACTGCAGCCTCCGCTCGGCTCTCCCTTGAGACTGCAATCACAGCCCTCCGTGCACACCTTCACCACAGGCCATTTCACCCGCGAAGCGGCCGAGTGAGGCGGTCATCCAGCTGGCGCTGATTTTTATCGCCCACAGCTCCTAGGACCTGTAGGCATCTAAGGCGGGGGCATTCGCCTAGAGCATGTTGCAGTTTGCGGCAACCTGGGCCTCTTGCGTTGTTGCGCAGGCAGATTAGTGCCCTGTTCCCAGCGTGGTAGCATTGTGGACCTCCTCTGACCCTAACTGGATACACTCTCCCTCAGAGTCCCCACAGCACATTATCTAGACTAGCTTTTG